>NC_000006.12:40363030-40666060 GCF_000001405.40 Homo sapiens
TGAGAAGATCAGGATGGCCATAGTTCACAGGGCAGAGTACTGGAGAGAAGAGAGCGGCAGAGGGTCTCCCTCAAGTATTCAGTGGAATGCAGATCAGTAGATACATGCAAGGAACTACTCAAAGCCACACAAAGACTTACCTGAAAGGATTAGAGGAAACATTGCCAGGTACGTTTACAGGGCCAAGAATCGTGTCTATTCCGAATAGCTGAGCTGGAAAATCTCATAATTCACGCAGAATTGTGTCAAGTACTCATGAAGATCTTACCTCAGAATGCTCTAGACTAAATGCTGCTATCATTCCACCTAACTAATCTTAAAAGCAAGACATGAAAGGATTAACTGTTTCCAAGTAACTTAACAGCACTCCAAAACAAAACTCAAGAGTATTTATAGGGAATATATAAATAACCAACACCCAATAAATTAAAATTCATAATGTCTGGCATCCAATAAAAAATTGCCAAGGATGGAAAGAGGCAGGAAAATACAACCCATAATGAGGAGAAAAATCAATCAATTAAAACCAACCAGAACAGGACACGTGTTATAATTAGCAGGCAAGGACGTTGAAACAGTTATGATTGTAATCCATATGTTCAAAAAAGTTGGTATAGAGACATACAAGATGTCTAAAAGTTCTAAATTGAACATCTACAGCTGAAAACTACTATGTTTTACATGAAAAATACATTGAATGGGATTAATGGCAGATTAGACATTAGAAAAAAGAAAGATGACTGAACTTAAAGATAGCAACAGAATCAATCTAAAATAAAACACAGAGAATGTCTCTAATGTCTGAAACAATAAAAATCAAAATAAAAGCAGCATCAGTAAGTTATAGGACAATTTCATGCTGCCTATCATACCTGTAATTGGAGTCTCCAAAGAAAAGACAAGAAAGAGACAGAAAAAAAATTTGAAGAAAAGTAGTAGCCTAAAATAATCTGAATTTGATAAAAACTATTAATGCACAGACCCAAGAAGCTCAAAAGCCCCAAACACAAGAAACACAGTGAAAACTGTGCTAAGCCAAATCATAAAATTACTCAAAACTAGTGATAAACAGAAAACCTTAAAAGCAACAGAGAAAAAGACAACTTACATAAAGAGCAACAAAGATAAGGATGATAGCAGCTTCTAGTCAGAAACAATGAGAGCAAGGAGACAGTGTAGTAACATCTTTAAGGTACTAAAAGAAGTAAACTGTCAATGTAGAATTCAAAAATGAAGGCAAATAAAGAATTCTTTAGACATGCAAAAGCTGAAAGCATTCATGCCAGCAGAGTCACACTACAAGATATGTTAAAGAAGGTCTTTCAGGCAGAGGGGAAAATAATAGCAGACTGAAATACAAATCTACCCAAAGAAATGAAAGCACAGGAAATGGTATCCAGGTGGATAAATATAGAGATGTTCCTTGATGTACGATGGAGTGCATCTCCATAAACCTATTGTAAGTTGAAAATATCTTAAGTCAAAAATGCATTTCATACACCTAAACTACTGAACATCATAGCTTAGTTTACCCTACCTTAAACATGCTCCAAACACTTAACATTAGCCTACAGTTGGGCAAAATCATCTGGCAACACAATACACTGTAGGAGTATTGGTTGTTTATCTGCCTGACTGTGTGGCTGACTGGGAGCTGTGGCTTGCTACTGCTGCTCAGCCACATAGGAGAGTGGAGCTTTCTACTGAATGCATATAGTTTTTGTACAACCATAAAATCCAAAAATCATGAGTTGAACCATCATTAACTCAGAGACCATCTGTATAGGATTTTCTTATTTAAGTCTCTTTAAAAGATAATTGCATTTAGAATAAAAATAACTGTAGTGTATAATTTATGATATATGTTAAAGTAAAATATATGACAGAAACAGTTTAAAGGCCAGAGGGAGATAAATGGAATACACTATTAAAAGGCTCTTATACTAGGTATAAAGTAGTATAAATTTACTTGAAGGTATATTGTCATAAGTTGAAGTATGCTGCAAACCCTAAAGCAACCACTGAAATAGCAAAACAAAGTATTATAGATCATAAGCCAACAAAGAAAAGAACATGGAGTTAACAAAAAAAAAAAATGCTCAATGAATTCAAAAGAAAGCAAAAAAAAAGAGGAAATCGAAAATAAAGAACATATGGGACAAATAGAAAACAGGTTGTAAGCCAATGTACTTAAACCTAATCATATCAATAGTCACATTGCATGTAAATGCATGTGGCCACACTGCATGAATCTAAACACCCCAATTAAAAGGCAGAAATTATTAAAGTTGAGAAAAAAAGCAAGCATCACTATTGCTGCTGACATAAAACTCACTTTAAATATAAAGACACAAATAAAACAAAGGAATAGGAAAAGGTATACAACGCTAAAACTAATTCTTTAAAAACTGGAGTGGTTTGTTAACATCAAACAAAGTCGATCTCAGAACAAAGAATATTACCAAGGATAAAGAAAGTAATTTAGTAAGTTTCAAATGATAAATGATAACTAATCAGTTGTAAGGACATAAACTCCTAAATGTCCACGTGCCTAACAACAGAGTTTCAAAATACATTAAACAAAGACTGGATAGATGAATCCACAATTATAGCTGAAAGTCTTAATACCCTTCCCTCAATAACTGATACAACAAATAGAAAATCAGTAAAAATACAGAGGATTTGAACAGCACAATCAAACAAGTTGAACTAATTGACGTGTATAGAACACTGCATCCAAAAAACAACAGAATATGCATTCTTCTCAAGTGAAACCAAGATATTCTGAGCCAAAACAAATTTTAATACATTTAAGATAATTCATATCATGGAAAGTATGTTATTTACATTGTTATTTTACATTAGTTTATAACACAATGGAATTAATGTAGAAATCAGTAACAAAAAGATTATTGAAATTCCCATATATTTGTGAACCAAATAACATATTTCTAAATAAGCCAGGAGTCAAAAGAGAAATTTAAAAGAAAATTATAAAGTATTTTGAACTGGATAAAAATGAGAACAAAAAATTATCAAACTTTGTGGGATGCTGCTAAGGTATTACTCAGAGGGAAATTTATAGCACTAGACACCTAATTAGAAAAGAATAATAGTCTCACATAAATAAAGCACTATCAGAAAAAAATTAGAGAAAACACAAATTCCAATACCAAAGCTAAGAGAGGTGATATCACTATTGATTCTATGGACATTAAAAGGATAATAAAAACATATTTTTGAACAATTTTATAATAAATTTAACAACTTAGATCAAATGAGTAAATTCATTGAAAGACATAAACTCCCAAACTTTATGTAAGAAGAAATAGATAACCTGAACAGTCCTATGTCTACAAAAGAAATTTAACTTGTAATCATAAACCTTCAAAACAGGAAAACTTCAGACCCAGGCAACTTCACTGATGAATTCTATCAAACATTTAAGAAAGCCTTAATACCAATGCAACACCAACTCTTCCAGATGTTAAGAGAAGGGAGTACTTGCAAAGTCATTTGATAAGACAACTGTCACCTTGATATCGAAACCAGACAAAGATATTATAAGCAAAGAAAACTAAAGACCAATATCCCTCATAAATACAGATATAAATATTCTTAACAAAATTTTAGCAAATCAATACAACAAAATATTAAAAGAATAATATGTCAAGACAAGTGAGATTTATCCCAGGAATTCAAGGTTGGTTCAACATTTTTAAAACTTGATCAATAAAGTTTACCATATTAGGAAACAAAAAGCATGTGATCATCTTTGCAGACACAGAGAAAGCATTTTAAAAATTGAATATCAATTTCTGATAAAAAAAAAAACTTTCAGGAAACTAGGAATGGAAGGAAACTTCCTCAATCTCATAGTGTCTTTTAAAAGCCTACAAATAATATCATACTTAATGATGAAAGACTGAATGCTTTCCCCCAAGAAGAGGAACAAATAAGGAGGTCTGCTGTTACTATTTCTATTCAATATTTACTGCAAGTTGTAGCTAGAGCCATAAGGCTAGGAAATAAAATATAAAGCATCCAGGTTTGAAAGGAAGAAGTAAAACTGTCTTTATTCACAGAAGACATGATTGTCTATATAGAAAATCCAATGGAATAGAGTGGATTCCTATGGAATCCACAATAAGAATTACTAGAAGTAATACATGATTTTAGCAATGTTGTGTAATACAAGGTCATATTCAAAAATCAATTGTATTTCTGTGTATTAGTAAAAAATGATAGGAAATTGAAATTTTTAAAATGCCATTTCTAATTGCATCAGAAATATGAACTATTTATGAATAAATCTGACAAAAGATGTGCAAGATCTGAAAATTGAAATATATAAATTATTGATGAGATAACTTAAAATAGACATAAATAGACCATATTTATAATTAAGACTCAATATTATTAAGCTGTAAATTCCCAAATTTACAATTAGATTTAATGCAACCCCAATCAAAATTTCAGCAGGCTTTTTTTTTTTTTTAATGGCAAGCTGATCTTAAAATCAATATGGAAATCAAAGGACCTAGAACAGCCAAAATAACTTTGAAAAAGCAGAACAAATTTGGAGGATTAATGTTACTTGATTTCAAGACTTAATATAAAGTTAGTGTGTTAGTCTGTTCTCACATTGCTATAAAGAAATACCCAAGACTGGGTAATTTATAAAGGAAAGAGGTTTAATTGACTCACAGTTCCACATGGCTGGGAAGACCTCAGGAAACTTGCAATCATGGCAGAAGGGGAAGCAAGGCACCTTCTTCACAGCATGGCAGGAAGGAGAAATGCCCAGTGAAGGGGGAAGGGGCCCTCATAAAATCATTAGATCTCATGATAACTCACTATCATGAGAACAGCATGGGGGAACTGCCTCCGTGATTCAATTACCTCCACCTGGTCCCTCCCTTGACACATGGGGATTATGGGAATTACAGGGATTACAATTCAAGATGAGATTTGGGTGGAGACACAAAGCCTAACCATCTAGAGTAATCAAGACAGTGTGAAATTAGCATAAAAATGGGCAAATAAATCAATGAAATAAATAAGAAGTCTAGAAATAGGCCCTCACAGATATGGACAACTGGCTTTTGACAAAGGTTCAATGATAATTTAGTGGAGAAGAGATACAGCTTTCAACAAATGGTTCTGTAACAAATTACAAAATATGATACTAACATAAAAACTGACATATAGCCCAGTGAAACAAAATAGAGCCCAGAAATACATCCATTCATGGTCATAAAGCTACAACTTCCTTCTTTTGCATGTGGATATCTACCTTTTCCAACAGAATGTGCAAAAAAAATTCCATCCATACCTTGTACCATATACAAAAATTAACTCAAAATATATTGCAGATCTAGGCTGGGCAGAGTGGCTCACACCTGTAATCCCAGCTTTTTGGGAGGCTGAGGTGGGCAGGTCAATTGAGGCCAGAAGTTTGAGACCAGCCTGGCCAACATGGTGAAACCCCATCTCTACTAAAAAATACAAAAATTAGCTGGGCAAGGTGGTGCACACCTGTAGTCCCAGCTACTCAGGAGGCTGAGGCAAGAGAATCACTTGAACCCGGGAGGCAGAGGTTGCAGTAAGCAAAGATCGTACCGCTGCACTCCAGCCTGGGTGACAGAAAAAAAAAAAGTATATATACGTATATAATTTTGATCTGCTATATATATGTGTGTGTGTGTTTATATTTATTTATATATATATAGAGAGAGACAGAGAGAGAGCAGATCTAAATGATCTAAATGTAGAATCTGAAAGCATAAAACTTCTTAAGAAAAAACATTTACAACTGTGGAGATCAGGCAAAGATTTCTTAGGGATGATACCAAAATCATGACCCATATAAAAGAACAAATTGGTAAATTGGGATTCATCAAAATTAAAAACTTCTTTTCTTCAAAATACACTCTTTTTCCTGTATATTAATTATCATGTATTTGAATACCATTTTTAAAACCTGTAAATCTGTACAAACATACATTTTGCAACCTTGATCAAACTATTTTATTTTATTGTTGAAAGAACACTTAACATGCGATCTATCCTCTGAACAAATTTTTAAGTGTACAACACGTTGTTGCTGATTATAGGAACAATGTGATAAAGCAGATCTCTACAGCTTATTTATCTTGCTTGACTGAAACTTTATTCCTGGTGATTAGTAACTCTCCATTTCCTCCTCCTCCTATTCTCTGGCAACCACCAGAGAGCTCATATAAGTGGAATCATGCAGTCTTTCTGTGACTGGCTGCATTAGTCCATTTTCACAGTACTATAAAAAAAATACCTGAGACTAGATAATTTATAAAAGGAGGAGGTTTAATTGACTCACAGTTCCACATGGCTGGGGAGGCCTCAAGAAACTTAAAATCATGGCAGAAGGTGAAGGGGAAGCAAGGATCTTCTTCACATGGTGACAGGAGAGAGAAGTGTGAGCAAGAGCAGGGAAAACTGCCTTATAGCCATCAGATCTCATGAAAACTCACTCACTCTCACGAGAATAGCATGGGGGAAACTGCCCCCAGGATCCAATCACTTCCGACCAGGTCTGTCCCTAGACATGTGGGGATTATGGGGATTACAATTCAAGATGAGATTTGGGTGGGGACACAGCCAAATCATATCACTGGTTTATTTCACTTAGCATAATGTCCTCAAGATTCATCTATGTTGTCACACATTACATAATTTCCTTCCTTTTTAAGGCTGAATATTATTCCATCATATGTATATACCATGTTTTCTTTATTCATCTATCCGTCTATGGACATTTAGGTTGCTTCCACATGTTGGCTTTTGTGAATAATGCTGTAATGAGTAGAGGAATGCTAATACCTCTTTGATATCCTGATTTTAATTCTCTTGGATAAATACCCAGAAATGGAATAGCTAGATCATATGATAATCCTACTATTTATTTTTTTGAGGATCTTCTTCTATACTGTTTTCTATAGCAGCTGCAACATTTTGCATTCTCACCAACAATGTACAAGGATTCCAGTTTTTCCACATCCTCTTCAACACTTTGGTTTTTCTGATAATAGCCATCCTGAGAAGTGTGAGATGTTAGCTCATTGTGGTTTTGACTTACATTTCCTTGATGTTTATTGATGTTGAACGTTGATGTTTAGTAACCTAACTATCAGGTTAATAGTTTGTTTTTTGCCTATTGAGTTGTAGGAGTTCCTTACATATTTTGGAGATTAACCCCTTATCAGATATAAAGCTTGCAAATATTTTCTTCTGTTTTGTAGTTTGTCTTTTCACTTTATCAATGACTTCCTGTGCAGAAGCTTCTTAGTCTAATGTAGTCTCACTTATTTATTTTTGTTTTTATTGCCTGTGCTTTTCTGTCATATCCATAAAATCATTGCCAAGACTAAGTCATGAAGCTTTTCTTCTATGCTTTTTGTAGGTGTTTTACAACTTCAGTCTTACAATTAAATCTTTAATCAATTTTGGTTTTTGTGGGTGGTGTAAGATAAGGGTCCAGTTTTATTTCTTTGCATGTGAATATCCAGTTTTCCATAATCATTTCTTGAAGAGATTCTTTCACCCATTGTGTAGTTTTGGCACTCCTTTGTGGATGATCAGTTGAGCATTTATGAGCGGACTTATTTCTGGGCTCGCTATTTTGTTTCATTGGTCTATATGTCTGTTTTTATGCTGGCATTATATTGTTTTGATTATCATAACTTTGTAATGTAAAATATTTTGAAATCAGCCATTTTTATTATACAAGTCTTTTACCTCCTTGGTTATGTTTATTCCTAGGTATTTTTATTCTTTGTGGTGTTATTGTGCATGGGATTGTTTTCCTAATTTCCTCTTCAGATAGTTTGTTTTTGGTATATAGAAACACAATTGATTTTTGTTGTTATTTTTGTATTCTACAACTTTACTGAATCTATTTATTAGTTCAGCCTCCCAAAGTGCTGGGATTACAGGTGTGAGCCACTGTGGCTGGCCAGTTCTCATAGTTTTTTTAATGGAGTCTTTAGAGTTTTCTATATATAAGATTAAGCCATCTGCAAGAGGGATAATTTTATGTCTTGCTTTCCAAATTGGATACCTTTTCTTTCTTTTTCTTGCCTAATTGCTTTGGGTAGCACATCCAATACTATGTTGAATAGAAGTGGCAAGAGTGGGCATCTTTGCCTTGGTGCTAATCTTACAGGAAAAGTTTTTAGTTTTTCACCATTGAGTATGGTGTTAGCTGTGAAGTTTTCATATATGACCTCTATTATGGTGACGTAGTTTCCTTCTATTTCTAGTTTGTTGAGAATTTTTATCATGACAGAGTGTTGAACTTTGCCAAACACTTTTCCCACATCTATTGTGACAATCATGTAATTTTAATCTTTTATTCTCTTAATGTGGTATATCACATTAATTTTTGTATGTTGAATCACCTTTCATTTCAGGATAAATACCACTTGGTCATAATGTATGATTTTTATAATATGCTATTGGATTCAGTTTGCTGATAGTATATTGAGGATTTTTGCATATATATCCCTCAGGGATACTGGATACTGGCCTGTAGTTTTCTTTTCTTGTGGTCTCTTTGTCTGGTTTTAGTATCAGGATAATGCTGGCATCTTAAAATGAGTTTGGAAGTATTCCCCACTCTTCAACTTCTTGAAAGAGTTTGAGAAGGTTTAGTGTTAGTTTTTCTTTAAATGTTTGGTAGAATTCACCAGTTAAGTCATCTGGTCTTGAGCTTTTCTTTGTTAGGAGGTTTTTGATGACTAATTCAATCGCTGTACTACTTACAGGTCTGTGCAGGCTTTCAGTTTCTTTATGATTTAATCATGGTAGGTTGTATGTTTCTAGGAATGTATCCATTTCTTCTGGGCTATCCAGTGTGTTGGTATATAATTGTTCCCAGAAGTCTCTTATGATCTTTTTAAATTTCTGTGGCACTAGTTCTAATGACCCTTCTTTCATTTATGACGTTATTTTAGTTTTTATCTGTTTTTCTTATTCTAAGCTATTGTCCATTTGTAAACATTTTGCTTATCGTTCCAAAAATACAGATCTTAGTTTTGTTGACGTTTTTCTATTGCTTTTATATTTTCTGTTTCATTTATTTCTGCTCTAATCATTGTTGTTTCCTTCCTTCTGCTAACTTTGGGCTTAGTTTGTTGTTCTTTCTCTGATTCCTTGAGGAATAAAGTTAGGTTGTTTATTTGAGATCTGTTTTCTTTTTTAATGTAGATGTTTCTTCCTATGAAATTCCTTCTAAGTACGGCTTTTGCTGCGTCTCTAAGTTTTATATGTTTTTTTCATTTTTGTTTTTCTCAAGGTATTTTATAATGTTCTTTTCAATTTTTTTCCTTGACTCAATGATTGTTCAAGAATGTATTTAATTTATATACATTTGTGCATTTTTCAGTTTTCTTTCTGCTATTGGTTTCTAGCTTCATGCCATTGTGGTCAGAAAAGATATCTGATATAATTTTAACCCTATTAAAATAGTTAAGACTTGTTTTGCAACCTACTATGTGATCTATCTTGATGAAAGATCCCTATGCTGCTATTGGGTGAAATATTCAGTATATGTCTGTTAGCTCCATTTGGTTTATAGTGTTATTCAAGTTCTCTGTTTCCTTACTAATCTTCTCTCTGGATGTTGTGTCCACTATTGAAAGTGGGGTGTTGGAGCCTCCTACTATTATTGCATTGCTATATATTTCTCCCTTTAGTTCTGTTAATGTTTACTTTATATATTTAGGAGCTCTAATGTTGGGTGCATATATATTTATAATTGTTATAATATTCCTTGTGGATTGACTCTTTTATCATTATATAATAATCTTCTTTGTCTCTTAAGAGAATGAGAATACAAGCTAAAGGCTAGGAGAAAATATTTGCAAAATACATATATCTAACAAAGGACTTGTATGTAACACATATAAAAACTTTCAAAACTCAATAAGTAAATAGCAATACAAACCAATAAGAAAATGGGCAAAAGATTTGAATGTATAGTTTACCAGAGAAATTGTACAGGTAGCAATAAGCACATGAAAAAACACTCAACATTCATAGTCATTAGAAAAATGCAAACTAAAACCACAATGAGATACCACTACACACATTTCAGAATGACTTAAATTTAGAAAACTAACTTTGTCAAATATTGATAAGGATTTGGAGGAACTAAAAACTCTCACATATTGCTCTTGAGAATTAAAGTGTACAATCACTTTGGAAAACAATTTGGTAGTTTCTTTCCTTTTTTCTTTTTTTTTTTTTGAGATGGGGTCTTGCTATGTTACTCAAGCTGGCCTCAAACTCTTGGGCTCAAGGGGACCCTCTTCAGCACCTTGAGTAGCTGAGATTACAGTAGTGCACCACTGCACCTGGCTGGTAGTTTCTAAAAAGTTAAACATACACTTATCATATGATAGAGTCATTCAACTCCTAAATATTTATCCAAGGGAATAAAAGCATATGTTCATACAAATGTCCTCCAAGTTTCCTAGCAGCTTTATTTGTATTAGCTAAACATTGGAAACAACAGAAATGTCATCATCAGGTGACTAGATAAACAAATTATTGTATATCCATATGATAGAATTCTATTCAACAATAAAAAGAAATTAACACTAAAATTCTTGTTTAAATCTCAAAACTATTATGCTGAGTGAAATAATTCATAAAAAATTGAGTACATACTGTATGATTCCATTTATATTAAATTCTATGCAGTGCAAACTAACCCACAGTGACAAAGCAGGTGAGTGGTTGCTTGTGGGGAACAAGGTTGAGAGCTAGATTACAATGGGACACAAATTTTTTTTTGGTATGTTCATTATCTTGATCATGATGATGATTTCATTGGTTTTTATAAATGTCGGAATTCATCAAATTGTACATCTTGAATATATGAAGTTTATTATATGCCAATTATATCTCATTAAAACTGTTAAGAGAAGATTTTTGCATCAAAAAATATTTTAAAAGATGCCTTTCCAATTGGAACTTTAAAACAATCTATTGTTAAACAATTGAGTGATAATTAAGATACAAACAAGAATTAAAGGATTCTGAAAAAAAGACAATTAAACCACTAGATATCCTATCTATAAGATATGTTTAAAACAGTAATCAGAGGACAATATATGGCTAGAAACATTGTATCTCTAAACAGTGAGGAATGAAACTAACTTAATTCAAAAATATATAATGTTCCCCTAAAAAGTACAAGAAAGAAGATATAACAACTATACATTATATGTACCTAACAACAGAGCCCCAAATATATGAAATAACAGCTGTTAAGTTGGAGGGAGAAACAGACAATTCAACAATAATACTTGGATACCTCAGTATATCACTTTTAATAATGGCTGCAATAACTAGACAGGAGATGATCAAGGAAATAGAAGGCTTGAACAACACTATAAAATAACTGGACCTAATAGACATCTATAAAACACTCAATTGAACAGTATATGTTCTTCTGAAATCCACATGGAACATTGTCCAGTACAGACCATAAGTTTGGCAACAAAAGAAGTCTCAGTAAGCATAAAAAATAAAATTATATAAAGTATCTTCTTCAATCACAACGGAATAAAATTAGAAATCAATAATGAGAGGAAATTTGGAAAGTCACAAATGTGTAGAAATCAAACAAATTCTTAACCAATCCAATGGCTCAAATAATAAATCATGAGACACTTGAAAATTCTCCGATATAAATCAAAACAAAACAAAAGCATACCAAAATGTATGGATACAACAAAAGCAGTATTTAGATGAAAATTTTTCATTGGAAACATCCACATTAAAAAAAAAAAATATCTCAAATCAATAACCTAAGTATATAATAAACTAGAAAAAAGAAAAAGCTAAATTCAAAGCAAACATAATAAAGGAAATAATAAAGCGTAAAGTGTACATAAATGACATAGAGAAAAGAAAAACAATAGAGAAAATGAACAAGCACAAAAATTGGTTATTTAAAAAAAATAAACAAAATTAACAAAATCAAAACTTTAGACTTACCAAGAGAAAAAAGAGGACTCAAATTACTAAAATCAGTAATGAAAGAGAGGACATTACATTGACTTTACAGAAATAAATGGGGTTATAAAGAAATCATATGAGCAATTATATACCAACAAATTAGATAACCTAAATGAAATAGACAAATTCCTAGGAAGACACGAACTACCAACTGACTTATGAATACATACAAGCATAGAAACATAGCTCAATGGAATCAAATTTAGGGTCCAGAAATAAACTCATATACTTATGGTTAATTGATTTTCTCCAAAGGTCTCAAGACCATTCAGTAGAGAAAGAATTCTATTTTCAACAAATTGTGCTGGGAGACAGCTGGAAAAGCACATATAAAAGAATCAATTTGGACCTCCACTCACAACATGTACAAAAATTAATTAAAACTCATAAAAGACCAAACGTTAAGTGCTAAAACTATAACTCTTATTTAAGAAAACAAATCTTCATAATCTTGGATTTGGCAATAGATCCTTAGATAGGATACCAAAAACACAAGCAACAAAAGGAAAAATAATAAATTGGGCTTCGTCAAAATTGAAACCTTAGTGCATTGAACACTATCAAGTGGAAAAATAACCAACAAACTGAGGGAAATTATTTGCTAATCATATATCCTGTGAGAAACTTCCTATGAACTAAATACTTCCCCCAAATTCACGAGGCAGAGCCCTTATGAATGGGATTAGCACCCTTATAAAAGAGGCCTGAGAGAACTTCCTTGTTACTTCCACCACATAACCTAAGTATATACTTTAATAAAGTATATAGGACATACTGCAAGATGGCCATGTATGAACCAGGAAGTAGGCCTTCACTAGACACTGAATCTGCTGGCACCTTGATCTTTTAACTTCCCAGTCACCAAAATTGTGAGAAATAAATTTCTGTTGTTTCTAAGCCATCCAGTCTATGACACTTTGTTACAGCATCACAAATAGACAAAGCCAGGTCTAGGACTGTGAATATATAAAGAACTCTTAAAATTTGACAACAAACCAAAATTCAGTAACAAGCCAAAAAGATACAGAAATCATTTTTTTTAAATTGTCAAAGGACTAGAACAGATATTTCTCTTAAAAGATGTACCAAGAAAATATAACCAATAAATACATAAAAGGATATTCAGAATCTTTAGTAATAAGGGAAATGCAAATCAAAACCATAATGAGATAACACTTCACACCTACTAGGATAGCTAGAATTTAACAATCACAACAAAAAGAAAACAAGTGTTGACAAGGATGTGGAGAGATCAGAACCCTTATGTATTGCTGGTAGAAACACAAAATGGTTCAGCCACTGTGGGAAGCATTTTGGCAGTTCCTCAAAAATCTAAATATAGGATTACCACATGACCCCGCAATTCTACTCCTAGGTACATATCCAGCAGAACTGGAAACATGTCCAAACAAAAACAGGTGTACACAATGTCCACAGCAGAATTATTCCTAACAGTCAAAAAGTAGAAACAATCCAAATGTCCATCAATTGGATACACAATATATGGTATATTCATGCAGTGGAATATAAACCTTACCAATAATGAAGAACTGGCACAGGCTATGATACTCATGAGCCTTGAAAATATTATGCTAATTGAAAGAAGCCAAACACAAAAGGTTACCTATTGTATGACTCCGTTTACATGAAATGCCCAGAACGGGCAAATGCATTGAAACAGAAAGCCAATCAGAGGATGAAGGGAGGGCAGAACGGGGAGTGGCTGCTTAATGAATGCGTTAGTCTGTTCTATCACTGCTATAAAGAAATACTTGAGACTGGGTGATTTATAAAGAAGTTTCTGCTGCACTCCAGCCTGGGTGACAGAATGAGACCTTGTTTCAAAAACAAACAAACAAAAAAAGGTTTAATTGGCTCACAGTTCCACAGGCTGTACAGAAAGCATACATAGCAGTTTCTGCTTCTGGGGAGGCCTCAGGACACTTCCAGTCATGGTAGAAGGCAAAGGGGGAGAAAGCACTTCCTATGGCCAGAGCAGGAGAAAGAGAGGGAGGAGGGAGGTGCCACACACTTTTAAACAACCAGATATCAGGAGAATTCATTATTGCCATGACAGCATCAAGGAGGATGGTATTAAACCATAAGAAGTCACCCCTATGATCCAATCACCTCCCACTAGGCCCCACCTCCAACAGTGGAGATTATTATTTGACAAGAGATTTGGGCAGGACACAGATCTAAACCATACCAGTGTGTATGGAGCTTCTTTTGAGGGTGATAAAAATATTCTGCAATAGGGTTAGTGATAATGATTGCACAATTTTATGATTGAACTGAAAGCCACTAAATTGTACACTAAATACTGTTAATTCTATGCTACATTAATTTTATATCAATTTTTTAAAAAGGGATATGGGAGGCTCAAATATAATGGTACATTTGAACTTTTCAGAACAAGGTCTTTCAAAACACTTGCCCAATAAATATAAATATATGGGCATCCCCCAATTGGCCTTTAAGGCATTCTCTTCCATTGGCCAAGAGCATTCTCATCTGCTCAGCAACTTTCTCCCATTGGCCGGACCCTTGATGCTGAGGCTTTGAAGCAGAGCCTGGGTTTTCCAGGCACTGCTGATTAGCCGGGGGAAGAAAAGTAGGGTGTTGTAGCAAACCCTCCAGTTAGGACTTTGGGTCCCTAGGAGCTGACTGAGTCTGTTCAAGCATTTTCTCTCTAGTGCCAGGCCTTTGGTTGGTGGGAAAAAGTCATAGGATGGCACTGGGGGGGTCTATTTGCAGTCGTACTCTTAACTCTTGTGAGACCTCAAAACAAGTGCCTTCTGGGTGGTGCTTTCCACTGGGGTAAAATGAAAAGACTCCAGGATCACAGGCACCCAGGGTTCAAAGGCCTGTTAAGTAGAGAGCAGGAGACAGTACCAGCACAGCCCTAACTCTGTCGGGCCTGTCCTCTCAGAAGCCAGGCCATGGCCCACCTAAATTCTGGAAGGCCCCACCTCCCTTAGCCCCAACAGGCAGTGCTCATCATCAACGACTTTCCTCCAAGCCCCCGCCCTCTGCATACTGCATGGACTCCAGGAGTCCCCTGCCCCCACTCCCACCCAGGAAAGCTGGTCTAGGACCAATCAGAGGCTGTGGAACTTTCTGGAAGGCCCAGGGCTTCTCCCTGGGTGGGGCAGGGCCTCTGATTGGAGGAGGCCTGCCAGAAGGGTGGGGCGATGGGCGTGGCTAACGGGATAACTGCCAGAGCAGAAGACAGTTGGCAGTTATTTCGCAACCTTCATCTGTTCCTGGAAGATACCCGTAGCCTGCCTTCCTTCTTGACAGGCTGATTTAGGGGTGCTCCCCAAGAAGATCAGGACTGCTGAAAGAATGAAGAAGAACTTACTTGGCCTAGGATGTGGCTAGAGAACGGAGCGCACTTTCACTTACCTGGCAAGGTGGTTTTGGAAGTTTCCACGGAAGCCTTCCCAGGGCCGCTGCTGCCCGTCCTCGCCTAGGTGTGGAGCTTCCCGACCGGCTGGGGAGGGAATGTCCTGCGGGAGCCGCCGAGGACCCTCTTTAGCCTCTTCCCTGGCTTGGCTGCAGCTGCAGTCTGGTACTCGCCCATTCTGCTCTTCTTCACCTCCGTATTTTCTCTCTCACGGAAGAAGAATTCCATTCTCCCATCCCAGGAAGGAGAGTGCCCTGCGTGCCACGAAAGAGCCCAGGACCCACAGGACAAATACGTCACTGGCAGACCTGCCTTCGCCAGCGCCAGCCCATCTCTGAAACCTCCAGCATTTGTGCCCCGGTCCGGCCCCTCCCAGGCCTGACTCTTTCCGTGTGGGTATTTTCCTCCTGGGCTCGCTGCCGCCTCGCTCCCATTTCTCCCTTCCCTCCCTATGGTAACTGATGAAGGGTTGGGGCTGGTGGAACCCAGATCTGGGGTCAGAAGTTCCCCTTGTCAAGTCCCAAGTCTTCCATCTAAGCTGTGTGATCATGGGAAAGACACTTTACCCTTTGTGGGCATGCCCGCTCAACTGGAAAGTGACACAATCATAATGCCCTAATCCAGAATTCTTGTGAGAATGGGAGTAATTATGTAAATATCTTTGGAAAACAGATGTGCTGCCAATTACATTTTGTGATTTTAACTTTGTCTTATTTCTCTGCTGTTTTGTCTTCCTATGTATCAAGTTTCTTCTGATTTTTTTTTTTCTTTTATAGGAACGGTCACTGCGCAGGATCAAGCTACAATGAAGAGGAGGGAGGCAGTCTGCGCGCACCGCCATTTTCTAGGAACTGGGAAGCCCCCCCACCCCTTAGGAAGATCCATCCCTGTGGAACCTTGCCCAGGCTTACCAGCCTTTGCTGAGGTTGATCTATTGTCCCTCCTTGTCCCCATCAAAATATCCAGCACTCCACCTTCAGGGAGTAGACTTGACCCTCAAATAGCAAGTTCAGCCTTCCCAGGTCTAGGTTCCCTGGGAGGTCAAGATTCGTCTGGTTCCTTAGTACAGAGGGCTAGCTGTGAGTTGGAATCCCCCTATGAGCTTTAGAATCAGTCAAGAGGAATTGGGCCCCTTCCCTTCATCCCTCTTCTTTTCCCTTTTTGTCCCAGAGCTCAGCTCTGACTCAAAAGTTTTTCCATTTACCATCAACATGGAAACTTGGCTCCTCACGTAGGTATATTATCCCCCTTTTGTACATGGTCTTGTTGATCCAAACTCCCTTTCTGTGAAAGAGGCCTGTGGGGCTCAAGAAGCCTGGTCAGCCAGCCAGGCTAGTCCCACATACCTCAGAACCAGTTTAATAAAGGCTCTATGTCATTCTTTTTTGCTTGGGCTGATTGGTGTGCTGATTCAGAAGACCTTGATATTTTATTCTTTCCCCCAAACCAGCTCAATTGGTGTTTGTGCTAGAGGGAGATGGACCATGGGGAGGGCTGTTATAAGGGATATCCTTGGCCCTCCCACTTCCCCCTTTGAAGGATGCCCTTGTTATCTTAGGCAGGGACCTGATACCGGTTGGTTCAGTAGATATCTGGCAGTTTACTCTGAGCATTTACCTTATATTAGGGCAAGAACTAAAGGAACAAATATATCCACCTCAATGTCAGGTCAAATGGGAGGATGTGGATGGGAGTAAAGAGTGATTAGTATTGAGGTCGTGGAATTTTATTGGTTACTATTTTTATAACTTTGGTCTTCGAGTCCTTGAATGAAGGTAAACGGAGACTTATTAGGGAACAAATTACTAGTGGCAGGGTGGTGGTGTCCTGGTGTCCTGCTTAGAATGTGAAGAGAGTGCCCCATCATTGGCCTATGCTGTGCATCTGGGAGGTGGTAGGCCACAGTCCTGAACTGCACAACTGGTAGTGAAATTCAGAGCAGAATGCAACATTTATTTAATGGGGCCTCACAGTTGGCCAGTGTCCCTGTGGCCTTTCCCCTTCTTCCTTCCACTCTGTGTCATGGAGACCCGACTTGATTTGGCAAGAGAACAACGTACACCTAAGATTTCCCGAATATTTCCCAGCAAGGACCCTGGCTGGCTATGTTTCTACTTCAGTGGTGACCACAGCAGATACTGGCAGTTTTCTGTTATGGCTCTGGGGTCTTTTAAGGAGCAGGAACGTGGAATATGTACAAACCTGGAGCCACAGTCAAGTACTAAGCTCCTTGAAGCACAAGGCATGAGAATATCATGTTTTCTTTTCCTTAGAGGATTTATGAATTAAAACTAAGGAATAATTTGTAATCAGAATAACACCACCTGGCAGGGATGTTGATGAGCTGAGGAAGGCTTATTTGGAGATTTCTGGTATTTTCCAGCTCTGAGACTCCAGACCTAATATCCATGTAATGGCCATTAATGTCTTGTAATTTATAACAGTTTTATCAGTGATCCATTACATTAATCATCATGAGTTGGTGACTTATCAAGTCCTACAGGTTATTTGTTATTTGTATAACTATATAGAGCTATTTAATTTACAAACACAATACTCTTTTGAGGTAGATACCAGAACCATTTTACATTTGAGGATATTGAAGCTAGGAAAAAGACTCAGCTCTTGAAGGAATGGACATGGGGTGCCCTTGCCTTCCTTGGGGAGAGAGCCACCTAATCTGTGCAGCTGTAGTTAGGGCCTGCCACCTTATTCCTCCTCTCCATCCAGCCCCTACATTTTGGAAACAAAAAGGCAGCAGTGATCTGGGAATTATTTAATGCTTAGTTTGACAGGACAAATTTTAAGGACCTTAAGAGCAACCTTTTATTTCTTACCATATGAGGCACTGGGACAGGCACAGAGAAGTCAATATTATTTGCCCAGTGCATTTCTTCATGGCTTCTGCTTTTTAATCTTAGGCTCACTTTTTTAACCTCATTGCTCACATGTTATGATTCCTTCCAGAAAGTTCACTGAAATTCTAATGTCCCTTGCTGTTCCTTAGGTAACTTAGGAGTAACTTTCCAGCTCTTCCCCTAACTAGTTGTGTGACGTGCAGCAGGCTGCTTAACTTCTGTGTGTCTCAGTTTTCTCAACTGTAAAATGAATGATCCAACCCCTGTGTCAGAAGGATGGGTGAGGCTCATGAGGAATAACACATAAGAAATATGGGATGCTTACCACAGTGTTTGGTAAATAACATGAGTTTCCTCTTCCCTCTTTGAACAGTCCTTTGTATTCTGCTGAGAGCTTTCCTGTTCATGCTGCCTCACAACCAAAAGGGGAAAGAATCCTGAGTCCTGTGCTCATGATTTCTCCCTTTGCTAGCTGGTTCAAGGCCAATCCAGATACCATGGTATTTTCTGAAAGAGTCCCACCCTTCTGTGCAAAAGCCTTCCTCCCAGGGAGACTTGATATGACTGATTAACAATCCAATTAACACTCTGGAACAATCTAGAAGGGCTGTGGCTCATTACCCTCAGCAATTTTCCACCCATTTAGTCTCCAAGCCATTCCCTGGAAGAGACAAGTGGATCTGATGAGTGGGGCTGTGCCATGAGACCTCCAGTATTTATGGAGAAGCCAGTCCTTTCTTCCTTCGCCAGGCCTCAAGATTTCCCAATGTGCCTCTATTCTTACATGGCGGATGGGATTCTTTGCCTTCATACAGGAAGGAACTGGAACCTCAAGGCAGACAGGACAAATACAAATCTTGAAAATGACCATGACTCCTAGTTGGTCCCTACTTGCCTCCTGGTTTCACTAAGTAGAGGGTCACTCCAGGTAGAGCCCTATCCAGCACACTGCTCCTTCCCCCACCTTTAGATGTGGACAGTGGGTGGACTGGGCCCATAGCCTGGACCTGGACAGCTGTGTCCTCCCAACCAGACTCTTCTGATTCTGCTGCGCCTCACTCTTTCCTACTTATCCTTGCCTAGATCCCTCTTACTCCATCTTTCCTGCTCAGGTCACAATGGACAATAATCTCTGACCCCTGCCCCAGCTAGACTGGCACTGGAGAGCTGAGAGAGCCTCCTGTCCATGGAGAATTCTGGCAGAGCTGCTATCTTCAGCCCCGTCTCAACTCTCCAGGGTCCTGTGCCCTTTGTCTACCTCTCCCAGGCCTGACTCTCCTCCCACTTGCATGGACATTGTCTTTCCTAGCTCTGGGCTGCCTTCTCAGCCTCATGTTTTGCCCTTTTTCCTGCTGTGGGAGCCAGCCATCACTGTAATGCATGAGTGCGGGGATGTGGTGTGAAGGGAACTCCAGTTCTGGGGTCAGAAGATTTAAAGTTTGAGACCTACTTCTGTCCCATAAGCACTATAAAAACTAAGCCAAATAAACAACTTTGATCCTCAGTTTGGAAACTTTTGTAATGTGAAGAAATTAGACTTTTGATAAAGAATGGAAGAAATGGTCATCCATGCTAAAGAAATGTTTGGAATGTTGAGATGCTATAGAATCTTTCTGACAGTGCTGCTGACTTTGTATACCTCTACATATAAATGTCTCCAGTTTTGTTTCTTTTCCACCATTCTGCAGACAAAGCTGAATGCAGGCAGGGAAGGAACCCTCACTGTTGAGCCCTGGAATCAGGCACTCTTGTCTGAGCCCCTTCATCTTTGGTTTGGGGTAGAAAGCACAGGTGGCACCCTTTCTCTAGTTTTCTCACTTCTGGCACAAACTTTCATTTACTGTAACCTAAGAAAGGATGGAAGACCTTGAGCCTCAAGAAAAAAGCCCCAAGAAAATTCCATGCCTCTGCTTCCCTCACAAATCAAAGCTGAGCTAATCCAGAGCAGTTTGCATGATTCCTTAGAAGAAGGAACCTCACCAGGACTCTTAAAAGCAGGGAGACCAAGGAAGAATTGGGCTTCTGCACTTAATCACTGTTGAGGTCCTCCCTGCCTGCTCCCAGACCTCTGGAGTGACCCACAGTCTTCTCTATTTACCTTAAAAACAGAATCCAACCTCTTCATGTAGGTGAGTCACCCCATCTGCAGTTATATGTCCTGGCGCACCCCAGCTCTCCCCAAACAAACTGTGAAGCATCAGCCCTACCCAAGGAACCTGTCCAGCCATGCACACTTCAACCAACCCTCTCTGACCTTAGGATGAAACCGTTTCTCTAACATTTTTTTTCACTCACATTGGGACCAGTGTGTTGATTCAGAAGACCAAATTGGGAACTAATTTTAATCTCCCTACCTCAAGCAAATGGATGGTCTTCGGACTAGAGGGGGCCCAGGTATTAAAGGGTGTCAGAGAGGGCTGGTCAATGGGCTACCATCCCACCACCCCTTGGGAAGAGCTCACCTCCCTTCTCAAGTGGAGAGCCTCTGGCCCACTCTCAGCCCTCTGATCAGAGCCAGGCTCTCACTGAGTGATTTTTCTGGCACCTGGCAGTCTTCCCATCCTAGAAGGGGAACAGTGGGAGGTTTTTGGTGGCAGCATTTGTGTCATTCCAGAATACTGGATGTTAGATTTTGGCTGTTGGGAAAATCCTGGAACAAAGATGAAAGGTGAGAAGGATTAGGGAACCAATGAGTGAGGGGCAGGATGGCCATCCTCAGCCCAGCAGTGAAGTCTACAGTTTTCCAGGTGCTTCCATCTACTATTGGGGCTGTTGTGTATGTCAGAACATTCAGGGCATCAGGGAGTACAGAGGTTACCATGTGCTCTCTGCCACTTCCCTGCCTCCTTTCTTCTCTCAAAATCATAGAGACCAGTGCTGATTTGGCAGGGAATATCGAACCTCTTGAGATTTTTCCAGCTGGAACCCTGGCTCTGTACCTAGTTTTTTAACACTATTTTGACCATAGCAGTCTTTGGGAGCTGCTTGATGTCTGGGCTCTGGATTTCCCATGAAGTCAAGAATGATGGATTCACAAGGGCCCACCGGGAATATGGAGCCATGGTCTGATTAGAGCACAGAGAGCTACTTCCTGCCTTGGGTAAATCCTGAAATTCATCATGCATGATTTTCCTTTTAATAAGATTAAGGAGAGCTTGTATAGATATTGAACAGGGGATCCTGATAGCCATTGAGGGAGGCTGGAGTAGATGACCTCTGATAGCTTTTGCCAGCTTTGAGAGTCTATGAACTTAACATATGTAATATTATCATTAATATGCTATAATTTATGTTACTTTAAATGATGCATATCATTAATAATAATGACTGTTATTACGCTGCCTTTTCCGATCCAATATGTGATCTGTGTAACTACATAGTACTACAGAAGCATACTTACTGAAGTCGATACTTACCATTGATATCTTACCAAAAAAGAAACTGTGGCCAAGAAACAGCCTCTCAACCCAGAACCCCCAAACTAAACAGCCTCTTTCTCTCAGGAGGAACTGAACCTGCCTTGGTTTACTCAGTTCTCTGCAACTACCCTTCTTCCAGACCTGCTTTGTTCCCTCCACCACACCTCCTCTCAAGCTCCTGGGACAGCTAGAGATGCCTCCCTCAACCCCTGCTTGTCCAGGCACAGGATCCCAGTCCTTAATGTGCCCCTGTTAGACCCAAAGCCAGTCACTTTTCCATACCAGGTCTTAATTTCCTCTTCTGTAAAGTGACTCAAGATTTTGA
The DNA here is from genome assembly GCF_000001405.40 of Homo sapiens. Classification (NCBI taxonomy): domain Eukaryota; kingdom Metazoa; phylum Chordata; class Mammalia; order Primates; family Hominidae; genus Homo; species Homo sapiens. The sequence goes on from NC_000006.12 coordinate 40,385,108, forward strand.
AACTTAAAATCTGGTGAATTCTTCCAAGCACAGGTGCCATCTTATGTTGTATGGCCTTTGGCCAATCCATCTGTCCATCTTTTCTTGGATAGTAGTTTTGCCAGATCTATAAGTTATCTTGAAATTAGTGAAAACAGACCAATCTTTGATAACCAGAGATCTAAAGCATCAGCTTATGGCCCTGTCCTTCAGGGTAATGTGTAAGGCCCTCAAAGCCATGCACAGTGTCTTTCACTTTGACTTTTATCTCTCTCAATACCATGCACAGTGCTAGGCACACAGCAGGTCAGCAAGAGCATGCTGAATGAGCACAAACAGATTTCACCATCTCTCCCACTTTTTCTGCTGGACTCAGTCTTCTGAAAGTCAAGGCACATATGCCAGGATTCAGGCCTTCGACATGAAACCCAGACAGCTCTGCATTTTTACATCCTCTGCAGCTCTGTAAGAAACTTCAGAGCAAATCCATCTCTTGAGTGTTTACCCAACTTTGTGCCTCAATAGCTGTGTGACCTTGGGCAAGTTATTTAACTCTTCTCTACCTGAGCTTCCCCAATAGAGATATTAATAATAATACTTATTTCATTGTGTTGTTTTGATGATAAATTGAGATAATCTATATATAGCTCTTAGACCAGTACACGGCACATAGGAAACTCTCAATAAATGTCAGGTATGATTATCAACTTACTTTTGCAGTTCAATATTCACCTGAAAAATGCCAACCTAATGTTCTCCTAATGAAAGTATAAGAACTTTTCCATAATTAGTCTGGGTAGGTAAGGCAATCACCCCATCTTTGGTAGACAGGAAGGACCATGTCTTCCAAGAGATCCCCACAGGAATGGGTGGGAAGAGCATAACAGGAAACCCAAGATGAAAGCCTTCAGGATTAATAGCTGCAACTGAGGGCTTAAATCCCTTCTTCTTGGCAGCAGTACTCCTCAAATGGTGAGCAAGTTACCTGCTAGTTGCCAGGACATGCCAAGTCCATGACAGAGGGGACAGGTGTAGTGCACTGAGGTTTTTACTTCACAACAAAGTGGAAACAATGTCAGATAGGTCAGCTAACACAGGTCTCCATGGTTTGGAAAATGGGATATCTTGGATGTAGCCTAGGAGATTCAAGGGAAAGAAAACTCATCCTTGCAAAGTATATAAATGTTAGTGCTGCTGTGGGGTATGCCAGGGAGCACCACTGAACACATGTTACAGAGGAGGTGCAGGAGAAGAGGGGGTGTGCTCATCACCAACTAACCAGATGGACAGCCTGGACGGATGGGCTGGGGCTGTGGGAGGTTGGTCAGTGGGCTGACTGGCTGTGGACCAGATGGGTTTGGGGATCCCATGGAGATGGGTGAAATTCCAGCTCCATTCTCTCATCAGTAGGAAACCGAGCATGTGACTGTTGACATCTTGGAAAGGACTAGACCATGAGATCTTCCTTGCTCCAATCCCAGACAGACTCCGGCATGAGATAGTGGAGGAGAATTCTGGCTCCAGGAGCATATTCAGCTGATGGCTAAAGGGACCAGAAGATCAATTATCCCAACAATAATAGGAAAATAACCAGGGAAGAGCCTGTAATCTGGGCCTACTTCCTCAGAATAGGTGAGCAAAAGAAAGATGTCACACATTATACAAAATGAGAACATGGAGAAAGATCACTGAACCTGTCAGAAGTTCCTAAATAGCTATGATAGGGGTCACAGGATAGCCTTAGAGGTAAAAGCTAGCTTCTCTCTTTGGTCTGGGGAAAACATGCCAATTTCTCTCTGATAGAAGCTTCAGGGAAGGGAAACCACGAGCCTTGTAAACATTGACTGACTGTGAGGTACAGAACCTTAATTGAGATGATGGAAGCTACAACCTTTGGTTTAAGGGCTGAAAGCACAAATAGATATTTTTAAACTGTGAAAGTGACAGGGTTCCTTTTAGATATTGGGGCAGTAACCTGGATGGGCCTGATTCTATTATGCAAAGGTAGAAACCTCAGGTATTTACCTGTGAGAAGCCTCCTTGTCACAACAAATTCTTCTTGCTGCCAACTGCATCACATGGAAAGGCTAGGTTTGATAATCTAGGTGGGATCTTTAAAACGGTGTATGCAGGTTTTGAGTGCTGCCTGCCAATAGTCTCTTCTTTTGAATAAGTGTGTCTATTTTTCTGGCAGCAGTTTGCAGAAATCCCACTGGTTGTAAGAACAGAGAAAGCCCCACCCAGCTTGCTGAAGCCCTGAGACCTTCACTGCAGGCACACTGAGAACAGAAGATACAGAAGTACTCAGGCTGTACTTATGAAAAATCAATACTCACAGACTTTTAAAGAAAAGTTACTTTGCATTTGGGAAGGGGGAATCCTGAGACAGTGACTGTTGCCTAGCCTGGCTGACAATTATATCCCTTAACAAAAAAGTGTTCCTGAGGTCTTTTCGAATTTCAACACTGTAATGGTGAAAAAATAGAAAATTCTCTTGAGGGAAACCTGAGGGATATGTCATTATCGAGAATGTGGGGAAAGGGGTCAAACTGTTTTTCCAGAAAGCTTAATAATCAACTAGGCAAATATTGTATCAGCTATCTCACCTCTGCAAAAGATTGAAGAGCTGGAGGCTTCTGTATATCAGGAAAGAGGATCTGGGTAGGTATCTTACCTGATAGGGACAGGGGTATTAAAATAGAAAGAGGCGAGAAGATGGGTTTTGTCTCTGAAGCAAGCTGTTGTCAGGCTTTTTATCTTAGGGGGAAGAAGTTATAGGCTCCTGGGGCAGAGCAGCCCAGACAAGACTGGAGATGGAAGGCTCATTCAACAAGCAACCTCCTAGAGGTCACCAAGAGGGAAGAAGGGGTGACCACAGGGTGGGCTGGGCAGTGCAGTCTGAATCCTGAGGAATTTTCCTGGCCAGGGGAGGGAACGTGTTTCAAGGCAAGGAGGGCCAGAAAGGCCGGTGTACGGTCAGAAGGAACTGCTTCACCAAGGTGCTCTTGCCTGGAATTAACACTCTGAGGTTTCTCGCAGATCTTAGGCTAGTCAAGGGTTTCCTGATTAGGCTACAAATGTGAATCATTCAGTCAGTATAAAATACAATCTATAACAGGTTGACGGGAAGAAGAAAGGATGGGAAGGCAGTGTGATGTCATGGGAAGAACTAAGGCTTTGCAGCCAGACTTAACTGTGTGACCTTGGGCAAGTTACTTAACCCCTCTGAGCTTCAGTCCCTTCATTTATAATATGGGCATAATACTATCTACCTAAAAAGGTTTTAGTGATGATTCAGTGAGAAACATATTTGAAGCAACAAGCACAGTAACTGGAAGCTGTAGGTACTCAATAATTGTCAGTTTCCTTCCTCTTCTAAAAGCTGTGCTTTCAAGTCAATTGTATGTCTAGAGTCGCACTGTCTGGTACAGTGGCCAGTACTAGCCACATATGGCTCTCAAGTACTTTAAAGAGGGCTAGTCTGAATTGATATGTGTCATACATGTAAAATACTTTAAAGAGGGCTCATCTGAATTGATATATGCCATACATGTAAAATACAAATCAGATTTCTAAAACTTTGTACCAAAAAATACCATAAAATAACTTACTAATAATTTGAGTGATTACATGTTACAATAATATTTTGGATATATTGAGTTAAAATATAAGATTAAAATTAATTCCACCTGTTTCTTTATATTTGATTCAACATGGCTACTGGAAAATTTAAAATTACAATGCGGCTTACATTTTATTCTATTGGACAGTGCTGATCTAGATACTAGAAAAGACAAGGTTGGGAAGCTGTGTTCCAGAAGCATGTTTGTTTCTATACCTTGAGTTTGGGTTTTGGTTTGTTCTCCCATGGTTTCCCAGTAAAAGACCCTTTTGAAAAAAATACCATCCAGGGCTCAACCAAAACGGGTAGAAGATACCTACATGCCCCTAGTAGTCAGGTGTTGTGGTGACCACAGTCCAGGAAAAAGTAGGTAGGGCTGGTATATCAGAGAATGGAGATGTCAGGTAGGACAGTCAGGACAGCTGGGGATGGACTGTTCTTTTCTTAGCCTGAAGCTTCTCTTCAGATTTCTCTACCTTTCTTTACTCTGGGAAGATGATCCCATTTTCTATTATTTCAGAAGATTCCCCCACCTTATACATGAACTTGGCAAGAAGCAGGCTCCCACCAGGCAGTAACAAACACAGGTGCAAGAGAAAATGCCACTTCAAAGCCATCTTTAGAAAACCCCAGAGTTTCCAGAGAAATGAACAGCAGACATTCACAGACATAAGAATGTTTTTTTTTTCCCCCGCCCAAGGAGTGTGGTTAGTGGTTGTTTTTAAAACTGTACATTTTACTGTACATTTTTTTTCTAGCAAAGGAGAAGATTGGCATTTATATTCTGACCACAGGGATGCTGCTTTCCAAAACTCCAAGTCAGAAACATGACAAACACAAGAGCAAGTACATATCATGTCACGATAGAACTCGGAACCGCTGATGAGAATAGACAGTCAGTTGGTTCCTTCCACTGTTCACCACCTTCCCTCTGTGTGTCTGAATCCAAAGGCCAAAAAGAAAGCTGGTGTTTGAGACCACTTCCACAATGGCTATAGTTTGAAAGGATGAATGAGAAAGATGAGGAGGGAGAAAAGAGAAGAGGAAAAAACAGGAAGGGAAAAGAGAAAGGGTGGAAGAGATTTCCTTTCAAGTTGCCCAATTCTGTGGGTGCTTCTGTGACCATAGAAAGGATGTGCTTCAGCCCTGGGACTGGCCTCGAAAATTATTATAACTTGAGGTCTCAGGAGGGACTGGCCTGATCTGTTAATGACCTTGTCAGGACCAGAAAGGGACTGGGAAAGGCAGAGAGTAAAAGGAGAAAAAAAAAGAAGGATGAAGAGAAGAGAGGGGAGGGAGGAGAGTGAGGAAGGAGGAAGGCCTGGGATTTGGAGGCTCTGGGACTAGAGCCGAAGGTAATTCTTCATAGACAGTTGCAAATCCCTCCTTGTGTGTTCCAGAGTGGGGTTGGGGGCCAGCAGCTCGGGTCCAGGTCTGAGGCCATTGGAACTTTTTGGTCCAGAATGGTCTTGCCTGTATGCTTTGTAGGCTGCGTGGTTGGCAAGTGGAAGAAGGAAGAACAAAAGAGAGAAAATAGAGGTCTATGGAAGGAGTTGGGAGAGGAAAGAATGAGTTGGAGAGACTGAGGGAGAGGTAGTGAATTGCTGATGAGTAGACATGGGACAGGGATGCCGGGGAAAGTCATTCCAATCTGTCTACAGCAGGTTCTCCGTGGGCACATCTCCTCTTCCCCTTCTCTTGCCACTGTCTGGCAGGGAGGGGTTATCCCTAGATGGAAAGGAGTCTATGCACCCCTCCCATTCCACCCTGTAATTTCCAAGGATGGACCCTCCTCAAGAAACCAAGAGCAGGCATCCCCCCATCCCACCCTGAGCCACTTTCTTAAGGAACAAACATGGGACAGCCTTTGGACACAGAAAAGCCCTAGGCAGAGTGAAGACAGGGTCATGGATCCCAAATACCACTGCCAGGAGGCAGGTGGCCTTGGCTTCTACCCTGACCTGGTCATGAACTCACTGTGTGACCCTCGGCAATTCCTTTATGCTCTCTGGAAGGGAGAGGGAGGGTTAAAGATGGGATGATTGCAAACACCTCCCCAAGCTTCAAAAGCCTATGATTCTAAAAAGATTCAGCTTTCCCCCTCCAAGGCTTCTAGAATTCTCTGTGTCCAGTAAAAAGGAGGGGCACTGCTGTAACCAGCTTGTGCTTCTGGTGTCACTAAGCAAAAAAGCCTAACATCTAGAGTCATGAATAATTAATAGGCCTATAGAACTGGAAAGGGACTGGAGACCTAGTACAATCCCAGTATTTTTGCAAATTGAGAAATTCAGGTCCCAACAGATAAAAGGGTCTTGCCCCAGTTATTCAGCTGGCTATTCATGTGACTGTGGAGCCCAGACACAGAACTTCGGACTCCAAGTCCACTGCTGTTTCTGCCACCCCTGCTGCTTTCCTTAAGAGAAGCCCTCCTGGCCTGCCACATGCTCAAGGGGGACTTTCCATGCCAGCTTCCCAGAAAGAGTGGCAACAAGCCCAAAGCAACTCCAGAAGTTAAGATCCCTTGTGCCCTATAGCATGAAGCCCTCCTCCCTCCCCACACGTAAGAACCCAGGAAATTACCCTTCTGGTTTAAGCTTCTGTGATGGGTGTGGCATGTCATGTTTGAGAAGCAAAGGAAACTAGGTCAGGTATCGGGGGTCAGTCACTCACCCCTTCCAGTGTCGGGTGTGGGGTGGTTGGGAGTAATGAGAGCTCTGAGCAGGGAACCCCACAGTCTTCCCCCAAACAAGTGTGGAAACAGAATAATTCCCTCCTCTTGTCAATTGGCAACAATTACCCACTACCAGGGCTGCTGGGAACACACATTCATATGTACGATTAACTCTCGATTATTCGTGTGAATGAAGAGGAGGAGTCTGGGAAATGGAAAAAAAATAAATTAAGAAATAAAAACAACACTAGACCCATAAGCAATCCAAAGCCGCTTGCTTGTAGGCTACATTTGTGATTAGAAAGGCGGAGTCTCGCCTTTCCAAACACTCAGGGCTCAGTCCGGCATTTGAGCGAGTCCACATTCCCTGAGCACACCCCGGCCGGGTGGTGGGGAGGTGATGTGGGTGTTGCGGGGTAGGGGGGGACACGAGGCCATTGACAGGGAGACGAAACTGTCCCTGGATGTAAACATCACCATGGAAACTCCACAAACACTTGCCAGTGAGATTCTTTCCCCTTCTCCCACCCTGCGCACAGGAAAGGGAGCATGCCCACCCCCACCTAGACCGTGCTCTCCATCACCCATTCGGAGCTGCCAAAAGTCCCCCGGGCCCCCACCAGGTCACTCTCCTCAAAGGGCAAGAGCATGCCGTTGACAGAGAGGCTGCGCTTCGTCCAGATGTTCGAGACCTTCCGAGGAGGACTGTAGCCGCCCGGCACGACCCCTCCCGCCGCCGCAGCAGCAAAGTCCCCCATGTCGAAGGAGTGGCTGCGTTTGGCCTTGCCCTCCAACGGCAAGGGGAGCAGGCTCCTGGCCCGGGCCGCAGGGGGCCCCAGCAGTGGCTCTCGGTCCGAGTGGTGGCCCCGGGCCGACGTCCCAGCCCCTCTCCCGGCTGGAGTCCTGGAGTCCAGCAGCTCCTCCTTTCTCTGACTCTTGAGGTCCAGGGAGGCGAAGGCCCCCATCAGGCGGTCAAGGCTGGGCTTGGGGCGCGGGGCGGAGGGTGGGATCCTCCAGGGGGCCCGTCCCAGCCCCGCAGCCTCCCCACTGCCCAGGGAGCTGGAGGAAGAGGAGTCACTGGCGCGGGCCAGGCTGGCGGTGAAGTCCAGGAGCTCGTTGCGCACCACCACCTTCGGCGGGCCCTGCGGCGGGGCCCCGGCTGGTGCGCTGCTTGGAGGCGGTGGCTGGGCGCCGTTGGTCTGCGAGTACACATTGCTCACGGCCGCTGCCATCTTGCTGGGGGCCTCGTGGTTGCAGACCTTGTAGCGCACCATGAGGATGACGATGAAGACCAGCAGCGTGGCCACGATGATGCCCCCGATGACCAGGATCATGGTGCCGCCCAGAATCTGGCTGTGCATGGACTGGCACTGCGGGTAGTCAGCCTTGGTGAAGAACTGGGCGCAGCCCACGATGTTGGTGGCCGTGAGTGTCGTGGCTGTGTCATCCCACATGGCCAGCACACACAAGTCGTAGCCAGTCCCTGACACCAGGTTGTTGACCACGAAGGCCTTGTTGGAGGCTGGGATCATCCTGGGGAGGGAGGTGGACAGAAATAGTGAGGGGTGGTGGGGTGGAAGGACAGGGTGATGGGGAGTGGACAGAGGTAGAAACAGAGTGACAGAGATGGGGAGGGGGAGGGGAGGGAGGCCAAGACAGACACGGGGACACAGAGAGAATGGGGCAGAGGGAAAGAAAGGGACAGAGGAGTGAAGAGACATGGAAGGAGAGAGAAGGAGAGACAGAGGAGAGGGGAGGAGGGAGGGGCAGGGGCAGGCAGGCAACAGGAATAGGGCATAGGGAATAGAGAAGAAAGAGATGTGAGGAGGGAGACCCAGACAAGGGAACCAAGGGACAGGTTAGGGTGGAAAGGAAGGTGAGAGAGGGAGATTCAGAGATGGAGCATCAGGGAGAGGTATAGACCGAGGATGTGTCAGAGACCAAGGATGTGTCAGAGACCGAGGATGTGTCAGAGACCGGGTGAGAGAAAATCCAGATATATGGAAACAAAAACACAAAAACACAATGAGTATGAAGATGAAGGGAATGAGAAAGGAGGTAGTTGAAAGAAGAGAAAAGGGGAGGCATTTAGAGGTGGAGGGAAAGAGGAGTGGGGGAGACTCAAGCAGAGTTGAGAGGACACACAGGGACAGGCAGAGGGAGAGACAGAGAGGCAGAGAGGTTAAAGTGTGAAGAAGCAGAAATTATACAAAGGGACACCCGCTACTTCCCTCCTTCATGCCTGCTACAAGTATTCCCTCCGTCTCTGGGATGGGCAGGGTGAGAGTCAGGTCAGCCCTGACCCTGTGCCAGCCCACCCCGAGGCTTGCTCCAGCCCTCCTGTGACCTCTGAGATTCATGGCGATCCCCATCAACACTTTCTGAGCCTTCTTTCTGGACCAGGTGCTGTGCTGTGTCAGAGACAAGGTCCTGCCTGGAGAGGCCAGCACCACCCACACCTCCAAAGGGCTTTCTCATGACTCAGGAGGGAGAGCGTTTGCTGCTGCAGACTGAGGGAGAGGGAGTCTAAGCAGAAGAGGACTGGATGCAGGAGAAGGGGGCCTGCTGCTTAGGGGTGGAGGGACAGTGCAGTGTTAAGGACTGGGGGGCACTTCTGCATCCCAGAGGAAAGGGACGATTCCTTGGTCCTAGTTGTAGTAGGCCAGGCTCAGCCAAGAAACCTGGGGGAAGAGTTTCTTTAGTAGAAGACTTTAACTGCTCCTTCCACCTTTGGGGAGGGTCTGATGGGGAAGCACTCTCCCCACATTGTGGCTGGTCCTCTCCTGCCTGGAACTCCTCACCCTGAACTCTGGACCCTTGTGACCTTGTTAAGCCTGGATGCACACCCTGAACTCCAAGACCCTTGTTGAGGTATCATGCCTTCTGCTGATTCCAGAGATGATGCCTGTGTCACTTCCATAAACACTCCCAAAGAAATACCCAGGCCTGAAGGTACCACTGTGTAGCTTTCTTGGTAGTTCCTCCACTCCCATTCTCCTATTCCCTACTACTTGAGAATGAAAGGGCTCTATCAGTTCCCATCAACCCCTCAAACCTGGAGCTAGGCAACTTAATTAAGATCTCAAATATGAAATACTGAAGCCTGAAAACTTCCACCTGGGATCCATGCACAGAGGACTGGAACTGACAGACAGATATTGACATCCCGTCAGTGGGCAACCCCAGTGGCTGCTGCCTCCCTCCTCACCTGCCCACCTGCTCTTTTGCTGGGGAAGCCACACTGGAGGAAATTGAGCCCCCAAGGCCCACCTGATATGGTTTGGCTGTGTCCCCACCCAAATCTCATCTTGAATTGTAGCTCCTACAATTCACAGGTGTTGTGGGAGGGACCTGGTGGGAGGTAATTAAATCATGAGGGTGGGTCTTTCCCAAGCTATTCTCATGACAGTGAACAAATCTCATGAGATCTGATGGTTTTATAAAGGGGAGTTTCCCTGCACAAGCTCTCTTCTCTTGTCTGCCACCAGGTGAGATGTGCCTTTCACCTTTTGCCATGATTGTGAGGCCTCCCCAGCCATGTGGAACTGTGAGTCCATTTAAACTTTTTCTTTTCCTTTTTTTTTTTTTTTTTGTAAATTATCCAGTCTCGTGTATGTCTTTATCAGCAGCGTGAAAATGGACTAATACACAGCCCCACCCTTAGCACAGTGTTTGGGGCAGAAGAGGCCAGAGGGGTTAGGAGAGGTGGATCCAGCAAGGACCCTGCAGCCAGCCCCACAGGTCTATCTGAAGACTTCAGAGCCAGTTTCACCTGGGCATCATGACAGTCCTGTAAAGGCAGTGATCAGTACTCCCATTTCACAGAGAAGAAATGGCTGAGACTCAGAGAGGGTAAGTGATCTGCCTGAGGTCACACAGCTGGGACTGCTAGTATGCAGCAGTTGAGACCTTTAACACTAGCTTCTGGGTCCACGGTCTGGGCTTGTTCCTCACTGTGTGACAGACATGGAAGCATTTTTCCTCATTTCAGTGAAAAGTTCGCCCTGGCCTGTGGCTGGTCAACCACCTTCATCCCTGGAGCAGCTTAGAGCCTGCTGTGACTCACGCTCCTCTACTGACAGGATGCCAGCCTGCTAGGCCATCTGCTGGGCAGGGCCTGAGGAGCCCTGTGTGGCCAATGCTGCAGGGGACACTTGAGTCCTCCAGGGCCTCGTTCCTTTCCCCTCAGGGCTAATGATGTAAGTTGAGATGGCAGGAGCTAAGCACACCCAGAACAGTGACAACAGCAAGAGCAAACACCAGCTGGTAACTGTGCGCCATGCTCTAAGTGCCCTATGCCAACTCACTTAGGCCTACCGCAACTCCCCGACACAGCTGCCATCATAATCCAGATTTTTCAGATGGGGAAACAGAGGTGCAGAAGTGTTATGCAAAGATAACATGGCAGAGCTGGGATTAAATCCCAGGGAGGCCACCGTCAGTCTGCTCTGAATCACGGCATTCCACCATTTTGTTGGGCCACAGTGATATAAGAGCATGTCCACTTGAGAGGTGGATGGACATCCTTGTTTACTGAATACCTGTTGTGTAACATAGGTTTCCACATTCATGATTGCATTGAACACAGCCACCCCAGGTCACCAAAGATGTACCACGAGCCCAGAAATCTTCTCAATATTTAGCCACCTTCTCCTGGGAAGCAGATCACACTAGTACTACTATTAGTACTACTACTAATAGCAACAAAATAAGAAGAACAGCTAACATGAGGGCTTACTCTGTGCCAGGCACTATTGTGAGATATTTAAGGGGATTAAGACTCTTTTAATACTCCCTAACATTGTTGGGAGGCCATTATTGTTATTCTCATTTCCACTTAACAGATAAGAAACTGAGGCACAGAAAGGTTAAGCTACCTGCCCAAGGAGGCCCAGCTAGTAAGTTGGCAGAGCTGGGATTTAAATCAGGCAGTTTGGCTCCAGGGCCTCCGCACCTGACCCCTGGGTCATGCTGCCTCTCGGACACTGCCCCGTCTTCCTGCCCTTCCTGGGCAACTTTGTGAGGAACCCTGCCTGGTCTCCCCAACTCACCTTTGCTCCCCAACTCAGAGAAAATCATAATGTGATGAAGCCACATCCTAATGTGATGAAGCTGCGGTTGGGCTGTGCTGCTGATGGAGGTGTAACAAGGCAAGGCTGATTCTTGGCGGGCCACTGGAACCGGGATGAAAGGTCAGGTCTGGAACAGTTTTGCACTGTAATTGGCCCATCAGAAACAAGGCCAGCAGGAAAAGCCTGCTAGGATGAAGAGCAGAAAGGCGGAAGGCGGCTCCTGATTCCTCTGCTCTGTGTGTGTGTGTGTGTGTGTGTGTGTGTGTGTGTGTGTGTGTGTATGTGTGCGTGTGTACGTCTGTGTGTGTGTGTTGGCGGTAGGAGGAGTTGGGGTGACTTAAGGAGAGCCAGAGCCAGCTAACTCAAAACAGCCCTGGCTGGCAAGGTCAAGTTTGCCTTTTCTAATAACAATAATAACCAGTATTTGCCTAGCACTTACTTGTCCTGGCAAGTTTACACGCATTATCTCATTTAATCTCCTACAACCCTCTGAGGAAGTTATTCCGGTTTAGAGAAGGAGGAAGCTGAACAGTTTGAACTTTCCCTTGGGGGAATGATGGGGCTGAGACCAGAACAGGTCCATTGCATCCCACAGCCCACACTTCTTAAAAGCAAGACACTTCTGCCTCCAGGCAACCAACAGACAAATTGCATGAGAAAGCCACGTGAAATGGGCACTCTAGTGAAAGATATAGAATTCATCTCTGACCTGTGTCCCCCTGTCCACCTCATCATCCAACCCTACAAAACCATCCACTGATCCTCCAAGCTATAGCTGGGGAGCCTGGATTTCCCCCTTCACTCCTGCTCACAACCCATCACTCTGGCTGGTAGATTCTACCTTCTGAACACCCTCTGCCTTCCAACTCCACATACAGTGTTAGCTTAGGCCTCTCCATTTCTGGTCAGGATGGACTCAGCAGCCTCCAGTCAGGCTCTCTGCCACAAATTTTGCTCCCTGAAAGTGCATTCTCAGCACCACACCATCTCTAGTGCTCCACCTAAAACACAACTCTGGCTGTGTCGCCTGCCCACTGAGATGCTTCAAGTACTAACTATGGTCTACAAGAGACAGTGCAAACTCCTTAGCTGGGCTCCCAAACCAGGCTGCTGTCACATTGTTGTCCTTCTACCCACACAGCCTCTGACGCTGCCCACATTCTCAAAAACTTGCCCAGGTAGGAAAACACTGCAGAATCAGCCGGGCCCTGAATGGGCAGATGGCACTTCCTAGAAGGATAATTAAAGATCTTATTTATCAAGGGGCTAGTTGTAAAGAGGCAAGAGGGTATCACAAGGGAATGTGCAAGAACCCAGAGCTAATAGCAGCCAAGAGCCGAGGTGTTACGTCTGCCTCATCCCCAGGAGAGAGAAGCATGTAGGCCAGTGCTGCTTGTAGTGTGGCTCACAGATGGATGCCGGCCCATGGACTGTTTGTTCCTGTTCCATGATCAGACACTACAGAAGTCAAGAGTAGGAATTAAGGCTTTATAGCAATTTGGCATTGGTTGTCACATTGAAGTGCATGATGATTATTTCTGGTAACTTAGTTCTAGTCTTACAAAAACACTGGCCTGCAACAGAGTGGGGAAAATCGAAGCTGCTCCTTCACAATGAATAGCTTGAGGAGCCCTGGGCTAGTGCAGGCTTTCTCAGCCTCACCACTGTTGACACTTTGGCTGACTATGTCTTGGCTGTGTGGGGCTGACCTCTGCATCGTAGGAGGACAATCCCAGGACACCCCTGGGCTCCACCCACCAGATGCCAGAACACACCCACAGTGTGACAAGCTAAAATGTCTCCAAGCATTGCCCAATGTCCTCTGGGGGCAAAGTCACCCTCCATTGAGGCACATTGGTTTAGAGAATTTGGTTGAGAAACAGAAGCTGCCAGGGGCAACCTTACAGGGTGGGCACCGGACAAAGAAGTAGCCGGACCTCACTCTTCTCTGCCGCCGACCTTCTGCTGCTGCTCTGCATGGCTGAACCAAACCGAAAGCCAGAGTTCACAGGCACATGCAGGTCAGGCTTCCAGAGTGCAGGGCAAGGCGGAGGAGGGGAGAGTGGATCCCGAGGGACAATAGATAATAAATGGCTCAACCATCAGGTCAGTCATGGGCACCTCCATGAAAAACACGTCCCTGAAATCCTGAGAGATTTCTTTCCATCATGTAAACTACCAACATCTCTGTTAGCAGAAAACATGAATTGCTATTTTAAGTTAAACTGCTCCAGTGCGTTAAATTTAATTAAGCTCACACACTCTAAAAGACAATTTGAAACTGCAACCCCAAGCACTTACCAAAGAAACACAAAACAAGCCTAAGTGGCTGCCTCTGGATTGTTTTTCTTTTTCTTTCCTTTTCTGTTAATATTATTTTGGCATTGTTCATTCAGCTTAACACTAGCACACAAATCTACGGCTGATACTAGAGGTCTATGAAATCACAGGCACATACTGTTATTCTACTGTGGGCTCTCGAATCTGTTCTCCACATTTCACCTGCTTGCCTCTGCCTGTGGGGAACTACATTTCCCAGGCTCCCTTGTCTGTTCCCAGGTTTCTGAGCCCTCAGGCTGCCAGTTGGAGTTGGCCAATGGAGGCACTGGAGAGAGAGACTGGAGGGCCGGAAGAGGGGAGAAGCCAGGTATCTCTTCTATTTTTTCGTCTCCAAGTGGTTTCACCCTGTCAGTGAATCTCCTCTGTGATTCCAGCTGCCAGGGTTCCAGCTCCTGCTAGACACATTAGGATCTTAGTCACTGGTCATGCCATCTCCTCCTGTGTCCTTCCAGCCTTGGATGGGGATGGGTGGGTGGCGGTGGCTCCCAGCTGTTGCTAATCTCTATAGCGCCTCACTGTCCTGCCCCCCACCCACTGCTCCCATGCTCACTGCCCCCACCTGTTGTTGACCTCTGAGCAGCTCCATCATCCCTGAAATCCAAACCCTGTACTGAATTCTCTTTCTTTTTCTTTTCTTTTTTTTTTTCTTTTTTTTTTTTTTTGAGACACAGTCTCACTCTGTAGCCCAAGCTGAAGTACAGTGGTGCGATCTCTCGGCTCACTGCAACCTCCGCCTCAGGGGCTCAAGCGATTCTTGTGCTTCAGCCTCCTGAGTAACTGGGCCTACAGGTGCACGCCACCAAGCCTGGCTAATTTTTTGTATTTGAGTAGAGGCGGGGTTTCACCATGTTGCCCACGGTGGTCTTGAACTCTTGAGCTCAGACCATCCGCCCGCCTTGGCTTCCTAAAGTGCTGGGATTACAGGCGTGAGCCACGGCTCCTGGCCTGAATTCCCTCTTTCAAAAGACCTAAAATGTTCTTTTATTTCTGACTGAATCCTGAATGACACAAGGAGATAACCCTTACATTGTTGAAAACATTCTATTTATTAACTTATTTCCTTGCACTTTGGGAAAAGATGATCATCACTTCATGTCAGCAGCAGCACATCTTGGCTGTATCTAGTGAAACTCCAGCTTTAGGAAACAATTTACCAGCTTCTCGGAATCACTCATCACTCCCCCAGTAAGCCAACTTGATCCCATTGCACACAGTGGTCCCTCTTCCTTAGCATCATATCTTTCTCCACTGGGTGACCTCATCTTTTAAGGCCTGACTCATAAATTACCTCTGACCTCATCAGAGCTATCTCTTCTCTCCCTCCTCCCACAACCACTCTTACAGTCCCCTGTTAAAGCCCTGGGGGTCGTTCATGTACACCTTTCCCTTGAGGACTGGAACTGTGTCTTATTCCTCTTTGTATTTCTACTGCTGATCACGATGTCTGGCCTAGAGTCAATGCTGAGTAAATATTTACCCTACGGTTAGGCAGTGAGTGCAAGAGTGCTTTGCAAAATGTTAGGGCCTAAACATATGTGAGGGATTCTTATCTAATATTCAAGGGTTAGTTAATGGTGACTCTCAGACACTGGCTGGTTCTGAGGACATCTTTCTGGAGAGGTACTTTTCCTTTTTTTTTTTTTTTTTGAGATGGAGTCTTAGTCTGTCACCCAGGCTGGAGTGCAATGGCATGATCTTGGATCACTGCAGCTTCTGCCTCCCAGGCTCAAGCAATTCTCCTGCCTCAGCCTCCTGAGTAGCTGAGATTACAGGCATGCACCACCATACCTGGCTAATTTTTGTATTTTTAGTAGAGATGGGGTTTCACCATGTTGGCCAGGCTGATCTCAAACTCCTGACCTCAAGTGATCCACCCACCTTGGCCTCCTAAAGTGCTGGGATTACAGGCATGAGCCAACACACCCGGCCTGGAGAGGTGTTTTTCTATATCCTTGAGGCTTACTGCAAGGGCTCCTGAAAACCTTTCATGGATGTGCATATACATATGTGTTTGGGGTATGTGATTGTGTGTATGCCTGTGTGTGAGAAGATGTGTGTCTAAGAAGTATCATTTGTCAGCTGAATGTGTGGGTATTTGTGAGTGTGTGCCAGAGTGTAGGTGTTTACATGTATGTGGCAATAAGGGGTCCTGGTCCTAGGCAATGTTAGTCATTGTTCTGCCCCTCTTTCAACCAACCCCCTAACCCCACCTCCCCCAGAGGCTCCCACATCCTCTGAAACTTCTGAGGTGACTTCCTATGTGACCTCTCTCTGTAGGCTGAGGCTCCTCTTTTCTAATGGAACAGAGTTTACCCCCCAGAAAAGGCATTTGGGCCTCAGGAATAGGAATGGGAATGGAGTGGGAGTTTCCACCTGGTCCTCAGCCTCCAGGAAGAGCCTGTGGAATGACTACCAAACCCCACTCTCCCCCTCTCTCATGGCTTCCAGTCTAGGCTACACTCTCCAGGCTCCCTTGCAGCTAGTGTGCCCATGTGACCCTTTCTGGCTAAAGGGATGTGGAGGATGTCATCTGTGCCAGATGATCTGTGCCATCTCTGGGCCAGGTCTTCAGTAGCTCGGGTGCCTTCCCCACACTCCCTTTTCCTTCTGCCAGCTGGACCCTTGGGCAGGATGACAAGGCCTAGAGGGAGGTACGTACTGGGTACCTAAGTCTCCCATAAGGAAGGTCTCCTGATAACCTGGCACACCGCTCTGGACTGTTAGGAAAGTGAGAAATCAAATTTGATTCTGCTTGAGGCTTTACATTATGGCAATTATTTGCAACAGCAGTTGCCTCCCCTGACTAACAGACACCCACAGGTTAGATGAAGTGAGCCTGAAGTATTTGCTATTTAGTAGGTATGTGAGTGAGAGACAGGGTGAATGTGTGTTTGTGTAAGAGGAAGACATTGGTGCTGGTGTCTATACAAGAAATCCTTGCCTTCCTGGAGTTGTCAACAAATACCACCTCTTGTATCTGCATAATTCCTCCAGCCTCCAGCCTCCCCTCTGCCCCACTAGCACCACGCCTTTCTAGGTGCTCTGTCCTCTCCTCCCTCCATCAGTGATGCACCATGGCTGCCTGTTGAGCCTCAGCACTAATTTGGAAGGGCCACATCAGGCTTCCCCTACCCGACCCCTGGCTCTCTGTGTCCTCATTACTGGCTCTTCACAGAACCACTGGCTTGCCACCCTCTCTAGTTAGCCTTGAGATCTCAGACTACATGACATGGCCTCATTAAACCAAGCCAAGCAGCCCTTACTCCCAGATTCTCTCTCTTCCTGCGAGCCCCAAAGGGACCTGTTTGCTTTCATGCATGAGCTGCAAGGGAGTAGAGGAGATGAGTGTTGTTCCATCCTGCATACAATTTATTGAGTACTTACTACGTGCCAGGAACTTGACAGGCAGAGTCTCTTTGATTCTGCATGCTGACTGTATGAGGTAGGAATAATTATCCCCTTATTACAGATGAAGAAACTAAGGCTCAGGCAGATAGAACCCCTGCTCAAGCTCACACAGCTGGAAAGTGGCTGAGCCAGGTCTGCCAGGCCACGGAGCATGATCTTCCCTATGCTGTATTACATTGAATTGAATTGAGCAGAATCAGGATTTAGCAGGAGGCAAGTCTTGGAGTCAGGCCAACTGTTTGCCAGCAATTTAAAAAGAAAAAAATAACATGCCTTACTTTACAATGATAGCTAACATTTATTGAGCACTTACTATGTGTCAAACACTGTTCTGAATATTTTCCATGTATTAGTTAATTTAACCTTGGGAAATCCTGTGAGGGAGGTACTAGTCTTATTATCATTATGGATGAGAAAATCAAGGTTCCAAGACATTAGGTGACTTGACTAAGCTCTCACAGAGAGGAGGATTGTGCTCAGCCAAGATTGAACCCAGCACTTTCACATTTCCTCAATTCATGTTCATGATAACCCCGGGAAGTACATCTAATAATTGTGCTACCTGTTTTAGAGGCAGTGGTTAACTGAACTGCCCTGGGCTCACATAGCTAATTAGAGCCAGAAATGGGACTCCAGTGAATGAGGAGGACAATCTCTCTACTTCGGGACGCATGCTCCTGGGAATTCTGAGGGAAGTGAGGGAACCACGTGGATATCCATGGGCAGAGTTTCCAGGCAGGAAGGAGGTGCCAGTGCAAAGGCCTTGAGGTAGAAACAGTGAGGAGGACGGTGAGGCTGGAACAGAGAGATGGAAAGGGAGAGTAGTAGGAAATGAAGTCACCAAGGTAGTAGATAGGAGCCAGGTTCTTGCAAGTATGTTCACTCTTTGTTCCAACTCTGAGATTGGCTGCTGGGTGCTAATGTTAAGGATTCTGAGGCTGTGTTTAAACTCAGTGGGACAGAGTCCTCTGGAGCCGGTGTCTCATACTTGCTGTTTCTGGCCTAGAGATCAGAGTAGTTAGAATTACCAGAATTACCAGTACAAGTTGTACAGCCTACTGGTGACTAGTGCCAAATGCTGGCCTTCCCTAAGCACCAGGGCCTGAGTGATAATGGGGGAAGCACATGTCTGCTCTTTAGAGTGGGACGATCATGGAGCTGGTGGGATTCAGTGAGGGCTCCAAGGATCAGAAGACTGATCTTCCAGTTGGGGCCAGGGACCAGAGGCCTGGGGTTGGGGGCTGGCCTCTGTCCCTGTTCTTCTGCCCTTGTGGCTCCTGAGAATATGGAGCTTCCACAAATGCCCTGAGGCACCCCTGCCTTACTGGCAGTTACTTTAGACTCTCAGTGAGTGAAGGGGCCACTTTCCTTTCAATATGATTGAGGCTCTGAGACAAAGCACCCCAATCATTGCCTCAATCCTCAGGTGTACCCGGACATCCACTTCCACAGCCCGCAAGACAGCAGGCAGGGTTGGCATCAGCCCCTGTTGAGTTGGCCTCTGGGTCTGGGTGTCCTTCCTTGCTCCCATCCCCCAGCCTCTTCTCTGCAAGTGGTCAGAGGGATCCTGTTAAAACCCAGGTCACATCCTGTCTTTCTCTGCTCAACCCTGCTCCTGCTCCCAGTGAAGCCCACCTCATGTAGTCAAAGTCCTCACATGGCTCACAGGCCCCAGACAATCTGCCCCTCACCTCTTGGGTTTTGTCTCCTTCTACTCCCCATTCTTACTCTACAATCTGGGCTCCCCACTGCTTCTCAAATCTGCCAAGGGGAATCCTGCCTCAGGACTTTTGCACTGGCTGTTCCCTCTGCCTGGATGCTCTTCCTCCAGATATTTATATGCTAGCTGCTTTGCCTCTTTCAGGTCCCTGTTCCAATATCACGTTCTCAGCGAGGCCATCCCAGATCACGTTATCAACACTGCGGGCTTCCCCAGGCTTGTTACTCCACTCCATTTTTCCCCAATGCATTTTTATTGCCCAACAGACAATATCATTGATTTATTATGATTACTGTTAATTGTCTTTCTCTCTGTCTACTAGAATGTCAGCTCCCTGAGGTCAGAGTTTGTTTGGGTTGTTTTTTTGTTTTTTGTTTTTTGTTTTTTTTTGCCTGTTTTGTTCACTGATAGTTTCCCAACACCTAGAATGATACTTGGCACAGCACAGACCGTTGAAAACATTGGTTGAACTTGCAAATGAAATGAATATTCTACACTGCACTGCCCAATATAGTAGCTGCATGTGGTCATTCAAATTTAACTTCAAATTAATAATAATTGATTAGAATTAAAAATTTAGTTTCTGAGTCATAACAGCCAGATTTCAAGTGCTCAGTAGTCACATGGGGCTAGTGGCTACTGGATTGGACAGTGCCACTGTGTGACATTTCCATCAACACAGGCAGTGCTATTGGATGGTGCTGTTCTAGAACATGCTATGCAGCCCTATCCATGTACCCAGCAAGTGGTATTAACACTGTCATTTTCTATGTGAGCCCTCATGCACCAAACAGGTGGGCCAGTCCAGGTGATGTTGTCCAGCTTTGGGGAGTTCACACAAGGGATGAATTTGTCTTGGAGGCTTTGATCTAGACCTCTGAGCAGTTCCCCATTCTCTCTGAGGCTCTGGACAACTTCATCCCTCCTTTATGACTCTTCCAGTTCTCCATGGTTCCTAAGACCTCTGGGTTCAGCGTGCCCTCTCTGGGATTCTCTCAGGCCTAGCTCAAGCTTATCTGCCCACTGGAGTGTTCTCTCTGCCTCCCATACTCAGCCTGTGCCCCAGCCCCTTCCCAAGGCTTGGCCCCACTGGCAAAGCTGCCTTGCCTTCCCCACAGTCCTCAAATAGGGCCAGCCCTTAGCCAGCCTGTGTCTTTGGGCCCCCTCTGGTCCTTTGTTTCGATATTCTGGTTCCTGCTTTTCTGCCTCTCATGTTCAAGCTACCCAGCTACCCATTACACATCTGACACATTTCTATTGAGAAAAATCCCTCATAGATCCAATAACAATGATAGATGTCATCGGAATACCTGCCATTAGCAAGAGAAGCTGAAGAGGCAGCAGGGTACAGTGGATATGCACACAGGCTCTGGAGTCAGACTGTAGGGTTCCAATCCTGGTTTTGCACATACCAGCTGTAATACCTTATCTTGGGCAAGTTTCTTAATCTCTCTGTGTTTGCTTCCTAGAAATATCCCCTTTCTGTAAAATGGGGCGTTCATAATCTCTGCCTTATAGGGTTGTTATGAGGATTCAAGGAGTCATGATTCATAAAGTACCTAGGTCAGTGCCCGGCACAGAGTAAGCCCCGCATGAGGGTCTGTTACATAAAGGAGTGGGCCATGCTTAACCCATGTAACCCCAAGGAAATGCCTCTCTGATGGTGGAAATCCAGGCCTCAGGGATTTGTGGCTGGCAAACCTCATGCAGGCTAGAAACTAGGAGACTCGGGCAGTGCCTGACCCTGGCTGGGCTGGCAGGGAGGCATCTTGGCTTCAATACTTGCAGCAGAATGGGTCCCCCCTCCAACCCCCCATGAAACTATTGTTCAGAGTTCATGTGGAGGAAGTGTTAGTAAAGGCCTGGCTGAGCAATGGCAGAGATGACAGGAAATTAGGCCAAAGAAAGCTGAGCCCCAGCAGGCTGCCTCTGTGCTCATCTCCCCAGCGTTAGGCCTTACCTGGTGACAGGTGAGGATCACTCGTTGGGAGGCCCTGTGTTTGCTCCCTGACTTGGGAGGCATGGCAGATGCAGCTGCCAGGCAAGGACTTGGGAAAGTCGCAGCCCAAGTGTTTGGTGGAGGCAACAGTGTCAGGGAGGGAGCGTCGCCCTCCTCCATGGGGCTCCTTCATGGAGGGGATAAAGCCAGGAGGTGGGAATCCAGGCACTGGCACTGCACCACCGGGGTTCAAGCCCCAGTGCTGTCACTGACCAGCAGTGTGACCTTGGGCAAGCCACGTAACCACCCTGTAAGAGGGAGCAGATGATACAGCCCCGTCGCAGGGTTGCTACGAGGATGAAATGAGCGAATCTCTGTGATTTGAACAGTGCCTTGTCCCTAGTGAGTGCTTAATTTGTGCTAGTGTTTGTGACTGAGGACAGAGAAGTGAATCCAGGCCTGAGGCTGGATACTGGCTCATGGATCAGGTGCACAGCCAGCTCTGCAGGCCAGCCGTCTGAGGTCTGGCAGTCTGTTTTGGTGCAGGCCACTGGGGCCAGCCTGCCCGCTGATCCAGGCACTTCTCTTGCTGACTAACCAAGGTGTCTGCTTGCTCTTCCCAGTTCTCCTCTGCCCTCACCATGCACAGATCCTAGGAACTCCAGGTTGAGAAGGACCCTGAGAGCCCCCCTGCTCATCAGCGCCTCCATAGCAGGCCCACCTGGCTGTCAGCACCCTCTGCTCACACACTTCCAGGACATGCCAGGCAGTCATCCTAGCTCTGGACAACTCTGAGTGACTCATGGGGGCCGTGGTCTGACAGACTGCGTCTTCCTCCCACCAGCCCAATGCAACCCCACAGCTGCCCAGAACAAGCCTGTTTCTTTCTTTTGGACATGTTGTTGCTTCCCATATTGTGAGGCCACTCTCTCATCCCACCTTGAAGAATTCACATTTCCATTTCCTCCAACCATTTCCTCATAGCACAGTTTCTAGTTTGCTGGCAGGCTGCCCCGTCTGATCATACCTGATCACATGTCAGTTTGTCTTTGGCCCTTCTCTTTGGGGGTTCTCAGTAGTCAGACCCTACATTGCCCCAGTCAGACATCACACTTGTGGACACCACCCCCTCCCTGGAAGTACACTGGATTCTCTAGAAGCCACATCCCACTGGTGGTCACACTGAGCAGACTGTCAATGGAGAGGCCCTGTGCTTTCCCAGGACTGCTGTTAAGCCACATTGCTTAAACAGTGTCCCCACGACTGCAGGCTCAGCCAACCCAGGCAAGCTCTTGAGCCCATGTAAGGCCTGCCTCTCTCTCTCTCATTCTGTGTATGTGTGTGTGTCCTCATTCAGGTCTCCACAGATATAGAAGTCTTCTCTATTTAATTGTATTTAATTGTCCTTAGCTTCCAGCCCCCAGGGACTGGGTTGGCATATCTTAGAGGAAAGAGTGTAGGCTTTGGACTCAGACAGAAATCTCTCTTTGAAGGCTAGTTCTGCCCCCGACCAGATGTGTGACTGTAGACCATGTGACTTTCCTCTCTCTGAACCTCTGTTTCCTCACATGTGAAATGGGAGAGTAATACTAGCCTTCTGTGGTGAGTGTGAGAAATCAAGTACAATAGGAATAAACATGTCTGCTCCCTTCCTGGGTCATCTGGTACCACAATGGCGATGACTACAATGATGCTACTTGTCATTTATCTCCTGGAGGAGCTGAGAAGAGCTTGTTCAACAACAACTCATCACTTGGAGAAAAAATGCAGAAGGTGTCAGATCAATTATACCTTGTTATAAACACAGACGTGTGCAAAGTGAAGATTCCCCACCAGCTGTGCCCAAGTCACGCTAGAACAGCCAGCAGACACCAAGTAAACACCACCTAATGATGAACCTGGTCGGACCATTCACGCCAGTTGGCAGATCCATAATTTCATGGGGGCATCACCCGGAGCAAAGCCAGCACCAGCCTCCTTGAAAATGCTATCGTATGCTCTCTTTGGCAGCATTTCCATTAAAACTGGAACCATGCAGAGGTCAGCATGGCCCCTGCAGAAAGATGACAGCAAATTTGTGAAGCATTTTATATGAAATTCTGGTACATGCTACAACTTGTGTGAATCTTGTGTGATTCCACTTATATAAAAGACCTGGAGTAGTCAAATTCATAGAGACAGAAAGTAGCAGGGTGGTTGCTGGGTGCTGGGGGGAGTGAGGAATGGGGAATTCTTATTTAGTGAGTACAGAGTTTTAGTTTGGGGTGATGAAAAAGTTCTAAAATGGATGGTGACAGTGACTGCACAACAATATGATGTATTTAGTGCCAGTGAACTGTCCACTCAAATGTGGTTAAAATGGTAAATGTTATGTATATTTTACAATAAAAAATGGCAAAAAATATCGCAAAGCCAATTCTACCAGGTGAGCAGGAAGAGGAGAGGTTGTTGGAAATAGATGTGTCACTTCAGGGAGGCTGATGAACATATGGGTGGCAGTCACCCTCGGCAGGGGCTTCTTGGTTCTATTGTCTATGGGCTTGGGTGGTCCTGTCAGATCTGGGGAAGGAGACAGCATTTGGGGAGGGGTAGAAAGAACCCCTGGCCATCTGATGCTATTCTACATGTGCCCCAATGGATGAAGAGTAGAGCAACTCCAGAGCAGAAGTTGGCAGGAATCAAATGCCTGGGAAGAAGTCGCTGAAGATCCAGCATGGTGGTTCACAGCAGCTGGGCCTGGGTTCAAATCCTGCTCTAGCAATGACTAGCTGCGTGACCCTAGGCAGATTACTTACCCTCTGCCTCAGTTAAATAGGAACACTAGTACCTACTGTGTAGGAATATAGTCAGGACTAAATGAGGTAAAGTGTGTTAAATGCTAGGGGTGCCTGGCAATAAATGAAGGAATGGTAAACACTGTATTTTGTTTCAATGCCAATGGTGAAGTCAACAGTAACACTTTGTCTTAGTTTCTTTGTATTGCTTAACAGAATACCACAGAATAATTTATATTTTTAAAAAACAGCAACAAAATTTTCTCACAGAACTGGAGGCTGGAAGCCCAAGATTAAGGTGCCAGCATTTGGTCTGATAAGGGCCTTCTTTCTGTATCCTCACATGGCAGCAGTGGAAGGGCAAGAGAGACAGAGAGCCCCCTCGGTAGCCACAAGCCCTCATGACTTTATCACCCCTTACAGGCTCCACTTCTTCATCCTATCATCCAGGATTAGGTTTTAACCTATGAATCTCAAAGAGGACACAAGCATTCAAACTATTGCACCCTTAATAAAGCAAATCTGGGTAAAATGAAGCCCTCAGTCATTTCATGGAGGGGCATTGGGGCCCCACCTTTTCCTTCAATTATAACCATCTCCCTCTGTCAGATCAGAAGCTGTATCATAAGAAGGAACCTGTATCGACCCCCAGGGTGAATTTGTGCTCTAGTGAAGAAGGTTTACTGACTGTGCCATGCCTGGTGAGTCACTTCCCATGTTTGAGCCTCGCCTTCACAGTTTTCTCACTTGCAAAATGGGTTCGTAACAGCAATCATATGGTGTCTTTGTGAAAATTAAGTACTATGATATTTGTTCAGTACAGAGTATGCTGCTGAGAGTATGTTTATGCAATAAAAAGAAGCCATGATGATGTTTGCATTTGGTATTTGAAGATCAGTTTCAAATGTTGGCCCCACCATCTGCTAGCTGAGCAATCTTGAACAAGGGATTTTGCTTCTCTGAATCTCAGCCTCCTCATCTGTCAAACGGGAATGAGAACACTACCACCTCCCCCAAAGGACCGTCTGGAAAACCTAAGACGCACATCTACTTGGACACAGTATGTAAGTGGTGAAGCATTTATAAATGTGAGGTGTCCATTTTTTATAATGGGGACAGCCAGCACTCGTGCATGAATGAGTGACCGAGAAACTTATTGACACTTCCTTGGGGGCTGTTCCAAGCTGCATGCCTGGAGGCAGACCCCCTGGTGAGAGACTAGCTGGGCATCCGGCTGCTGAGTTGCTGCATCATCCTGCCTGCTGCCTCACCCCACGGAGAGTTGCCCTTTCCACCCAGCAGTCAGGAGGAGCCCACTCAGCACTTCGCTGGGCTGTGTTTCTGCTGATTCTCCCTGGATACCTCTGTCTCTAACAAGCAGTCTGCTCAGGAAGGAATTAATTAAGGGTGGGGAGAGTGACGACCTATAGCAGGAGGTCTCAGGTGGGCAGCTGGGAAGCCCCACTCTGTCCAGCCAAGTGGAAGGTCCTGATGCACTCCCAACCCTGGAGTCAGCAGGAGGGAGGGTGGGGGAGCAGAGCCGTCCCCACCCACCAGCCATCCTCATGTCCAGGCTGGAGGATGAGGCTCTAACTCCCACTCTGTCATGACTTGTTCAGCCTTGAGCAATTCACTTTCCTTCTCTGTGCTTTTAACATTCTAGAATTTCACAAGAACATCACTGGAAGAGGGGTGATGGGAGCACGGGGGAGGCAGGAGGAAGGGGATGGGATATTGGGGTTGTGGAAGTAGGGGCAGCAGCACGTCCCTGACCCCGAAAGCACACAGGAGTTAGCATCAAAGTGACCTGGGCTCAAATCCCATCTCCACAATTTATTGACTATATCTTTACTCCCTTACTTAACTTTCCGTAGCTTTTGTCTTCTTATTTGTAAAAGCAGTTTGCAAACCCAATTTGCAGAGTTATATGAGGATCAGAAGTAATGTACACCAAGCACTGGCATACAATATATACTCAATAAATCATTTATATATATAGTGAATGCTTACATACTTTATTATTGTCTATCTTCTATTTATCTTTCTATCATCTCTTACAGACTAACACCATCCATTCCACCCACCTCGCAGCAGGACCCCTCCTGGTGGCAGAAGATGAGCCGCCTGAGGGCACAGGTAGTTTTAGGGGTTGGGGTCTCTGCCAGATGGGCAGAGGAGCCTTCCTATGGGATTTGTTCATTAGCCAGGAGCTTTAAGGTGGGGCTGGCCTAGCCTAGAGGTGCACCATCCTGATTTTGCCTGTGAATTACTAAAAGCAGCAGTGTAATTATCCTCCTTCCTCTGTCCTGCCCCAAGTCTGGGAGCAGCCAGGGCCTATGGGGACAATGAACACAGAACAGAGCCATTAATTGCACACCAGGGTCCCTGGAGGATGGCCATATGGGCCTGTCATCTTAGTGTGGAAGTAATCATGTAAATAAATCACGTGTGAGTAAATCACAGACTTATCTCATCTGTAATTTTCTGGGAGTCTCTCCAGCACTGTTTATTGAGGTGCATGGGTCTGAAGCCCCAGAAATTGGCTCACTCTCCTCCCTCTCCTGCTCCAGCTGGGGAGAGGCCATTCTGGGTGGCAGATGGGAGTGAGGCTGATGAGGAGTCGTCCCTGCTCTGCTGGGGTACATGCAGGTGCAGTGGAGGGTGAACCCCAAACGGGCACGGTAGGAGTAGGGGGGCTGTGTGAGTGAGTGGCCGTTGGCCAGTGTGTGCGTGTAGGTACGTATGTGAGTGTGACTGTGCGTCCACTGGCCAGCGTGGAAGCAGCCCTGGGCATGTGAGCAGGGAAAAGGATTGACCTGAGGCTGTGAGCACCTGTGAACATGCACAGGTCGGGTGAACACTCGAATCAGCGTCCTTACAAAGGCCACATGGCCCTGTGGGGTCTGGCCCCACTGCCTCTCTGCCCCATCTCGCCCACCCTGCCCTGCACTCTGTGCTTCAGCCACCCTGGCCTCTTCGTTGCTCCTCAGAAACACTCCAGCCATGGAGGCTTTGCCCTGGCTCTTCCTTCTGCCTGGAGGGCCCTTCCCACAGACCTCAGTCCAGCTCCCCTTCAAGTCTTTCCTCAAATCCCACCTTCTCGGTGAGGCCTGCCCTGGACACGCTAGCTAATATTACAACTTACCCACCACCCCCAGCACCCTGCCATGTCTTGCCTGGGGTTTCTTTTTTGTGTGGCACTCACTGTCTCCCAGCACCCATATCATTTACTCATTTGTGGTGCCTGTTGCCCGTTTTCCTCTCATAAGGACCAGGATTGCCAGCTGTTTTGTTGACCGATGTGTTCTAAACATCTGGAACAGGAGCATTTCTTTGCTAGCATAGCTGCCTCAGGTCTCTCATCTGCATGTAACGTGGGGAGGAGACAGAAGCCATCCAGGTCATAGGGCTGCTGGACAGGCTCAATGGTCGGATATCTAAAAGCACTGACAGCAGCCTTGGCACACTGTTCATTAGCTGTGAGCTCTTGTTATCATGCTCCACTGCAGCCTGGAAGTGAAGACTGCGTGAGTGATCCATGGAAGGATCTGGCACAGCAGCAGGTATCCTAGGGAGGGGTCCTGATAAACACTTCCCGCCCCACTCCCACTCCACACCTTACAAATTCTCAGGAAGAAAAATTTTCTGACCTTCCTCAGTCAAGGAACTCATATTTTGAGGGATCCCTTTGAGTTAATGAATTATTTATCAGGAAATTTATAAGATTTTTGGTTTTTTAAATCAAGGGAAAAAGCAAGCGAGGTCCCACCCCTGCCTAGCCTGGGGCTGCACAGCTCCGGGGTCCCATAGGTAACAGAGCATGACTGACAAGTACATCGTCTGGAGGGTATGAGAGTCGCTCAGACCATGCAGGACCTGGAGCTCTGGCCTGAGAGCTTCTCCCAGCTTTGCAACCCCTAACAGGCTATGAGACTGGGGTCAAGTCTTATCCCTTCTCTGGGTCTCCGCTTTTCCCTGACACCGTGAGGCATTCGAATTAAGCCATTTCTTAAGTAATTTCCAGACTCATTCACTCATCCAAGAAATGTTTGTGGAGCTTATGTGACAGGCACTGCTCTAGGTGTCTGTGGGGATGGCAGTGACCCCCACTGATACAAGTCCCTGCCTTGTGGAATTGACATTCTCTGTGGGGACAGAGCAAACAGTAAACACAATTGGTAACTGATTTAGTATGTTAGAAAGTGGACTGTGCTAAGGAAAAAAGAACAAGTAGGTAAGAGAGAAAAAGAAAGTGCTGAGGTTAGAGTGGGACAGCTCAGCTTTAAGTGGGTGGTCAGGCATCACCTCATTGAGCAGGTGAACTTTTGAGGTGAGGGAGATCTTACATCCTAGGAATCTAAGAAGGTCAATGATTCCCAGCACTGCCGTGTTCCAGAGAGCACCGTTTGGGGTCTCTGGAGGCTTATCTCTTCTTTTTCTCCATCTCTGTGCACACTGACCCCATGCCACCCAGTGGGTGATGGGACTGGAAGACAGATTGGCCACATTTGCAAGAGTGGTGAGTGATTTACCGCTGCCTTTATTCATACTCTGATATTTCATGGCTCCCGCAGCTCTGATGAGATAAATATGACCTCTTATTCTCCACTTTGCTTAAGACTCAGGGTCAACAGCCCAGCTGTGATCTATCTGTTGTTCCCTCTGCTGTATGTCCCCACACCAGGGAATCCCGTGACTGTCCGAGATTCACAGTGTCATCCTCCAGCTATACACGCCTGCCTGCCACTCAGCACTGGGCCTGGGCCTGGGTGGGCCAGGGAGGCAGTGGCTGCAGTAGCTCTGGGGGGATGATGACTCATGTAGGGCAGACACTGAGCATTAAATCTCGCTCTTCCCCAGGCCTGTGCTGTCTCTAGGGCTGAACCACGACCCGGTTTCCTTTCAGTCTGGGAAGAGGCAGCAGTGGGAGGCAGAGCAGCCATGGTTCAAGTGGCAAGTTATAAATTAGAACACTCCAGGACATGGCCATCATCTTCCCAGCATGGAGAAGGGGTGGAAGGCATGCATCAGCCTGCCTGCCTCAGATGGAATCCCCCAGGCCCTTGAAGCAGCCGAGGCTCCCCTCTGCCTTCAAAGCAGCCGTGGCTTTATCAGACATCACCAGCACTGACGGAAGTTCTCCTACTTGTCTAGCTGAGAGCCCTCCCCTCCTGAAGCACCCACCTGTTTCCTCTTGTTCCTCCTTATGTGCAGGTGGGTGGGATGGGTGGGTCTGGTTCAGTCTCCCCCTCATGGTGGTTCTGAGTGCCAGTAGGCTGATGGTTCCGGGGTTGTTAGTAGATTGGGCGACCAGGAAGGGGACAGGGTTGAAGGAAATGGGCTCACTGGCCTCTATTTTGAAGACATTACCTATGACTCCAAGACGCTCGTCTCACCCCCTCAATCCTAACTCATGTCCTGGGAGGAAGAGGAACAGGCAGGAGCTCTTTGGAGCACAACAGGCCTGGGTTTGAATCTGGCCCTGCCAGCTCCTAGCTGGGAGGCCTCGGGCAGCTTACATACCCTCTCTTCTCCCTGCAATTCCTAACCTAGGAAAGAATCGTAACCCTGCCTCCCAGGGGGCTATGAAGGTGCCTGGTGCAGTGGGGCCCACACTGTGGGCACTCAGAAGCTAGCTGAGCACTATTGAGGCCTCAAGATGCTGCAGACCCTGAAGCCAGTCTGCTTGGCTTCAAATTCCAGCTGGGACACCTCGGGCAGGCTTCTTCACCAGGCCATGCCTCAGTTCCCCCCTCCTCCCCGCCGTAAAATCAAGGTAATACCAGCACCTTTTTTGTCAGGATGTTGAAATAATTAAATGAGCTAATAAACAGAAACCATGTAGAACAGTACGTGGCATGGAATAATTTCTCAGAAAGGTTGACTCTTATTATCCTTATCTTTATTGGAGGAGAAACCGCCTGCATTTACTTAGCACTTTTGACCTAATTCCATCCATTGGCTTTGTGATTTATAACCCATTTATTTCCAATCAAAGAAATGCAATGACTTGAAACATTAAAACATATAAAATCGGACACGCAAAATTTGTTAATGTTTTATTGAAGATTGAAAATCAATAAAAAGGCTTGAGTGAGAAGCTTGGCCCCCCCAGGCGGGGTCACTGTGACACCCAGAGGATGACTTCAGTTATAAACCCCACGTGACCACAAAGCTGAACACGGCCCTGGGCCACTCTCTTTTGGGAACAGCCTAGAGAGGAGGCAGCAAGATGGTTCCGGACAATGTGAGGGGAGTGGCTTTGTTGGGGTACTCTGTGTGGGAGTTGGCACCACAGGAGACTAGGGAGAGCTGAGGCTGCCTTCAAATGTGGGGCACTTTCAGCTTCAGAGGAGCTTCTTCAGCCCACTTTGGTCCACACAGGACACATTCAGTGTACTGCCCACTGCCAGACCCCACATCTGCAAAGAGACATCACAAAACCTGCACACATCTGAGGCAAGGGACCAGAGACCCACCCCAGACAACTTTCTGCTCCAGAGACAGAAAAACATGCCAGTCTTTCCCCGCAATGCCTCCTGTGCCTCCTCGCTGATTGAGCTCCTACTTTTACTTGTTTTTGTTTTGTTTTGTTTTGTTTTGTTTTGTTTGAGACAGAGTCTTGCTTTGTCGCCTAGGCTGGAATGCAATGGTGCAATCTCATCTCACTGCAACCTCCACCTCCTGGGTTCATGTGACTCTCCTGCCTCAGCCCCCCAAGTACCTGGAATTACAGGCACGTGCCACCATGGCCAGCTAATTTTTGTATTTTTAGTAGAGACGAGGTTTCACCATGTTGGCCAGGCTGGTCTTGAACTCCTGACCTCAGGTGATCCACCCACCTCGACCTCCCAAAATGCTGGGATTACAGGCATGAGCCACGCACCCGGCCTGAATTCCTACTTGACCTTCTGGATCACCTCTTCCAGGAAGCCTTCCCTGGCTTCCCCAGGCTAGGTCAGTTCCCCAGGACCTGCTCTAGCATATATTTGCACAGCATTTATCACAGCTGTAGCTACTGAATCGGTGAAGACCTCCCAGAATAGTTGTTTAACGTTTGTCTGCCTGGGAGATGCGAGTTGCAGGAGGGCAGAAATGCCTTGTTTGTAGCTGCCCTTCCCATGTGTGGCCCAGACTTGAGTTGTAAACTTAAACACCTCTCGAATGACTAAAGGTAAAGGCAAGGATGGAGGAAGGCAGGGAGGTAGGATGTTGAATCTGAACAAATAGCACTGGGTGAAACTGAGAATTATGTTCAAAAATTAACTGAACATATTACAGAAAAAGAATTAGTTTTATGCCTAATAAGGATGAAGGCAGAATCTGAAGGTTGGAGGTAGAGGGAGATAGATTTGAGGGCCTGCAGTGAGATGTCACTTTTGTTTGCTTGTTTTGAGATGGAGTCTCACTTCTTTGCCCAGGCTGGAGTGCAATGGCGGAATCTTGGCTCACTGCAACCTCTGCCTCCTGGGTTCAAGCAATTTTCCTGCCTCAGCCTCCCCAGTAGCTGGGATTACAGGCATGTGCCAGCACGCCCTGCTAATTTTTGTATGTTTAGTAGAGATAGGATTTCACCATGTTGGCCAGGCTGGTCTCAAACTGCTGACTTCAAGTGATCTGCCCGCCTCAGCCTCCCAAAGTGCTGGGATTACAGGCGTGAGCCACCATGTCCGGCCAATGAGGTGTAACATTTTAGCCAGTGGCACCCAACAGTGGTGGGGGCTTTCTTGTTTCTGGCAATTTATTCCTGCATGAGGTCAGCCAACATCCCAAGGGGGTGGCGGGAATGAGGGGTGGTGGGTGGGAGGAGTGGTGGGCACCACAAGGATTCACAGAAAGGAGAGCGTTGGCCTGGATGAGCTTGAACTGACCTTTTCTTACACTGGACTTTTTTTGGTTTGAGAGTAGCAAGCATGAGCCCCATTTTAAAGACAGAAGAACCAAGTCCAAGAGAGTTGCAATAAATAAGCAACTGGACTGGTCCCAGGGACTTTGACTCTGTCTTTCCTCTCCCTGACTCTCCCAAGCCCTTGGCAATAAGTCCACACAGGAGAACTGAGCTTTGAGGTCACCTCGTGACCCCTCCTGACCCCCTTCCTCCTTCTCCTGCTAGGGCATCCACTGTGCCCTCCCTCGGGTCAGCATCCACTGTTCGCCAGTCCCAGGAAAAAACCCACTTCGCCATCTCCCAGGTTTCTGCCCATTAAATGTGCAAAGAAACCCATCTTTAATGGTGGAATTCCCGGCCCTCCGAACTGTGAAGGAAGCATTTTTAAACAGGGTTCTGTTCTTAGGCCTGTTCTAGTCAGGGTGGGGAAGAATAGGGCTTGGGTCTAAACCTGGGCGCTCCTGCTTTCCTGGCCTGGGAGAAGTAGCTCCCCACCCATTCCCTTTTGCTGCAGGACAGAAGCTTCCTTCCAGCCCCCGGCCCCTGAGGGAAGAGACTGCTGAGCACCAGCCAAGCCAACCCAGGAATCTTCAAAGCCTCCCTGTTCCACTCAGACCTTTTTCCTAGCAACAATCAAAGCTTGAGGGAGGAGAGCAAAGCAGCCTTGGGAAGCAGCCCTTGGCACTGGCTCACACGCGGTGGCATTTTGACGGGTGGTAAAAATATCTGGTGTTCAGTGCCGGCTGCCGCTGCTGCCACCATCTCAGCTTCCAAGATCCTGTCTCCATGCTCAGTGCCTCGGCAGCCTCCCGACCTGTCCACGCACACCTTGGGAGTCAGAGCACAGGTCACTGAGCCCCTGACCAAGGGCCACATTCATGTATGACAACTGCCACCTTCATTGCCAGGGCCAGGCACCAGCCAAAAATGCACTTATGAGCTACTAGAGTAGGTGATTTATTGTCAGAAATGCCACAGCACACACCTAATGAGCTAATTAAGCAAAAATATAAATAATTACTCCCTATCAGAGTACAAGGTTGTGGGGTAGAGGGGGTGGGGAATGCTGACAGAGGAGCTGGGTCAGTGATGGCGTGGGATGCTCTGCTCTGCAGGGGGAGATCCAAAACTCCTCTCCACTCACGGCTATGAGTTGGGCCTCAGTGAGGTTCCCAGGCTGGGCAGACATAGGCCCAAGGATTCTGCCAGAAAAATCATGACAACATGCTGCTTTGTTCCCTACCTAAGTACTTCCTGCTCACTCACAGGCGCACACCCTAATCTCCTCCTGCCCCAAGTGGGAGAGAAAGAAGGGGTCCTTCTCCCATTTTATGGATGTGAACATTCAGGAGCAACAGGGTCTCAAGATACAGCTAAAACTCTGCAACCATCCCGTAACTGGTCTCCCTGATGCTATCCCTGCCTGCTGCGGTATATTCTCCAACCAGCAGCAGAATCTTCTTTCTTAATCACATCATGCCAGTCTCCTACTTTCAAATCTCCCCAGCCCCAGCCCCAGAGGTTTCCGTCTCATTCAAGATAAAATCCGAGGCCTCATCATGGCCAGCAAGGGCCTATGTAATCTAGCCCTGTCCAGTCTTCTCACTCATTCACTGCCACTCTTCCTCCAGAGGCACTGGAGTCCTTGCCACTTCTCCAACAGGATGAATGCATCCCTCCCCAGGGCCTCTGTATGTGCTGTTTCACCTGCCTGACTCTTTCACTCCATTCAGGTCTCCACTCCAACATCACTCCTTACAGAGGCGATTCCTAACCACCCATATAAAACTGTAGCCCTCTGGTCTCGGTCTCGTTACACTGCTTATTTTTCTTCCTCGTGTACATTTTTGAACTTTTCATCTCTCCCCCCAGTAAGAATGTAAGCTCCTTGATATTCAAGGCCACCCATACTTTTCCCTGTTCCCACCTCTGCCTTCCTATCACTTCCCTAGGCAAGAGCTGTGCCTGTCTTTTCCCAATCCTGAGGTCTTGACCAGACAATAAATATTTATTGACTGAATAAATGAATATCTGGTTCCAAATACAGAGTTTTCCTCACCCCAGGTCATTCTTCCCCTCAGAACTAGACCCTGGCTTCTCATCAGCAACAGGAGGAAGCCCAAAGTCAGGACAGCACTTGTTCCAAGCTCAAGCTCCCCTGCCTCCAAGCTGTGAGACCTTGCAAGTCACGCCACCTCCCTATGGCTCAGAGTCCTCATCTGTCAAGTGGCAATCATGGATCACACCTCATAGGGTTAACATGAGTCCAAATAAGAAAACATGCAGAACAGCTTTAGAACAGTACCTGGAGTGCAGTAAGGGCTCAGAAACATAGCTACTTTGTGTGACATTCAAGGCTATCCATACTCTGCCCTCTTCCAACCTCTGCATTCCTATCCTTTTCCTAGACCAGTGATTCTCAAAGTAAAGTCCCAAGACCAGCAGCATCAGCATCCCGGAGAGAATGTATTAGAAGTGCAAATTCTCAGGCTCCACTCGGTACCTACTGAATTACAAACTCAAGGGGCAGGGTCTTGCACTTGTGTGTTCACAAGCCTGCCAGGTGATTCTCATGCTTGCTCAGGTTTGAGAACCACTGCCCTCTAAGGGGGCTTTCTGCCAGGAAAGTCAAGTGTCGCAAATTATTGGTCCTGTTTCTTTACCAGCCTGTGATACAGCAGCACCTCCACAGCCTTTCATGGATTGATGCTGAGCGCAGTTCATTCCCTGCACCTTGCCTTTGGGCTTGGCCATGTAACTTGCTGTGGCTAGCGGGATTTTGCAGGTGTGATACCAACAGAAGCTTGACGTTCATTTCTGCAGGTGGGCTTGCCTTCCTGCATTTCTGCTATCACCATGAGAAGAACATACCTGGAGAACCACTACCCCTCTCCTGGGGCTCCAGGATGAGATACACAGAGAAGATTGAAATCAGAACTGGAGCCTGAAGCCAAGTGCAGTCCTGCCCAGCCCAGCCCAGGCCAGACCAGTTCAACTCCAGCCAACCTGCAGAGCTATGACTAAGGAAATTCAATATTCTTGGATGTAAGCCACCTAGAGTTTGAGGTTCTTTGTTATGCAACATGGTTGTGGCAGCAGCTGATGAATACACCAGGGGCCCTCACAGGCCTTTGACTGGGCCTGATCATTCCTGCCTCTGTCTCTGTCTTCATTGGTTTCACCCAAAACAGCTACCACCCCCTCACCCTGACCCCGCACAGCCTCCTTCCTTCCAAATCCCACCTTAACCCCAGGACACAGCTTACACTCCACTCTACCTGCTCTCATAGCCCCCCAGAATATGTTCCTCTCAAGCCAGGCAGTTAGCTCATGGAAAAGCCCAAGTGGACTAATTTCACCAAGCAATTCATTTACGTTTTAACCTTTTGCGGGGCTAATTGCTAAACTGAGAAGCTCCTTTACTTAGTACCATTACTGACTAATGACCTAGTGCAAAGGTTTGGTGTTTAACAGATCTCTTCCATGCTTCATTTCCTGCCGCTCACCTCCTTTACAATGCAATCGGAGTTCATTCGCATATCTGGATCAGCACTCTTAACCACAGCATCAGCCCCACAGCCGCAGAGCACAGCGGAGCCCACCTTTGGAGCCCACCCCTGCTGGAAATAGCTCTCTTTTGTAAAGAGTTAACGAGCTCGTTCATCCACAGTGCTTGGCTGCATGGCCCTGCATTCACCCCGGGGTGGCCCATCGCGTCCTGTGGTTTTGTGCCATTCTTCCTGCCCCACCTCTGAGACCCTGAAGATGGTGGACATTAATTTGACTTCTTGTTGTGATCCCTTCTGTCACCCACAGGGTGCCCACTCCCATCACACACATTCATGCCAGACCATAGGCCTAATTGTCAAGAAGTAAGCTTCCCTCTTTGCTTTGCTCTGTGTCTCCAGAGATGAGAAAAGAACACTCACAGACAGGCAGGAAAGCAGCCCCATCAGCTTCCCCCCCAGGCTGGCCTCAGCCACAAACTGGCTACTGGTTGCTGGGACTGTGTGGGCAGGTGCCAAGAAATGCTCACAGCAGCGATGCTTTCGCCCATGCAGCTCTGTGGCCATCATACGCCTCCCCAACATCCATTCCCCACTTCTAACTTCCCGGCAGAACGTTATTTTATCTAATGGGGAGCAACATGCGTGAACAGACAATCGCCTTCCTCAGCCTCCAATGTGCACTGGAGGAAATACAATAAGCTAGCAGCAAAAGTCAGTGGGTGGGATTCTTTAAAGTGGTTGGTGCCTGTCTTAGTTTGGGTTTCCCAGATGCAGACCCTGAGACAAGGATTTGAATACAAGTAGTTTATTTGGGAGGTGGGCTCAGGAAACTGTGGTAAGGAAGTGTGGAAGGAAGTCAGCACAGGGCATTTTGCTAAGCAAGTTACCACTGTGGGCAATGAGGCCCACCCCTAATGGGAGCCCCTGGGAGTGAGCATAGACCATGTATCTGCCTTTCTCCAAGGCTGAGGAAGCTGGGGTATTAATCCTCCAAACTCTGTTAAAGGCTGAGGGCTGATCCCAGGGTTGGCGACTCCTCTGTGGATAGGCCACACCAGAGAAAGTCCCCAGGTAGAGAATGTGAGCAAGAGCAAGAGCAGTGAGCCACACATTAAGAATAATGCAATTGACCTGCTTCAGTCCCTGACTCCATGGAGCTCCCATACCAGCTCTGAACTACCTCCTTCTGGAATGCTTTGACAGAATTGTGAACTCACAAAAGTATCTGATAGGTCTCAATCCATTTAGAAAGTTTATTTTGCCAAGGTTAAGGACATGCCCATGATGCAGCCTCAGGGGGTCCTGGAGACACGTGCCCAAGGTAGTCTGGGTGCAGCTTGCTTTTATACATTTGAGGGAGACCTAATACATCAATCAATACATGTAAGATGTACATCAGTTCAAACTGGAAAGGCAAGAGGTGGGTCGCTTTGAGGTAATAGGTAGATTTAAAGATGTTCTGATTGGCAATTGGCTGAGTTATTATCAATAAAAAGGAGTGTCTGGGTAACAATAAAGAGTAGTGGAGACCAAGGTTTTATCATGCAGATGAAGCCTCCAGGTAGCAGGATTCAGAGAAAATAGATTGTAAATGTTTCTTATCAGACTTAAAGAGTCTGTTCTGTCAGTAATTCCAAAAGAGAGGAGGGTATAATGAGGCACATGTGGCTCCTCATTCCTATCATGGCCAAGTTTTTTCAGGTTAACTTTGGAATGCTCTTGACTGAATGGAGGGGTTCATTCAATTGGTTGGTGGGCCTTAGAATTTTATTTTTGGTTTTCAGAATGACGGAAATAACCCCCAAATTTGGAAAAGTCAGATTTCTGCTACTAGAAGCACTTCACACTTTATGAAGATGTTCTTCTTTCACGCTTTGTCATCTCTTTCCAATGTTACAACAACCTGGTGAGTTATCATTATCTCCATTTAGCAGGTGAGGAGCCTGAGGTTCAGACAAGTAAAGAGAAGGGAGATCTCAAGAGCCCATGTCTGGAGCCCCTGATTCCATCTTTCTTATAGTAATCACTCAGACTCAGCTGAGGGGTAAAAAAAATGGCTCCAGTGAGCTGAAATGCACATGGTGTTTTGTTTCCAAAGTGTTTCCACATATGTTATCTCTTTGGAGATAACCCCATAGAGAAAAGATTTTTTCTTCCAATGTTAGATGAAGCAAATCTCAAAGAGATGAGTAGTGCATGGTAGAGCTGGGATTGAACCCAGGCCTTCTGGCTTCTTCCCTCACTAGCAGTTTGGAGACCAATTCCCTAGCTGTGGATTTACAGAAACTCTGTCTACCAGTGCTGTCCAAACCCCTGATTTCACTGGGCATGATGCTGAATGCATGTCAAAATCACTGGGAGAGCCTTAAAAACGAGAATATCCAGGCACCAACCCAAGCTGACTCAGAATCCCTTTTTTGGTGGGGGGATGCCACTACTCAAGGGGTTCCAAAACACAGTCAGGGTTGGGAAACATGGGTGGTAGGAAGCCCTGGACTCGGGGTCAGAATGCCTGAGTTCCATACCTTCCCCACTCCTGGTCTGACCTGGGCTGTTAATGAGGCTGAATAGAGCTGGGTTCTGTGAATACGCACACGCCTGGGAAAGTTCAGTTGTGAGATAAGTGTTTGGTGTTGTTTTGATGGCCACCACTACAGCATTGTCCCCAAGTCCCAGGCACTCTTCCAGGCCTAACCCCATCCCTCTGTAAGCCCTTTTTGGTGTTTTCCTGGTATGGAATAAACGATATCCTCACTCCCATCTCCAAACTAACCAAACGTATGTACAATTAATTGGACTGGTTCTCTTGTTATCTCTTACTGGAGGGGGAAAAAGCTTCATTTCAGAAAAGAGGGAGACTGGATACTGTAATCTCTTTACTCTTGCTAATTACTTTTTATCTTTGGAGCTCTCTCCAGCCACAGCTTTTGGAAATTGAGAAGGGAATAACATGTGGAGAAATTAGTCACCTCTGAACAGATGCTCTGAAGCTTTTTGAATCCCAGTGGTGTCACCTTCTTGAGGACAGTGAGAGAGGCAGGATGTGGGGATAGTAATATGATTTGAGATGCTCTTAGAAGGTGCCCTGAAAAACATCTCCCCTATGCACAAACCTCCTGTGGGTTTTCAAACTCCACCATCAGGGATTCACTCCTTTGGGTCTTTCAGAACTCCCAATTGAAGTGAAAATATTTCTGAAAGGGGTTATACCTTATACCTTGATCCCTTAAAACCTCATCAGATCACTTTCCAAGTTTACAGCTCTGTTGGTTTTGAAAAATGGAGACAGAAGAGGCAGGCTGGGGAATAGGGACTAGAAGACAGGACCAAGAAGAAAAAGTGGGCAGGCTCCTAGTAATCATAAGTACTCTCAGCTAACCAGTATGCCGCTGTTAACTATGAAGAACGCTCTTTCAAATACATGAGCTCTTTCAGTCCTCACCACAATCCTATGAAATATGCAGAAAGGAATCTCTGTTCTCATTTTACATATAAGAAAATAAAGATGGAGAGCAATAAAGTGATTTTCCCATTGTCCCAGGACTAGTAAATGATGGAGTTGTGTGGATGTGCTACCTGCCTTCCTATCTTCTCTGCATCACTGAGGGTGCATTGTGCCTAACTTGGAAAAAATAACCCTACATTTCCTAGCTTCCTTTGCAGAAATGTGTGCCCAGTGAAATGCAAGGAGAAGTTATTGGATGGGGATTCTGAGAAACTCCCCACTTTGCTTTCTTGCCCTTCTTGTTTCCATCTTTCCTATTGCATAAAAGGGCGATGGGATCACTGGTGCTCTAGCAACAATTTTGTGCTTTTAAGTGACCTTAAGGACAGAAACTGTGTGCTGAGGATGGTAGGACAGAAAGACAGAAGGAACTGGGCTCCTGATGACCATGCTACCCAGAAAACCAGTCCTAAATTCCCTTCCACTGGTCTTCTTTTACATGAGATGTTATAAACCCTTATGAGTTTAAGTCATACTAGTTGAGTTTTCTGTTCATCCTAATCACTACCCTGGACTTCTGACTCCAGAGTCATCTTTTTCTGTGATGCCTCTAGCAACTTTGTCACTTCACAGTGGCTTACCTGGTGACATGTAAACCAGAAATCCTCATCTTGCCCATTGATTACCTGGATGATCCCAGGTGGTGGAGTGGAACCAAGCTTCTCACTGGCACCCCTGTTTCCCCAACATTGCTGGAACTTAGAAGTATGAGACTGAGTCTCGACTAAAGCTGACAGAGAAAATCCCTGTGGACTTCCAGAAGGCTACTCCATACTTCCCCAGAAGGAGAAATTACAGCTGGTGTCCCCACCCCAAGTCTCCAGCCTTAATAAAAAGTCTTTGGGGCCTTAGCGAGATGTGCCCCACAGCAGGTACATAGCACAGTGGAAAGGGCTGGATGTAGAAGACTACATTTCTTAGTCTTTGCTTTGGATAACTTTGTAAAATCTACGCAATCTGTTTGAGACTAGTTTTACTATCTATAAAATGGGTTTAACGTTATTGTCTTCTGCATCCCCTCTTGTAGATGTCATGTTTCAACAGCGTGAAAAAAAAATTAGAAAATATAAAATCCAAGGCAGGTTCATTTTGATCCGGGCTCTGACCAAGGAGCTGCCTTTCCTCCCTGTCCACCCCTATTTCCTCCTCTATACCATTCTCTTCCTCTGCCTGTGGGGACTCAACCCACCCTTCCAGGAGAATCCAGACCCTCTTGGGAAACAGCCGAGTCAAAGAATCTTCTCTCACAGGTCCTGTTCCTGGCATGCCCCACTCCCTTTAGAGAACACCTGTCCCTAACAGCTTCTCCCTTTAAGAACACCACTTCCCACTAGCTTCTCCCCATGGCCCCAGATCCTGAGATGTCGATTTCATTAGCAAATTTTTCTCCACCCCACAGTAGAGATGGCTGTCTTTTCATGGGGTAGGCCACAGCCCCACTGAGGTGTGGAGTGGTAAGGTCCTGATGGGGTGAAAACTTGCTGAATCTGCCCTCTTGTCCTTTCCCCAGATAGGAGACAGAGCAGCAGTAAAAGATGCAGCCCCCTGCCCCAGCCCTGCAAAACTCAGTAGGGTGGTCCAGTCTCCCAGGACAGGACATGTGTCTAACAATCATGGAAGAACATGGCATGGGAAAGGGAGCCTGCAGATAGGGCGCGACAGGGGCTGGGGTGGCTGTCATCTCTCCATCTTCAGGGTCTCTCTCCTTATAGCCCCTCACTTTTCTACACAAGGATGGGGGCAGCATAACAAGCAACACAAGGCATGGCTGCATCCCGGCTGACTGCCTTAGGAGCATGCCTGCTCTTCCCCTGGCTCTCCTGGGGATCATTCCAACATCACGCCTGGTGACAGATGTTCTTGACAACTCTTAGAGACAAGTGTTTGTGAATGTCACTTGGGCTGATAATGACATGCAGGGCATTTAACTTTCCATGTCACCCCAGGGATGAAGCCAAGCTGGGGTGAACTGTTGCTCCCTCCAGGGTGGCAGAGGAGGCTGCCTTTCTGACTTCCCTCTCCCAAACTTCCCCTACCCCTCATTGACTTCTCTCCCCTTTGTTGCTGTCACCATTAGTGCCAGCCCCTTCCTGACAGGCTGGGCCCTGGCATTGAGGGACATGATAGTCAGCCCTCCCTAGTCACAAAGGAAACAGGCCAGGCCCTGCTGGTGGACTGTCTGTCTCCAGTGTGTCACAGCGCCTGCCTGCAGGGCTCAGCTGTGTGTACTCAGGAAGAGCAAGCAGCTTGGGAGTGCAGCCAGGACTGTTAAATAATGATGGAGCTTATTAGCTGAAAAAAGCGCAAAGCACTGTTTTATACAGCCTAATTCAAATCTGGTCTGAGTTATCCATGATTTGGGGTGATCCATGCCTCTGCTCCTCCTTCCTGGTATGTAGACTAGACCCTGATGTTTTCAGACATTGCTCTTAGCTCTTTGGGGTTTCTGTGAAACCTCGAGGTGGGTCACTGGTGACCTGTCAATGGCCTATGTCCAGGTCTGGTTGGGTTCTCTGGGCCTCTGCCAAGATTTTTGTCTCTGACCCCAGGCCCTGGAGCTTAAATGCACCTTAACTCCAGGAGGCAAGCTGACACAGTGCCCCCAACTAGTAAAAGTAGGTGAATTTAGCAACAGTGGAAGCCATATTATGTTGATCATGGGATTCTGAAAGTCTCAAGTAGATCCACACACGATGAGAGCTGGGATAATTTAAGTTAAATGTTTTCACTCCTGCCTGAAAGTCAGACTGCCTGCTTCGTATCCCTGGAATGGAGTCAGCCAGGTTCTACTGAACCCTTTTGGTATGGGCAGCTCACTACTTTGTGGCAGCTTTTACTTTAATCTGCTGTTGGGCAGCTTTGATCTTTATTTCCAGTCTGTCCAGTTCACCAAATGTTGACTCTATAGCTACTTTGGACCAGGACTTACCAAGGGCTGAGGACATGGAGATGAGCATGCATGAATATCACATGCTAGCGAGAGGAAGATAGATACAAAGCCAAATCATTTCGGAGCCAGATGGAGAGCAATGAGAGACATGTGTAAGGCTGTTGCTGTTGGAATTTTGTTTTTGTAACGGGCCAATGCCTACTTCCATGCACGCATGTGTCTATATGTGTGCGTGTATGTCTTTTCCTCTTTTCCACCCACAAATACTTCGAATAAGTTAAAGGAGCCATGAGTTCTTTTCTAAGTCCTCTAATCTCCAAGGTAAACTTCTCCCATTTCACATGAGCTTCCAGAACCTCATTCTCATCAGCCCTCCTCTGGATACACTGCAGCCTGTAAACATGAATCCCAAGACTGTGCCATCCCAGATTAAACATATTAAAGCTCTGCTCTGACCAGCTAGAATGACTCAGCAGAACCATAACCTCTCATGATCTGACCACTATACTTCCATTAGCGCAACTAAAAATGACAGGGGTCTCTCACCAGCTCCATCACATTGTGGCCATAACATCCTCAAGATCAACTACAACTCTGAACCTAGGCACAC
The DNA here is from genome assembly GCF_000001405.40 of Homo sapiens. Classification (NCBI taxonomy): domain Eukaryota; kingdom Metazoa; phylum Chordata; class Mammalia; order Primates; family Hominidae; genus Homo; species Homo sapiens. Next base: position 40,427,035 of record NC_000006.12, read on the forward strand.
AGAATTTCAGATGAGCCAGATTTTCCTTACCTTGAACTTGTGCAATTGCAATTGATTCCTTGAACCAAAGTGAAGATAGATGATTAATTGATTGATAGTTTTGTTGACATGACAATTGGCCAAGCCTATTTTCTGTGTAGTTATCAATCTTAATTAGAAAATACACTGGCAGTACAGAAATGGAACAGATGTTGAGGCAGAAGCCAAAGGCTTTCTGGCATATTTACATCAATTTATTAATCAGTCTGGTTATTTGACCAGTTACAAGTTCACTCCATCAGTTTACATTTCTCCCTTGTGTCCCAAGACAGCATGAGAGTTCGCCAAATGTCCTGTATGACTGTGACGTGCTCTGTTTATGGTAGTGACTCACAGCCAGCAGAAACTCCTAGGACTTTTTCCAACTGGACCTGTCACTCCAGAGATGCTGGTCCAGCCGAGAGTCACTATGCAAGGGGGCATGTCCCTGAGAAGCACCTGCCCTCATGAATGGCAAGGAGGCAGACAAAAAGGTTGAGAACTACTGGTCCACAGCATCTCCTGAAGACATGGTTCAATGACTTGGCAGGATTTGCCCTTAGTGAACCCATGTTAGGTTAGCATTCTTTTCCAAGGGCTCACAGCTACCTACTGAGAAAGTCTTTCCAGAGTTGTATAGGGACTCCATGTCCAGCCTAGCATGCTAAGCATTACAGAGTTTATTCCCTGAAAAGCAGAATATTCACCCCTTTCCTGTCTTAGGCATCTCTCTGTCCATGCTATCTCAGAATCACCACCATAGGCTTGAGAACCTCATCTACTTGCTCCTTTAGTCCTTACTCACCTACATGGGGCCCATCAGAGCCTGGTGACCCAGAACTCATAGACGGCACTGTGATGCAGGCCTGTTGGGCTTTGGCATTCCTCTCCATAGTATTGGTCTTGTTAGGTTGAGGCTCTGGGCAAACATACAGGCTGCCTGCATTCAGATTCCATCTCTGCTACTTACCCCCTGTTTAACACCTTGAGCAAGTTTCTTCTATCTAAAGTGAAATAATAGTTTTTACCTCCTAAGGGTTTGTGAGAACTAAATGAGTTAGTGCACATAGGACCCTTAGAATAGTGACCAGCACAAATAATCCATCAATGCAGGTGTGTACTATTATTGCTGCTGTTGCTGCTGCTGCTTTTCTCCTTGCTGGGGAAGATGGAGGCAAGTTGCAAGTTGCAAGTCTTTGCTTCTTATCTATTCTCATTGTAACCTCTTTCCCAATCAACATTTTTTCTTCTTGGACATAAACATGGACTAAAAAGCCCTCTATGGCTGCATTTAGCTTTCTCTGTACAGCATGTGCTCCTCTTTAATACTCATCTTCAGATACAGACCTCTCCTCCCTTCTTTTATATACCTTCCTGTTAAAATGAGCAGGGCAGAGAGGCCTGTGCCCACTGGTGTCCATGCTTTCTAATGAGGACAATTCATTTTCTAAAAATCCAGATTCTTTATTAGAGTCTCCTATTTCTCTCAAGCCATAACCCCTTTTAGGACAGTGGGCAGCATGACCACAGGGGTTGAGTCTGGGTGCTGAAGCCAGAGGCCGGAGTTCAAATCACAGCCCTGCCTCTTTCTGCTGTGTGATCTTGGAAGAATTTTATTTTTTAATTCTCTTGGTCTTTTATGCTTCTTCATATATCCAGAAGGATTAAATGAGATACTGCCTGTAAAAGCTAAGCATCAAACACATAGTAGCCTGGCAGTAATGTTTGTCAGTGATTGCTATTACCATTATCTGGCTACAGACTCAACGCTTACTTTTTTCTCAAAAATTTTGGAAATTTGTCTTCTTAAAGAGAAGACTGAATTGTATATCTAAACTTCCTCTTCCATTTTATTCCCCAGGATGGTGGATGTGATGCTAGTCTTATTTTATACTACTATTATCCTCACTGCTACTACTCTGCTACTAGTACTACTACTAGTATTGATAATAATAATCTGTATTCCTTGAGTGTTTACTACTATGTGCTCCCACTATTTGGAGGATTTCCACACTGTATCTCCTCTTATCTGCATAACCAGCCCTGAGAAGTCACCATTGTTAGCTGCATTTTTTTTATTCCAAGTTTTCTGATGTTTCCATTTAATTTACATTATTCTTAGAAAGTTAGTGTCTCCAGGTTCTCAATCATCAAATAAAAGTAATTTGAATTCCCACCTGAGTGATTACAGGAGTCTACCCCAAGCCCTGTCCTCCTCCTCCCAGTATCTTTGAGACCCCTGGCAAGCTGCGCCATTTTGGCAATGCTAGTGTGTTGCCTTCTGGCATCCAACATCTTCTCTCCCCCTCACGAACTGCGTTTCCCTGTGCAAACTGCAGAGCTGGTAGCTTTTTGCCTTTACACTTTTTATCAAAATCATGACCATATAATAAATTCACAAGTAAAGAAATATATTTATTTTCAAAAGGTCAACCTCATAAGTTAGCAAAGAAATGCAAATTAAAGCAAGTGCCATTTTTCACCTCTCAAATTGGCAAAGATGAAAGTAATTATATATTCAATATTGGCAAAAGTGTGATCAAAATGAGTACTTCCACTGGTGAAAGGGTAAATATTTATATGTAATGTATAAAGATTATAATTTACCCATAAACCAGTAATTCAACTCCTAGAAAAATATGCTAAGGAAATCACTGAAGTTGCACAAATATATTTATGGGCAAAAATATCCCTCACTGTATTACTTTTAATAATGAAAAATGAGAAACCACCTGAATGTTCCATAATAGGAGATTAGTTAAATAAATTATAATACAGCCAAATAAAAAATATTTTAATACCATGGGAACTAAGCAAGCTGTAATGTTGAGTGGGAAGAATTAAGATACAGAATATACACTGGATTGATTATAAATACCATTTGAATGAACTCAGACACCTTCCAAATTTCTCTTATTAACTTTGGATGGTGGGATTACAGGTAATTTTTATTTCCTTCTTCATAATTTTCTCTACTTTCCAAATTTTCAGTAAAGACTATGACTTTTATAGTGAGAAAAATACATATATGCATATTTAAGTTTGACTATATGCCCCTATCTATATATTCCTATATATGTGCACATATGCATGTGGGTAACTTCCGATGCTGCTTTCTCTCCATCCTGAGATGTGACACTGCTATCCAGACCAGGCCAGCAGCTGCCAAGTAAGGGGAGTTCCCCAGCTCTGCTACGGTTTCCACAACATACCCACCCTCAGTCACATTGACTCTATTCTTCCCCATGTACTCTTCTCTCCCAGAGCTTCCAATCCAGAGACTCATCAACTCAGACAGTCAGAGCTGGAGGAGACCTCCAGGATGGATCAAGTATTTTTGATCTCTCTTGCACCATGGGCCCTTTGGCTGTGTGATGAAACTCATGGGATCCCATCTCCAAACAATCATTTTACATGCATAAAATAAAACACACAGAATTTCAAAGGACACCATACATTCCTTGAGCGGTAAGGTTTTAGGCCATGTCCTTCATGTTTCATATAAGGGAACTCATCTGTGGTCAGCATTTTGGCCCCTGGCCTTCTGTCACTCTGTGACCTTCTTTCCTCTGAATGACTTATGTGATTCTATTGCAGCTTTCCACATTTAACCTCCCTTTCTACCAGACCTAGGAAATGACCCCTTGATTTTCAGAGAACTTTTCAAGGTCAGTACCATTGTCTTCACTTCTAGATGCAGAGACTAAGGCCCAGGGGGTTCAGCACAGGTGAGAGGGCTGATGCTACCTGTAAGACCCAGGGGGCTCACATGATGTGGTCTGACTCAGTCAGCGCTCAATTGGGAAAGGGAAGCTCTTCTCCCTCTAGGGCTCTAAGTAGGCTCTAGGGCTGCTTAGAGGACCCAGCAGAGGTCTCCCAGGGGAAAGAGACTCCCTGACGGTGAAGCCAACCCAGAGAAAAATAGAACTTAGGGAAGGTAAGAAACTGAGAATACAGATTTGTAGGGGACCTTTGATCCAGCTGAACCTGAAGCAGGTTCCTGACTTGTTAATGACATGAGTCAACACACTCTCCCTCCCTTTCTCTCTCTCTTTTTTTTTTAAAAGCCAGTTTGATTCAGTTACCAAAACTGAATAAGTGCATTTAGTGAGTGTCCAAACTAAGTCAGGTATTAATTATCCTTATCTTACAGATGAGAAAACTGAGGGAGGCCAGGAGAATGAAATGACTAGCAAGTGGAAAAGCCATGATTTGAATCTCACTCTTTCTGACCTCAGAGCCTTAACCATGACTGCATATGAGTCCAGGTGAAGGTCAAATGCATGCCTCTTTTGGGGAGTCAGAACCTTCAGCCAAGAGGTCTATTCATTGTCCTTGTATATCCTCCAACTGGGCTTAGAACAGAACATTCATAAGCTCATAGCCATAAGACCACTGACCACAGCCACCCAGCCGGGAGGTGTGGTCTTTCTTTACACATATCTCTCAGGCTGCCCGTGTGGATTCTTTTCTTCTTAGCCTTGTAGTTGATGTTCTTTTTATCTCCTCTTACCTGCACGAATGGCACAGTTTGCCCCAGAATCCCCACAGACACCTTTGGGGAAGAGGGGTATAGGTGGGAGCAGCCCCAAGACCTCCCCATCCCCTCCTCCTTCCCCAGCCAGACACCCTCCCTGCCTTTGCCACAGCCGCTTGCTCACCTGTAAATCAGTACCTCATCGTCAGAGCAGTTGTACTGCAGCTGGTACATCTTCACCCGGGGTGCTGACTTGCTGACAGACCACTTGACCAGGGCCGAGGTGGTGGTCACTTCAGACACAAGCACAGCCCGTTCCGGGGGGCTTTTGGGAGGCTCTCCGCCCCCACTGCCTCCACCTCCCCGGCTGGTCTTGCTGGAGCCAGTGATGTCTGAGAGGCGGGACTTGGGGGGTGCAGTGCGGCTGGTGCTGTTGCTGAGGTGTGGCAGCTGGACGATGGAGACCTCCACCATGGCCGTGGCCTCTCCGGCAGCATTGGCAGCAATGCAGGTGAAGGCACCACTGTCCTGAGATGTGGTGATGAAGATGTCCAGGGTGCCATTGTCATAGACAGCGGTCCTTGAGGAGTTCCCTACCAGGCGGTCATCGGGGGCTACCCAGTGGATAAGGGGGCTGGGGTCCCCAATGGCTTTGCACTTGAGTGTGGCCGCCTGGCCCTCCAGAACCAGCAACTTGTGTGTGTGCTGGGTGATGAGAGGCGGCTCGCACACAAACTCCTCCTCACGCACATGCCAGAAGTAGCGACCCTTGAGGCCCCCTGGGGAGCCACAGGTTTCCAGGTCATCGTCCCGCTCGAGCCTCCGCAGCCAGAGAAGCTCACAATTGCAGTGAAGTGGGTTACCCCCAAAACTAAAGGACAAGGGTGGGGCAAAGGGTGTGGCTGTCAAAGCCGAAGCCTGGGAGCGGGCAAAGATGGGATCAGGGGGCAGCTTCTGCAGCCGATTGGAGGTGAGATCCAGGCGGGCCAGTTTCTGCAGGTCTGCAAAGGTGCCCTCGGCGATGTGATCCAGCAGGTTGTGGTCCAGGCTCAGCTGGTGGAGGTTGACCATGCGTCGCACGGAGTCCCACGGCAGGCCATGGAGGTTGTTGTAGGAGAGGTCCAGATCCTCCAATGTCAGCAGGAAGTCCTCAAAAGCCTCATCTGCGATGCCGCCCAGCTGGTTGTTGTTCACGATAAGGTGCTGCAGGTTGACCAGGCCCCGGAGGGTGTCCTCCCCAAGGCTTGGCAGCCGATTGCTGTCAAGATGCAGGGAGCGGAGGCTCTCGAGGTCCAGAAAGGAAAAGGGCTGGATGTGGCTGATGGTGTTCCTGGACAGGGTCAGGTCCACCAGCCCCGTCATGTTGGCAAAGTCCTGGCGGCTGATGTGGATGATGAAGTTGCCGCCCAGGCGCAGCTCCACTGTCCGCCGGTCAATATCAGGGGGTACAAAGAGCAGCCCCTTGGAGGGGCACAGGGTCCCCAGTGACTCAGACAGATTCTGGCAGACACAGTACTTGGGGCAGGCGTCGACCACGGCAAACGCCATGCCAAACGCTAGCAGGCCACCAAGCAGGGTCTCCATGGTCTGGTCACTCAGCGCCTGGAAGGGAGAAACACAAGCTCAGGGTCAGGAGGCAAATTCCTAATGCACTCACCCAGAGCTTCCTCCCTCACATTAACCCTCACTGCCTTAGGGAGTGGCATAGAATGGCAAGTGCTCAAGCAAGACCTAATCTCTTCCATGAATCCCTCTAATGCAGTTTTACTGTTTCTCTTTTCCTTAGCTTTATCACCTTCTAACACACTATTTAGTTTACTTATTTATGATGTTTATTTATTGTTTCCTGTTTCAGTCCTCTATGGTCAGCTCCAAAGAGGGCAGGTACTTTTGCCTGTTTTACTAATTGCTGTATCCCAATTACCTAGCTCAATGCCTGGAACACAGTAGCTGCTCAATAACTATCTGTTGGATGGATGGATGGATGGATGGGTGGATGGATGGATGGATGGATGGATGAATGCGATACCATATCATTGGCTTATCCAATAATTGAGTTTGAAAGGATATTATGGCTGTTTTTTGAGGCATAATTTTACATTCTTAATTGGTTTAGGCTTAGCATGAAATTAAATTGAACCAGCATTCCTTAAGAATGAGGTTGTAGATAAGAAGAGAGTTGGTGCTGAGAGACTCCAAGGTCAGTGGGGAACTGTTTCACCAAGGAGAATCCACATAGTTTATGAATCTTTGAGAATGTGGGAAGTGAAGAAGGAGGTGTGATGGGAGGCAAAGGAGTGAATTCTGAACCCTTCATAAGCAATTAGCCTCTATCTGGACCCTCACATACATCAGCTCTTTTGGGCTTTAGGAATCCCCTTCAGAAGGAAGGGATTATCTATACACAGACGAGGATTGATCATGGCCTCAGAGCCTCCTTTGGATCTTTACTCACAAGTTACCTTCTCCCAGAGGCCTTCCCAGATGCTCTTCCATGATCATCCCTGCCCCGCCCCGCTGCATAGCCCTCTTCTCTGCTCTGTATTTTCTCCTTGCAACTAATCCCTATCTATGTTTTAACTATTTGTCTTCTTTATAATTTGTTCTTTTGCTCTAGCCGTAAAGCCCCAAGAAGAAGGGACCTCTTTTCATTCACCACTGCATGCCCAAAGCCTAAAGCGCTGCCTGGCACATAGTAGGTGCTTTTACAAGAATGGCTATCTAAGAAAGAAAGGAAGAGAAATCTGACTCAAGTCTTTGCGCCTCCAAATGTCAACAGTTTCCTCACTATCCCATGTTGTACTAAATGTGGCCTTATTGATACAGTGCTTCTTGGGGCTTTACTGATAGAGCAAAATGATAGCCAGTTGAGTTGGACTTTTGGAAAATCATGCAGCACACTGATTGTGTAGCATTATGCAGACCAGCATTTCTCAAATTGCCTTTTTTTTTCTTTTTTTTTTTTTTGAGACGGAGTCTCACTCTGTCTCCCAGGGGAGCGCAGTGGCGCAATCTTGGCTCACTGCAACCTCTGCCTCTGTGGTTCCAGTGATTCTCCTGCCTCAGCCTCCCAAATAGCTGGGACTACAGGCACACACCACCATGCCCAGCTAACTTTTTGTATTTTTAGTAGAGACAGGGTTTCACCATGTTGGCTGGGCTGTTCTCAAACTCCTGACCTCAGGTGATCCACCTGCCCCGGCCTCCCAAAGTGCTGGGATTACAAGCGTGAGCCACCGTGCCCAGCCCCTCAAATTGCCTGCTAAACATACTAATTAGAGTTCTGCAAAAATGGCTTCTAAGGCCAGTAAGGTGGGGAAGCATTGCCTACTCTTGCTTTCTCTCACAATAGCTCTGTACGCATGAGCAAGTTTAGAAGAATTGAGAAATTCTGCTGCAGTGAAACACTAAATTAATGTTTAAGTTTGCATTACTCCTATTTCTTTTTACTATAAAGACATCCCTTTCTTGAGCAATGGTTTTACATATATATATATATATATATATATATATATATATATATAGAGAGAGAGAGAGAGAGAGAGAGAGAGAGAGAGAGAGACAGAGAGATAATATATATTATATATTTTATATATATATTATGTATTTTATATATATATATACAGAGAGAGAGAGAGAGAGAGAGAGAGAGACAGATTCTTGCTCTGTCACCCAGGCTGGAGTGCAGTGGCACAATCATAATTCATGACAGCCTGAAACTCCTGGGCTCAAGTGATTCTCCCACCTTGGCCTCCTGAGTAACTACAGGCACTTGCCATCATGCCTGGCTAATTATTTTTATTTTTATTTTTGTAGAGTCAGATTTTGCTATGTTGCCCAGGCTGGTCTCGAACTTCTGGCTTCAAGTGATCCTCCTGCTTCAGCCTCCCCAAATGTTGGATTTACAGGCATGAGCCACCTCGCCTGGCCAATATCTTGTGGAAGTAGAGCTCTATAACTCCCAGTTTGAGGAGCACAGATGCAGAAAAAACTAGCTTATTTTATTTTTTGTTTCCTATTTTTTTTTGAGACGGAGTCTGGCTCTGTCACCCAGGCTGGAGTACAGTGGCATGATCTCAGCTCACTGCAACCTCTGCCTCCCAGGTTCACGCCATTCTCCTGCCTCAGCCTCCCTAGTAGCTGGGACTACAGGTGCCCGCCACCACACCCGGCTAATTTTTTGTGTTTTTAGTAGAGACAGGGTTTCACTGTGTTAGCCAAGATGGTCTCGATCTCCTGACCTTGTGATCCGCCCGTCTTGGCCTCCTGTAATAGCTTATTTTTTTTAAAAAAGATACGTAATATATTGAAAAATCTATTCCTATCATACACTTTATTATGTATATTTGAATTCCATTATTGCGCCTCTTTAAGGGTAAATCTCCTACCTGAGACCCTTCAAGGGCCAGAGGCTTGCCCTGTATTTTTTCTGGAGAGAGCATCACTGTGAAGTAGAAATATGATGTGAGCCAAAAATGTGACTTCAAATTTCCTAGTGGCCATATTTTTTAAAAAAGTAAAAAGAAACAGGTGAAATTAATTTTGATAATGTATTTTATATAACTAGCTATATCAAAATATTATTTCAATATATCCTCAATATAATTATTAATGAGATGGCTAACTTTTTTATTTTACAAACTCTTCAAAATCTGGTGCGTATTTTACCCTCAGAGCACATTTCAAATGCTCATTAGCCATATGTGGCTATTGGCTACCATACTGGGTAGTGCTGTGAACTGTAGCTCACAGACCAAATATATCCTGTCACCTGTTTTTGTAAATAAAATTTTATTAGAACACAGCCATGCTTATTTGTTTACATATCGCATGTGGCTTCCTTTGTGCCACCATGGCAGAGGTGAGCCATTGCTGCATATAACACATGGCACTGAAGCCTAAAATATTTACTATCTTGTCCTTTACAGAAAGAGTTTGCTGACCTCTGTTCTATAGGATATGTGTTTTTTTTTTTCATCTTCATCAAGGGCACCTTCATTAAAAGCCTTGGCCAAAGTGCCGAGTTCCACACAGCTCTGCCCTGGCCTCCCCATGAGCACCTGCCCACCCTGCCAGTCCCTGTTCTCACCAAGCTCCCACCTAAGGTAGACCAGCTTCACCTTACCCAGGCCCCACCAGGTCACAGGTGTTGATACATGGAAGCTTTCCACCTGCCACCTTTCCAACTTGCTCTGTGCTCAAAGGTGTTCTGGCCTTCTTGGTCTCTACTTGCTGGGGCCTCATAGAACAAAATGAGGATCTTCTCCACTTGCATTGAGTCTTGAGTTTTCTAGCTACACCTCCCTGTGACTCATTGTGGTCACAGAATGAAGAAGGCTGACGTTTTTCTGGCTACGGCATCTGCTCAAATATAGTTGAGTGGTATTCTCTATACCCACGAGAGCACATGAACAGCCACAGCCACATCCAAGGATGTCCCTTGCTAATTAATCAAGAGGTGGTTGAGTGTGTGTGTGTGTGTATGTGTATGGGGTAGTGTTCTATGGCCCCATGAGAAAGGCCATCTCTCTTATGAGCTCTTATCAGTAAATGCATCAGTGTTCTAAGGCTAAACAGCACTTCCCAACATTTTCAAGTCCTGGCACACAGGAAATGATATTTGTCAGGTGCCCCTGGGCCCAGGGCCAAGGCTATTCATGGCCTGTGCTGGATATCTTCCACTGTCCCTCCAGATCCTCTCTCCACCCTCTCCCCGCCAGCTCTGCATTCTGGGAGGCTGATCCATATGGACCGCATCTGTGCAATATAGATGGACTGCCTCCGCCATCCTTTGTGCCCTTCTACCCTTGGCTGTGTTGCCTGCCCTCTGGTAGAGACAGCAATGGCAACAGCAAGCAAAGAAGGCCCAGACGCTTCCAGATGCATACCCTGGAGCTCAGAGGCACAGAGCCCATTGTTTCAAACAGTTGTGTCCTTGTAAATTATGTTAAACAAACCACAGTTTGAAAAAAGTTTGTGGAGGATTAACAAACGTCTAATGAATTCAAATCTGTGACATAATAGAGCTGGGTAAATATATTTTAAGTAATCAGCATGGAAGATTACTGACAGAGAAGTGACTATTGAATCTTAATTAAAATTGTATTCTGAGAACTGTCACTTAATATGTTGTTCTAACAGCCAAACAAAAGGCGGCTTAAATCCCAAGTTGGGAGGGAGACAAGGGGACTGGATGAATATGTGTAATTAGTGTATATCTAGGTTGCAAGGGCTCTCTCTTTTGGGCAAGAATTTGGACAAATGCTGTAAAGAGGAACGCCAGGCCTAGTTCCCTCTAAGTATCTTAGGGTGGTGTAGGTGGTGGAGAGGAACCAGGATATCCTCCATCTGGGCTCACAACAGAATATTCAGAAGCTCATAGCCACATGGCAATTAGGGAAAAGGGCTAGGACAAGGAACAAAGAGATAAATGAAAGTGGGCAGGAGGGGCAGTGGGATTATTTGTGGGCAAAGCTGAGAGAGGTGTGTGGGGATCAGAAGCGAGGCTGAAATGGATGCTGGTATCAAATGTCAGAATCAGCCTTCATAGGAGGAATCCATCTGCAAAGGAGCGAGAGCTTGTCTGCCCAGAATGTCTATGAGTCTGCACTGGGGTAAGGCAGGGTGGCAAAGAGAGGTAGATACAGGGGAGCAGGGAGAAGTAAAACACTCCCCAAACCGAACCTACACCATTCCAGAGAAGCAGTCCAGTCTTGGGCATTTACCCAGGATAGAAACAGTATCTCCTCCCTTCCTTGACTGGGTTTCTTCATGTAGTCTTCACAACCCCACAAGGTGAGTGCCACCATAATTGCACAAGGTACCCTTGTGCAGGCAGAAAGAGGTGTTCCTGCTGGCCACTGGTAGGGTTCCCTTATCTGAGCAACCTCGTGCAGTGAGCAACTTGCCCCACCCTACCTTGTGGCCCTGAATATTGTCATCCCCATTTTAGCTACTAGGAAGTGAGGTTAAAAGAGGTTTGAGCCTGCCTAAACTACCCTAGCTACCCTGGACAGAACCACAATTTAAATGGAGATCGTCTGGCTCCAGGCCATGCTCAGAGTAAAGGAGGCCCCTCTGGAGGCTTCCATGTGCCTGGCGTACAGAGAGACTGGCTGTCTTCACTATGGGTTTGCTTAGTAACTGGTGGTGAACCAGCTGTTTGGCTACATGTGGGCACTTGTGTTTCCTGCTTGGGGTTGGGCCTGGAAGGGACGCTGGCATTCTCGGAAGTAGAGAGGCCTAACTGGCCCAGAAAGACCCACCTGTCAGGCCCTGATAATAGTGAGTCTCTCACACACATACACGTGTTCAGAAATACATACTGGCAATAATAAATATAAAGTTGTGGAACTAGGCCCTTGGTTTGTAATAAAAGCCTCCAGATGTGATTTTTACATTTAAAACAAAAGGGAAAAACAAAGATGAGGACAGAGAGTGGAAAAATAATGAACATGGTGGCAGAAAAGGAAAGTTCTTGTTCCTTGGCTTGACCACAGGCTTTCCCCCCAGCCAGGGGCTTCCTCCCCTCACTCCCCTCCCTGGGCTCTGCCTCCCAATCAGAACCACCTCGAGCTGTTCCAGACAGAAGAGGCAACAGTTAGCAGATGGCTGGCACGATATATGTGATATCTCTGTACCCTGATTTCCATTTAAAAGATACCTTAGCAACCAGCCGAGGAGCCGCCCGCCCCTAGAGCCTGTAAATCAAGTAAGATGCCTGTCTCCGCTTCAGGTAAAAAGAAATGGCCCCTCCAGGGTGCTCCAGGCCTGGAAAGTGTGAATTAATAAGAGTGGGAGGGGTTGGGATCTGCCAGGGAGAGGCAGCTGCCTGCACCTTCTTTCCAGACTTCCCCTCCCAGAGCCCCACTGCTCCCCATAAATCACACCACTCAAGGTGAGCCCTGGAGGGACCAGCTCTGGAGAAAGGGTGGGGAAAGGAAACTTGAGTTCCACTTGTATGGGGGCATACAAGCCCAGAAACATGCTGCTTTTCTGATTTGGGAGTTGCTGGGGGTGAATGCTGCCAGCACCATGTGCCAGCTCCAGTGTGAAGCCCCTATCCCAGCCTTGCTGTCTCCAGCACATCCGCCTCCCTGCAGGGTGCCCATACACTCTCAGGAAGTGACATTCTGAGGTTTCATCTAAGAGGTAGCATCAGTGAGTTGATTTCCAAAACCTCCTTTCCAAAGCCACCATGTATAGAGATTCTTCTAGAATCTTGAGAAGAGGCAGCAGAAGCAGGCTCAATGAGTGTGTGTTGGGGTAGGAGAGGGCCCCTGATCCAGAGAGATCCCACTCTGACAGGGGAGGCATAGCCTTTGACTTCAGGGACCTCTTAGTTCGACTTTGGAGTCACAGTTTCTAATTTGAAGGTAGGGGGAAAAGAGAGAAAGAGAGACAGAGAATCCCCTGAGTGAGCCTCCTGCTCTCAGAAGGTTCTAGCTTAGTGGCTGCAGAAAGACACCCACACAAGATGGGCAAGAACATTCCCTGTTCTTTCCCCAAACAAAACCTTGGGGACATGAGCCACATCCTGAATCTCCAAACTTCTTCATAAACCCGATAAAAACAGCAGTCTTTGGTAACACAGACAACAGGAAAAAAAAAAGGCAAAATAATGTCTAAAACATCAAAAGGGCAGAATGAGCCCATTAGGCTCTTTTTAAACTTCTATTGTGCAAGATAAGCAATTGTTATCATAAGTAAGTCATTAAGCTCAGAACCACTTCCTCTCTGTTCGCAATGACAGCATTATGCCTCCGTATTAGCACGTCCGTGATAGCTTTTATTGTGTTGCAACACAATTATGTGTTTGCCTGCCTTCTACCCTTGTGCACCTGGGAACCCCTTCTTGGCAGGGATTGTATATTGCTCAGCTCTGAGTCGATGGTAGCAAATCCAGTACCTGGCACTGAGTAGGCACCTGGGATATGTTTGAGGAGAGAATGAACGAATGAATGAATAAATGAATGAATGAATGAATGGATGCTCCAGCATGAACAGACACAGTAGCCCTTGGCCCCTCTGACACCCTGTGGCCTCTGACTCAATGCAAGTGCATGCTTGCACCTCTGGGGCAGGCTGGGTATGCTAAGGAATTATTGCCTCCAGAGAACAGTCCCCAACCAATGCTAGTGAGGGAGACAGAGGATAAATACCTCAACATCCTCACCTCCTGGGTGGGATAACTCCAAGGTACATTTTACATAGTCTTCTACAGGCCCCTAGGAGGGCTGAGCCTCAGTTGCCCTGCCCAGTCACCTGCTCCTTAATGCAATGTATGTGGGCCTCCTTCCTTTGCCCATCTCATTTCCCCACTTCTCTTCCCTCATTTCCTGCAATCATTACCCAAATAAACTACTTACACTCAAATCCTTATTTCAAATCACTGTTCCATTTCTGGGGAATCCAGCTCAGAGCAAACTTCTTAATTATAACTGTCATTATATAAGGGACCAACTAACTGAGACTGGGCCGCTGTAGAAACGTGAGATGCAGGGAAATAAAAAATGATCTAAAAATCATGCATGTTCTTGTCAATAACTAACAACACCAGCAACTTTCAGAGGAAGGAGACCTCAGTTCACGTGCCAATGACTGGTAGTAATAGTTTAATGGAAAACATCTTCTACCCAGGGTATTCACGACCTGGGCTGTGCGGCACTCGCCGTCTGTTGTCTTGAGACACGTGTGAGCCAATGTGTGAATGAGTGTCTGCGCATGAATGGAGGGAGGCCCATGCATGGATGGGGTGAGGGGTGTGAACGCGGAGGCTAGAATGTGAATGGAGAGGTGTGTGTGTGAGGAAGATCTGTGCAACAGTGGGCGTGTGTGACAGCGCTCCTGAGGGCGTGTGAGTGAGGGGGCCTCACATGAATGGAGGTGAGTGAACGGGTGTGTCTCTTGATGGAGGGCTGTGTGGGTAAAGGAGGGCTGGATTTCACCAGTGGGGGCCTGGATGTGAGTGAGTCTGCCTGAGGAAGAGAGAGGGAGCACAGCTTGTTTGTTCAGCTTTGATGGAAACAAATGCTATTTTCCTGCTGTGTTGTCAGCTTCGAATGCATTAATCTTCATGGTTGCCTGTGATCTGTCCCTGCTTTGGGGACACAGACAACCCACAGGCTGGCAGCTCTCAGCGTCATTTTAGACCTTGGGCTGCTCCTCCTCTCCCTGCCTATCAGCCTCCACTCCAGCCTACAGGTGTGAGTACGTGGGGGCCCTCGTGTCACACAATGAGATTTTTGCTTTGAATCAGTCATGACTTTGAAGATTCTTTGTCCAAACTGCCCCTGACCCCCAACACTGCCCATGTTTCAAGCATCTTTAATTCTCAAGCAAGGCTCCAACCCTAGGAACCTGGAGGGAGACCAGAGTTCCTGGATGGAACCTTCTCACCCAGAGGGTGAAGGTGGAGAATGCCCAGGGATGCATTTCCAGTCACCAGGGCCTTGCCGGGCCTTTCTCCCTCACCCAAGGACTTCCCCAGCAGATCCAAGTGCCAGGCCCTAGGCCTTGCTATCTCAACCCCTTACTCCCTCCTGCTCTGAATCACAGAGCACCCCAGTTCACTAACACACCAGCACCCTCTACCCTCCAAAGGCCTCACCCTTTCCCTAGTACCCATCCAGGAGCAACTTCAGTGCAGGGTCTTCTCTAGGAAGGGGCTAATGAAGGGAGCAGTGGGGTGAATAACGCAAAGTGGCAGATAATCCTAAACTCATTTCCATTTGGCTGGAGAATGTTCACTCTATGATTTACTCTCCTCATTATGGTTGGCCCAGGCAAAAATTAAAATAGGCTTTTCTTTTTCAACCTACACAGGATAGAGGGTAGGCAAAGGCTAGGAGGCTAGGTAGCATTAAAGGTCACTGTGGCTAGACTCCATAATTATGGGCTGACACAAGACTTGACAGTTACTGCAGGTAGGGGTTGTATTTCCTTCAGCCAACTGGGGCTCCCTGAGGACAGGGCTGAGTCTCCCCTCAGACTGGGACCCTCTGAGGGTGGAGCTGGGGCTCCCTGAGGACGGGGCCGCGTCTCCCCTCAGACTGGGGCTCTCTGAGGACAGGGCTGGGTCTCCTCTCAGACTAGGGCTCCCTGAGGATGGGACTCTGTTTCCCCTCAGACTGGGGCTCCATCAGACAGAGCTGTATCTTCTTTCTGTATACCAAGGATAAGCCCAAATTTCTGCCTCCTGGGTCTGAGGCTGACATGAGCAATGTCCTCATGTTTCCTCACAGCCACCTCTCCTCACTGCATGGGGCCCTGCTGAGGGCCTGGTCTCCCTGAACACCCCTCCTGGTTGTGCGGAGCTGGGCCTCAGCAGGGGCTGGCCACGCTGCGTCTCTTGAGCATCATGTCCTCAGGCTGCTCTGAGGAGAGTCTCATTACACAGGCCTGCAGTTATCACCCTGCCCTGTTATTATGTGTGTGGTGTAACATCACCCATAGCATATTTAATCTTAGGATTCTAATAACCCCTCTTATTATTAAAACAAAAATAATTTAGAAAATCAAATTTCCTTCCTGAAGGGCGTTTGTGTTTCATTTGCCTGTTTGTGGGTGGCCAGGCTGGGCTGCTGCAGTGGAGAACAGGTTATAGACAAAGGGATCCCACGTGGTACCGGCAAGGTTTGGTCTATCCTTGGCTTTGGGACAGAATCCTCACCTGTTGGCCAACCTGGACTTATAGGAAACCAAGATACACAGAAACAAGAGGACTTTTCAGCTGTGACTACCTTTACTGTTTTTGAGCCCCCACAGATTATTTCAGTAAACATAATTCATAGAAAACAGCCGCAATAGGGAAAAGGCCCATCTGGGGGATTCCCACAATAGGCTGCCCTAACTCACATGCATTAGCCAGCTCTGAAGTATTTACCAAGCAGCCACAAAAGGGTCAGGATGAGATACGGATCAGGACTTCCACGGCCTTTGAGGGCAAAGAGTGGCTAGGCCTATATGCCATCTTATCCCCATGCACATACTACAAATGCTTCCCCCAAGACCAGGTGTAATCCAGGCCCTGGATCCTTCCTCCCACTTTGCAAAAGGCAAATGGAGCAGAGTCTCCCTGCCTGCACCTTTCTTTATTGCTGTCCTCTGTCCCTGCAGTTCTGGGGAGAAGGGGTGGAGACACATTATCAGTCAGGGGCTTGAGAGGAAACAGATGAGAGAATCCAAGCAGCAGCTGAAGGATGTTTGATGAAGGGACCATTTAGAGAGATGTGGGCAGGGTGGGGGAACAAAGAAGAGGTGGCATAGCACCCAGTGGGTGGCAACAGAGGGGAGCTACTCAGCCTTCCACCCCTAGCCTAAAGGGACAAAGGTAGAGGGCAGTTTCTAGAACCCAGTCAGGGCATAGCCATGGGAGAAGAGTTGTCCAACAGGAGGATGTAGCCCTAAGTACACAGATACAACCCACTGACAACCTAGGGCTGGGAGGGAGCTGGCCAAGGGAATTAGCCTGTCTCTTTCACCACCCTCTCACCACTTGCTGATGCCCCCCAATGGCCAAACCTAACTAGAGGCCAAGGGGTAAGGAAACTTGCATGTAGTTGCCCGCACAGGTCAGCCTACCCGGGCACAGAGCAGGGCAGTTAAAGGTGGAGAGTTTATTTGGAGGAGCAAATAAATGAAAAATAGCACAGACAGGTAGTCCTTCTCTCTTTTCAGCTTTCTCAATGAGTTATTGGATAATTAAGGCACTTGGAAGTATAGGAAAACGAAGAAGGGAAAGAAGGGGGAAAAGGAGAAAGAAGAAAGAGACAGAGACAGACGAGAGAAATTAATCCATTGGAAACAACAAACCCACAGTCTCAAGAGCAGTAAATATGAATTCAATTTGGTTTTGCCATTTATAGAACCCAGCCTTCTAAAGAGCTGACAGGCTGATCAGATAAAAGCCGCTGTTGCCACCAGGACAGCACATTTAAATTTTTATTGCAAACACCAGGCTCCATTACCCTGGGATTTGCTCTCTGCATTCCTAATATTGTCTTTCTTCGGGTGGGAATGGGAGTATCCTGACTCTCACTTACAACCGGATACAGCAGGAAGAGCATGCATAGGAGTTCTATAAGCTGGGTCCCTGCACTGACCCTGCCTTGAACCTCAACAAGCCACTTCTCTTTGTGCCTCAGACTCCTCATCTGGGCAATTAAGCTGGGTGGGGGTCATCAATTCAAGTTGATTTCCAGCCCTGGTTTGATTAAATGTGGGCAAGGAGCAGTGAAGACTCAGAAAACCCTAGCAGTTCTGTCCACCCCGCACAGTCTCCCTCTCAGTCCTCAAGTCCAAATAGGGCTTCTTTTTTCCTGCTTTGCAATTTTTTGCTTCTCCATTTCCTCCTGCCTCTGTCTTCTTCATGATTTTTTTTTTTATTACCTCCAGTCTCCTCCCTGTTGACTTTGTTTGCTGTCAAGAGCTGGAACATTGCAGTCAAGCCCTCCCTCCTTCCTGCACCCCCTCCACCTCACCCCCCCAGGGACCTGCTTTACTCAGCAGCAATGATTCAACCATTCAGTTAGGCTTCTGTCAAGCACCAGCCCCACGTGGGCATGCAGACATGGGGTGGTGAAAGAGCTGGATGGGACATCTTCCCTCTTCTCAGGAGGAGCTTACAAACATATACCTGGATAGGTGCAATCCAAGGGAAGAGGGAAGTATCTACAGGGTGTCTGGTGTTTTACACGTTATTTCATTTAAGCCATTCAATAATGCAGTACCATCTGCCGATTTTATAAGTGGAGAAATTGAAGCCGAGGAAGCTTCCACACCTTGTTCAATAACTTATGACAAAAGGCAGAGTTGGAATCGCAGTCCAGGTATGTCCTACCCCCTCCCAGATGACATCATTCTCAAGGCGGAGAGAAAAGGAAGTGGTAAAGAGTTATGGGAATTCTATGGAAGACTCCCCCACCAACTAGGGCAAGGGAACTTTTCTTGGAGGAGGTGGTGCTGATTGTGGCCTTGAATGATAGGTGGTAGGATTTCAGCAGCTTGGGCCAGTTGTCTTAATGAGGACATTCTAGAAGGAAGAACAAAGATTCAAGGTATTGTGATTGGAGAGAGGTGGATCTACCAAAGGTGGACAATTACAGAAACCTTTTAAAGGAAGCATCCTCAAGAGGCCCCGGCTTGAGAAGTGCTGGCTTAAGAAATTGACTTACTGGCAAGGTGGCTAGTGGTAGGCACATGGCCTCTGGGGTCCAGCCACTTTGTAGGACTAAGGAATCCCCTCAGCTTCAATCCTGGCCTGCCTCTTTCTGGCCCTGTGGTCTTGGGCAAGTTGCTTGACCTCTCAATACCTCAGTTTCCTCACCTGTAAAATCGAATAATCTTATAAAGTTGTGAGGATTAATTGAGTCAATCCTGTAAAACACTTAACCAGGGCCAGGCACAAAATAAAATCTCAAAACAGTGTTTCCCATTACAGTTCTTATTAAGTGCACTCTCTTTAAGTTGTGACTGGCTGTTCTCAAGGAGAAGCTTTGGTAAAGAATGAATTTTAGATTGCCACCAAAATAAAAAGCTGAAATGTAAAACATGTTCATAGAACTCAGCACCTCCTGGGGACCTCACCATTAGTTTAGGAAATTCTGCTGTTGTCGGTTAGATGGGCAGGAATAGAGCCATGACTAGGGAGCAATAATCAAATCTTCCTCCAGCCTGGCCACTCCTGAATCCAAGGCTGGGGTGTAGTCTGGGTGTAGGAGGCCTCCTTGCCCAGGAGAAAGGCAACCAGCAGTGGAGAGATTTTTTAATTTTTAATTTTAATGAAGGAAGAAGCATTCCAAGGCAAAAGTGGCTAGGGCCCACGAAGGCCATAATGCAGCCCTGCTCACCTGTTATGGGGGCTACAGAGGAGAAAGGATCTCCCCCTTCCCTGCTGCCCCTACATTCCTCGTGTCTGATCATTACAGGCTTTTTAGTAATTCTCTCCCCAGCAGCTTCCTCACTGCCAATGGCCTTGCTGATACAGCTGCTGTGTGCTGTGTTCATCAGGCTTCTGTCACTAGGGCTAAGTGTATTTATTGTGCTACATCATTAGCGGCGATATGTATACATTGAACACCTGCTGTGCTGAGCTCCATACAGAATCTGAGTAAATAATTTTCTTTCTGTCCTCTGGGAGGCTGCAATCTATTAAAGGCAAGACAGTCTGCACAGAGGAAGACACACAATTATCTTCTTCCAGTAGGAGACAGAGAGGTGCAGGCAGGGAATAAATGATAAAAGCAAAATCTGCCTTGTTTCTCCTTCAAACTAGACCTCCCAGAGAAGTGGGAGCTGTGTCCCCCCTCAGACTGGGGCTCCCTGATGATGGGGCTGTGTCTCCCTCAGACTGGGGCTTCCTGAGGATGGAGCTGTGTCTCCCTCAGACTGGGGCTTCCTGAGGATGGAGCTGTGTCTCCCTCAGACTGGGGTTCCCTGAGGACGAGGCTGCATCTCCCCTCAGACTGGAGCTCCCTGGGATTGGGGCTGCGTCTCCCCTCAGACTGGGGCTCCCTGAGGATGGGGCTGTGCCTCCCTCAGACTGGGCTCCCTGAGTCAGGGCTGTGTCTCCCCCAGACTGGGGTCCCTGAGTCAGGGCTGTGTCTCCGCTCAGACTGGGGCTTCCTTATAACAAGGCCACACATTCCCTCATTATCCTATTAGTTTTCCAAGAAAAGTATTTCTACTTTTTCTATCAAAGCAAAAGACCCTACCAACCTTCTCATTAACCTCAAGCAAAGCATGTCCCCACCGTATGCCTCAGTTTTCTTGTGTAAATGAGGACATTAATTACCTTTAAAGTTGTGGTAATGTTACGACATTAACCTCAAACTCAGAATTCTGCCTCACTCTCAGGCTCTCTTCTTTCCCCAAATTTGCCTACCTTTAACATCACTAGAGGCAGAGCTGTCACCATCCCATGATGTCTTCTTCCACCTGAACTAAATGGGGACCTGAGTTTAGAATCTTTAACAAGTTTGTTCCCAAACCTTTATTTTTCTGTGAACTTCTCAGAAGGTGAAAGACTTGACTTTGCTCAAATAATTCTCACTCTTCATTACTTCAAACGTAGATGATATCATCATCATCATCATCATGAAATGGTGAACACTTGAGTGCTGATTCTATGGTAAGCATTTTCTGCCTTAACACATTTCATCTTCCCACCCACCCTATGAAGTGGGTGTGGTAGTTATTTCTATTTACAGATAAGGTGAGGCCCATCAAGGTGTTTAGATGATGTACTCTGGGTGGCCTACCTAGTAGGTGGTCCACCTAGTAGGTGGCCCCTCATCCATCTGGGCTCTCAAAGAGCTCTGTAGATATTGCCAGAGTCTAGGGACCCTAGGACTGACCCCTGTTCTCCTCCATTAGAATCAACCAACAAAATGTACACAAGGCTCTATCCAAACAGTAATCACTTTATAATCAAGCACTGATATTAACTGATAATTAACCAAGAAAGAATGGGGAGCATGCCCTGGAGTTTCAGGGAGGGAGGCCCAGCCTTTAGGTGTCAAAAGCCACGAGTGCTCCTAGTGTTAGGGCAATAGCCTGTGAGAGACCGGGAGCGTGGGTCCTCCTGAGCAGTGTCCTTCACACCCGTGAATCCTTCCTCCACTCACACCCATCACTTGGCCTTGGGATTTGCGGGCTTGCTGAGTTGGGGAAGCAGCTCATACCTTCCCACTATGAAGAGGAGAAGCAGAGCCAAGTGCTTGGCTGAGGTAGTGAGTTTTGTGCTTCTCCTGCAACCCCCTGGGTTTGGTGCACCCATCAAGCACGTGCTCCCCTCCAGACCCCACCTCTGGCAGCCTCAGATAGGGTGAAAAAATAATTATTTTGAGAATCAGGAGATCAGGGCGAGCCTGAGGCCAAAAGAGACTCACTTCTGCCAAAGTAATAATGATACCCCATGAATATATACAAATTGTAAATTTACAATAAAAGATAAAAATGAAAAAAATGAAATCTTTGCATCCTCCGTCAGCCCTAATCTTTTGGATTCTTATCTTGCTGCAATACTCAAAAAGATCAAATACATAGATGGTTAAAATATTAATGGCTGATTATCTTAAATGAGAATTCTACACTGCCTTTACCAAAGGACCGAATCGCTAATGAATTTTTAGGCACTATCTCCTGACTTGTGGTGTTGGTGTCTGGAGAGATTACAAGGCTGGGAGATCCTAATCGTTTCTCTTAATTCACACCATATACATGTTTCCTGTCCTTTGGCAGAAGGCAGAACCAAGGAAGCTGAACACTTCCGGCTTCAATTCCCTTGCAGAGCTGGAGATTGAATGGAGGAGGCTGGCTGGAGGCTCTGTGGGCTGGGAAAGGGGTCCTGGTCCTGTTTTGCCAAAGGAAGGAAGCAAGCACAGTTTCCTTCTTTAGTTGGGAGGGGTAACAGGGAAGTCAGGCTAGGGGCTCAGAAGTATAACCAAAGCAACCAACTCTTCCTTGACACGCAGCATTGTGCTCTTCCTCTGTGGGGTGACTATCACAGCCTCTTGGTTGTTCCCTAATACACATTTTCCTGTTCTTCCCTAGTAAGAATCCCCAATTGCACATGGTGAATATAGTTAATAATAGAGTATTGTACATTTCAAAATTGCTAAGAGAGCGCACTTCAAATGTTCTCACTACAAAAGTGTTAAGTATTTGAGGTGATGGATATGTTAACTAACTTGACATAATTATTCCACAATGTGTTTATAAATCAAAACATTCCTTTGTACCCCATAAATATATACAAATTGTAAATTTACAACAAAATATACAAATTTTAAAAAGAGAAAAGAAGTCCCAAGTGTTATTTGGCCAAAAGGCCACCCCCAAATAAAGACTGTATTTCCCAGCCTCCCTTGTACTCAGTTGCAGCCATGTGACTTAGTTCTAACCAAAGGGTTGTGAGTAAATGTCTACTATGTGATGACCCACAAGTATCCTTAGAGAAAGGTCATGCCTGTCTTTGCTCCTTCCTGCTTTCTACTGATTGGAATGTAGATGGGGTGGGTAGAGCTTGAGCAGTCATCTTGGACCATAAGGTGGTGGCCAGGTTTGAGAATGCAAAACAATAAGATGGAAGGAACCTGGGTATCTGGTGATCATGGCACCACCATATAGCCCTGAACTTCCCACAGTTTGTCTCTTTTTTCATTACAACTTTCTGTTTTAAATAGTTTAAGACTCATACGAACTTGTAAAAAATAGTATAAAGAGTTTCTATATACTCCTCACCCCATTTTCCCCATTGGTAACATATTACCTAGCCATAGCACAATTGACATTGGTACAATGCTGTTCACCCAAATATAGACCTTATCTCTGTATTTGTTACATGATAGAGAAAAAAAAATTCTATCTCATTTGGGCTACTTTGCATTGTTTTGGTTTTATTTTTTATCACTCACAATGAAATCTTTTTCTAACTGATATGAATTTCCAAAAAATATAAGGTGGCATCCCAGCCCCCTCCCTGAGAAATGGATACAGTAGGCAGAAGGAGCTGACACAGACGCAGGGAACTAGAAAAACTTCAGGACAATGTAGAAAAGTCTTTTGAAACAGAGAGAGACACAGGACTACGAAGTCATCTTTCCTTTCGATGGTGCTGAGAGAACTGTCCTCACCGGCCTCCTTACCCCACCACTGACTTTGCATCCTTGCCTCACCTTCCCTACCTCGGAGCTCACCTTTCTCATGCTAGAACCACCTGCATATCCACATCTTACCTACCCAGAGCTCTGCATCTCCCTGCCAATTCTTGGAGACTTAAGATTCTCATTAGTATTGCCAGCTCCTGGCCCATCAGAGTCACATGTTGGGAGAGAGGAGTGAAGGCAGGTGACATTTGTTGGTATTTTCAACTCGGGTGAAAACAAACAAATTGCACTGAAGTTAAATGTCAAAGGCCCCTGAGCACATTGCAAGGGAGAGAGGGAGGGAGGAGCACCTCCTCACAGGGGCAGCCTTTTCCTTGTCCCTGGGTGGGTGTGCATGGGGGATGCAACCGTGCTGGAAGCCTGCAAGGAGGGCAAAGTGTGCAGTGTTTGTCCAGTGTCCAGCTTCATCCCGTCATGGGCAGACTGGTTATACACGGGCAACACCAAGTGAGGACACTCATTTATTCTCCATCTATTTGCTGACAGAACATTTACTGAGAACTTACTACATACACAGTTGCTGTAATAGGTGCTGAGGGAAGCCAACTATGAAACAAATTTTCACTGGCCTCCACCTCCAGGGAATAGATCTCCTTTAGAGAGGACATAAGATGTATAAATATATAATGTAAGAAGCAAATGAGTATTATCTCGAGGAGTACAAAGTTCTTTGAATGCTCAGACAGAGGAGGAAGGAAGATCAGGGAAGAATTTCAGAAGCTTTGTCATGAGACCTGAAGGAGGGACAATATTTAGACATGCACAGATGTGGGCTATAGGTGCCACTCACCTCAAAGACACCATAAATGCATCTCCATGGATATCACTATTAGCTTTGATATTGTTGTTTCCTCAAACTAAAGAGAAGTGCACTAAGGGAACTAGACATGTGTGATATAATCTAGGAGAGGAGGTTTTGTTTGTTTTACTCCTTAATCCATGGGGGGATTTCTTTGGTCTGTGAACTGATTGAAATCGTATGCCACATTTTTTGTGATCATGCATTTTTCTGTAAAGAGTGCCCACAGCTTTCATTAGAATTTATGTGGTAGAGGTGACTTCTCCCAAAGTTCAATTCCTATTCCACAAGCTGGCAAGAAGTGGGGCCTCACTGAATCTTGGACCATTACTTGTCTGTCTGAATCTACTCCATGAAGAGAGGCTGGAGGTTTCTAGATGTGGTTCTTCCTGCACACCTGAGACCTGGGTTACATGCCTCATCTGGAGAGACCCTAAAGCAGCTGCAGCTCAAGAGGGTGGGGCAAGAGATAAACAGGGGAAGGGACGAGACAAGCTCTTCCCCTGGGGGAAGCAGCATCTTCTGCTTACATCTGGCCCCATGGTGATTGAATTATCAATCCTCAGACTTAATGAGCACCTCTCTAGTCTGGCCACGCGGCCTGTGTTGG
The DNA here is from genome assembly GCF_000001405.40 of Homo sapiens. Lineage (NCBI taxonomy): Eukaryota > Metazoa > Chordata > Mammalia > Primates > Hominidae > Homo > Homo sapiens. The sequence continues at coordinate 40,451,607 of NC_000006.12, forward strand.
GGAGAGCAGACATTTCATTACTAGAATTCGGTGGTGCCGTGTGGATCCTGGTCTCCTGACAATTACGAGAAGGAGCTGTAGTGCCAGGCAGCAGCCTTGTGTTAACCTTACCCTGTTAGAAACATGCCAACTCTCTGCCACTCCCTAGTCACATGTGTAGCTCTATGTGATCAGGGGAGGCAAGGTGCCCCTTCTAGGAGACCCAAAGTACAAAACAAATGCCTTGTTTGGATGTTCCCTTGGGCCTGGACCATCTGGCTATCCAGAAATAATGAGAAGGCACATATGACACCTTTCCAGATTAGGATTAAGAAAGAAATGCACAGGCTGCTGCTGGACAATTTCTAGGAATCATCATCACTCCTTCATCTTTTTACTTCCAAGGGTATCTCTCCCAACTAAGATGACTTTATGGATACCTCAGGTCACTGTAGATATCACCATTATCTTCCCTCCTACACAAGGAGAAACAAAGGCACAGGGAAAAGGCCAGGGGCACTAGTAGAAGACTCTAGGAGGATGTCCGAAGTGTCCAATCTTACCACCCAGTGAAGGTCTTCCAAGAATCAAGGGCAAAGTGTAGATCAGAATTGTTGTGTCATGTGACAATGCATGTCAGAGTTTCTCTAGGTCACCCTGCCTCATGTCCATGGCATCACCTGGCCTCAAGGACAGAGTCATGGCTGGTCAATATCAAAAGCCCAAGGCCAACCAAATCTTGGGTCAACCATGCCATAGGACTGCTCCCGTGATATTGCTGACATCCCAAACCAACAACAATTTAGAATTAGCCACATCAGTTAGCAAAGTCATGATAGCCAGTGGTGTCTCCAGTCAGTGTTAGAATGTCACTCCCTGCATTAGTGAGTCCTGAGCACTGCTGGATTATTACTTCAGAGCATCCTGACATGAAGGAAAGAGAAGTACATTTCAGCTTGTGGCCGTGTGATCCTCCCTAAATTCTCCACCCTGGAAGCCAGAACAACTGAGGGATTTGACCCACTTAATTGTTTCACCAAGTCCAGAAAAACTTAGTGATGGGTGACAGGTCTCTGAAAAGAGCCACGCAGACCACAAGTAGCATAGAAATGACTGAGGACATAAGGGAGGTTCCTTTGAAGCCAACCGTATGAACATTATGGAATTATCCTTCTCCCCCAATACTTCCTTAGCACACAGAGAGGAGGTCACACAAAGAGAAGGTCACACAAAGAGAGAGAGAGAAGGAAGCAGAGGGTGAGAAAGAGGAATAGGGGAAGGGGAGAGGGAGAGGAAGAGAATATACACAAGGAACCTTAGAAAGAGAAATTCCAGCATATCACACTAGCCCCCTAGGGCAAGAGATTTGGTTGTAGCCTCCGGCAACTTATGTAAAATAAGAGTGACTCTTTGCTAGGTGTAAGAGATGAGCCCCATGGCAAACTGCATTGACAAAATAGGTGACTCTTCCTCAATGGGAATGTTCTATGGCACCCTGCTTCAGGCTACAGAAGGGTCCTGATCACTATTGCAGGTAGAGACTCCAGCTCTCTCCAAGAAGAAACATAAAGTCTTTTCCTGTTGTGTACCCTGCAGGGAACTGTCACTCTAGAAATGTCATTGATTATGTCAATACGGTTGGAAGGAAAAAGGAAGAGAAGTATTGGAGAGTGAAGATGTGGCAATAGGGTTGAGGGCAAAGGAGAAACTAATTGGCTGGCTTTGATATTCTCATTGTGCATTGACATGGCACAATGTGGGGGATAGATGAATGACATCTCATCTCTCTCTAGCTTTAAGGATCCTAAGCATCCATGTAACAAGGATCACCCCACAACACCCACCGCAACCACCCTTAGCAATGCCAGGCCCACCACCACCCACCACTCCTCAATAGGGTCAACACCATTGTTACTCCCCCAAGCCAAACACACACACACACACACACACACACACACACACACACACACCTCCCTTTGAGTTGACTTTGCAAACACACATACCTCTCTTTGCGTTGACTTTGATATCCAGATTTTCTTTCCTCTGAGTTAAAAAGACACTCTTTTCCTCCAAAGACATTAGCCTAGAGGGAAGCGTGATCAGGACTGGGTGATATGCAGGAGTATTTTGAGTTTTACTCACATCACTCACAGGGTTTTTAATTTGCTGAGGGCATGTTTTGTGCCCAAGGATCAGTAAGTCACTGATACTGACGACTCTCTACAACAAACTAATTTCAAGGCTCTTTCGGATGTGCCAAAGCTCAAAGCAAAATGTTCCCATAAACATCCAGGCCCTGTCCATTGTCTCATCAGATTCAAAACACCAGCTAGCCTCTCCCTGTCTCTCCCTGCTTCAGGTAAACCCTCCAGTCCCTGTGTGGTTTTTGTGCTGGACTGTCTCTCTACGCCATCTCATCTTGCTAGGAATGACTCTGGGTTCCCTGAAGTGGGGTCTCCTGTATAGTTGGGATGCTCCAGACCAAGACCATTGATCATTTAAAACCTCCTTGGATGTCTAACATGCTCAATCTTATGGATAATTAAGGAAATGCAAAGGAAAACACTTTAATTTCATTTTTTCCCAAGAGTTTGGTAGAGACAAAGATGTTTGATAATAGCCAGTGCTGGTGAGGCTGTAGGCAAACAAACACAGCCAAACACTGTTAGGGCTGTTGGGGAGGGAGGTGCAAATTAGACAAATTCTTGAAAGACAATTTGGAAATATCTATAGAAATTTTAATGCTGTCCTGGGTGCATCTAGTTGGGGATGGTGTCATGGGTGGTAAAATTTACCAAGACAGTTGTAGGTAAAGAAAGGCAGATTAGAGAAAGTATGAAAATATGTTTCAAGGGTGCAATGGGCAGCACAGCAGAGAAGGGCTGTCTGCAAAGAGCCTGGGGCTGCAGGGAAGTTTTATAGGGTCATGCTGGAGGGGGTACGTGCAGAAGGAGGTCATTGTACCCTCAAATCATTTGTGATTGGCCATCTCTCAGAACAATTGCTCATTTTTCTCCCCTACCTAGGCCCTCCCCTACCTGGGGCCCCTTCCTTGTTCTTCTTTACTTATCTTATCAGGACTCTACACTATCCACTCTTTGATCCAGCAATTTCACATCTAGAAATTTATTCTGCACAGATACTTGTACTTACACACAAAAATTAGATATAAGAATTTTGTTATAGCATTGTTTATAAGAGCCAAAGACTATATATAACTTAAATATTTACCTATAGCTTACCCATATGTGAAATGCTGAGTTGCAAAACCTAATGCATAGTGAGATCCTATTTGTATCCCTGAAAAGGACACATACACACAAACACACACATAAGCACATCTATTTATCTTCTATATGCTGTCGATGTATAAGCCAGAAATTTTTTGAAAGGTTTCTCTTAGAGCTGTAACTGGGAATCTAGGACATAAAAAAGACGTCCTTTTTATTATACACACTTTTGCACTGTTCCCATTTTTTAAATTTAAATCTATTGCTTTTATAATAAGAAGAAACTATTTGTAAAGTAAATAACTGAAATAAAATGTATACCTCTTGACTGTTTCCCTTCCTCTTTATTCTCATGGTTTCTGCCTTGGAGTCATGCTTTCCTCTCACTTGGCTTATCACAGTAGCTTTCTGTCACTCCTCAATATGCAATGCCTGTGCATCTCTGAGACTACTTTGCACCACTCTACCAAACACATCATGATCTCATGGCCTCACCTGCCCCTCAGACCACCAGCTGTTTGCTCCACCTCGGTTGTCACCTCAGCAGAACATTTCCATGCAGCCATGTGGATTCCATGTGGGGTCTGGCATAAGCCCCCACACCACCTTGTGGCATGAGATCTGGCTTCAAGAGCAGACCCTTAAGGGGCCAATGACACAACCTGGAAGTGCAGGGGAGTTAACTCCTTATGGGGTACTAGCCAATGGAAATATCCTAAAATGGAGATAAAAGTATTACATATTCCCCCCAGGGCTCTCAAACAAGCCAGCAATTATCCCAGCTTTATTCACTCTAAAGGACTGTGCAAACCTGAGGATTTACCATGCAGCAGCAGCAGTATCACTATCATCTTTATTGTGTTATTTTGTGGCCTTGAGCACACACATAAGAGCACAAGATATCAGAAGGGGAGGAGGTGGGACTTGTCAATATGATGGGTGTGATGGGGTACCATTTCTGTGATTACATGACATTGCAGGGCAGAGGAAGTTTTGCAGATGTTATTAATGAAGGTCCCTCATCAATTGACTTTAAGTTAATCATAAGGGAGATTATCCTGGGTGGGCCTGACCTAATTAGGTGAGCCCACAGAAGGGACTCAGCCCTTGCTGAAGTCATGGAGATTCAAAGTGGGAGAGATGTTTCTCTTTCTGGCTTTGATGGTGCAAACTAGCATGTTGTGGAGAAGGCCATGCAGCTGGGAGTGGTAGGCAGCCCCTAGGAAGAAGGAGAGACCCGCAGGTTGACAGCCTGCAAGAGAGAAGGGGCCTCAGTTCTACAACTTCAAGGAACTGAATTCTGCCAACTTAGAAGTAGATATTCCCCTAGAATCAAGCCTACAGATAAGAATTCCTTGACTTCAGCTGTGTGAGACCCTGAGCAAAGAAGTCACAGAAACTGCAAGGCAGTAAACCTGTGTTGCTTTAAGCCAAGTTCCTGCTAATTCATTATGCAATAACAAAAAACTAACACATACCCAGAAGTGTGAATTCATTTCAGACTGAAAGAAGGAGGCAGATAACTGCTTAGAAAGCCAGAGGAGAAGGACAATGAACTCCTAGGAAATGAATCTAGGAAAGAGAGACTGAGAGAAACTAGACCCAGGTATGTCGATGACATGTGTTTCCTAAGCCTGAAGTAGCCTACTCTGTAGCTAGCCTGAGTACTTAGGGTCACTGATCTCTTTGAATCTTGTGCTCTTGTGTGTGGCCAAGGCCACAAAATAATGATCGTGCTGCTGCTGCGTGGCAATGCCTTGTGTTTGCACAGCCCTTTAAAGTTAACAAAGCTGGCATATTGGTTGGCTTGTTTGATTCTCTAAGATCCCTGAAGGGAATATTTAATACTTTTATCTCCATTTTACAAATGAAGAAAATGAAAACAGATTGTTGAGGGCTCTCCATAGTTACACAGTTATTAAAGGCTGTCCAGGACTCAGACCTGAGGCTCACGACTCCCTCTCCAAGGAAGGAGAGAAAAGGGAAGGGTGAAAAGCAGTAGCTATGCTCCTTGGGTCAAGGACACAAGAACCAGCCTCAGAGGCAGCCCAACTCCCACTTGGTTGTAGTCATTTTGGCACCTAGGGAAAAATAGCATTCCCAGAATCACCACACATGCTTTTCTGTAACCAGGAACACACCAACCACGCAGCTCTTCATCTTTCAGCTCAGTGAAGGATAGGGGTGGTCACCATCCAATCCCCTCCAACCATCCCAAACCACCTCCCCTGCACCCCTCCCCACCACCCTTTCCTCTGTTCTCTCCTCCTCCTCTTCCCCTATCAAAACATACCTGTTCTAATTCCTAGTCTCTGCTCACTAAGAATATCATCACCATATGGAGGTAGAAATGGATAACAATGGCTTACATTTCTGTCTGTAAGCCAAGAGAGATGTGTATATTTTAAGAGTTTTTTCCTTAGAGTCCTAATCCAAAGGAGGGATCTTAAATATGTGGATTTAGGGCCTTGAAATATAGGTAAGCTGCTTACTCTGGAAGAAAGCCCGTCATTCCACAAGGAAGTTTGGGGGAGAAAAAGGGATTAACCTTTTTCTCCCCCAAAATAGCTATCTTGTTAGTCACATGTATAAATATTTTCTGTTATACCAAGGGAAATGTAGGTGGAGCTTGCCTTATTGTCAGCATAAGGTTACATCAGAAATGAGAAAACTCAGGCCAGAGTCAGTGGCTCACACCTGTAATCCCAGCACCTTGAGAGGCTGAGGCAGGAGAAATCACTTGAGCCTAGGAGGTTAAGGCTGCAGTGAGCCATGATCATACCTCTGCACTCCAGCCTAGGCAACAAAGAAAGACCCTGTTTAAAAAAAAAAAAAAAAAAAAAAGAGAGGGAGAGAAAGGAGATGATAAAATTCTGTAAAAACCTGAAGGTGCCATGATTTACCATGGGATCTTGTGCAAACACGTGTGGTAGATGTGATGAATGCTCACCAGTATCCAGCTCTCCTCCCCTTCTAGACAAAACTTCTCAGCGCTCTTGCAGGTCTGAGAGCTCTGTGACTGCATTTGGCCAATGAAATATAAGCAAAATCAATGTGTGTGATTGACAGATATGATCATCCAGCCCCTTTCCTGTCCTGCCATGAGGGTCAAGGGGGCTGGGCAGTCCAGAAGTTGTAGCTACAGGAGAATGAAGCTATCATTAGCCTGGATTGTTTAGGGCCACATATAGGACAGCTGCCCTTAAGAGTCATTCAGGCCCATAGTGGATTTTGTGAGGGTGATAAATAAACATTTGTTGTGTAAGATTGGAGGCCGCTTGTTACTAAAGCATAATCTAGTTATTCTAATTAATAGATCTCTTAACTTCACTGAGGCTGTTTTCTTTAACATGTGGAGAAACCCTGCCCAGCCTTCATTCTAGGGTGGCAGTGAGGAACAGATGAAACCACTGATAACTGCTTTGTAGTAAACACGAATGTATAAATTATGCCAGGTTAGATCAAGTAGTGGGCAATTTGCCGGAATGATTTCACTGCAATTGGTGCAGGCAGTGATAAGCCTCACACATTAGGGAGCAGGGAGAGCTAGGCAGTGGATACTTTTATTTTAAAAAAGTACTATTTAGGAGCAGCAAAAAGTCCAAAGTTCTCTGAGAACAGCCATACATGTCAGTCTAGGGCTGTCCACTGCACTCTACACGTTGGTTTCTATATCCTGGCTATGTTGACGGGTGATAGTCCAGAGCAACATAAAGTCTCAGCTTTCTCCATTTCCCCAGCAGTGAGATAGAGCAGAATCACTAATCACCCTTCCTTCCATGCTAACAGACCCCATCCCTCCTCCAGGGTTGCTTGGGCAAATGGTACCAGACTCTCCTAGAATGGCAATGTGACCTTGTGTTCTCCCAAGGAAAGTGTGCAGCAGTGATGAACGCAACTTCTTCATCCCTTGCTTTAAACAAAAACTGTTCTTCTTGGCTTCTCTTTCCAATTCCCAGGAGCTGGGTAGTTGCCAGCCACCCAGCCCCAACAACACAGATGAGCCCAGCACCCAAGGGGTTTGAACCATAAGATAGAAGAATCCTGGGTCTGAATGACTGTCCAGCACAACTGACCCCACCAGCTGGCACCAACTAGACTGCTCTGTGAGAGGAAAATACACTTCCGTCTTATTTAAGCCATTCTCTTTTCAGACTCTTTGTTACAGCAACTTTACCTTATCCTAACTGATACACTGGATTAAAAGATGCTACAACAAATGTTTTAGTTTATTTCATACGTGGTTTCCAAGAACTCATGAGACCAACATAACAAAAAGTCTTTCTGGTTTGTAAACTGGGCTAAAGATCTCTACCTTCCCTAAGAAGGAAAGCCAGGTCCCTGGACTAGGCAGGCAGGTTGCAGGGCACTGAAGGGTGCCCTTTGGGTCTCACTGTCTCATTCTCATTTCCCCCAAGAATCCAAGGAAATTGTTTCTTTACCTTGGCCACCACATTTTCAACAAAGTGAACAAAGTCTATGATGGAGAAGTCATAAGAGTAATAGGCCAGAGGAACTTCAATTGTGAGGGACGATGTGTTCCCCTGGTCTCTCTACCCAAGGGGTGACCAAATAGAGTAAGAAGCTTGGAGAGGTTGTGTGTGACACATAACTCCTTAGTAAATTGCAAACACTGTCTTTTTACAGTAAATTATGATGTGTCAAGTATAGACAAAACATGTGTGTTTTGCTGTGGACTTCTCTCCATGAACACTTCACCATTCCCTGCTTCCTACTGTCCTCCCCTCTCATCTCTGCAGGGCCTAATCCTATCAGTCTTTCAGGGCCCAGAACAAATGCTATCTCTTCTCCCTTGAAAAATCTGCATGTTCCCTACAACCAGGTCAGTTGCTCCCATGTCCAAATACCAAGGCACTTTCACCTATGCTTCTTTTGGGATGCTTGGCACTATGTGCCTTCTGGATGGGTTGGTGAAGACACACAGCAAAGACTTGTGGTTTGGATGGAGGGAGGACCTTTTAATGAGAACATTTAATCTTTGTCTCTGGCTAGGGGCCTCATACATTATTTCGCCTAATTCTTATATCAACTCTATGAGTCGGGCACTATTAAGAGCACCAAGAGGTGAAGTCACTCACTCATGGTCACCCAGCTAACAACTAGGGAGGAAGAAATTCAAACCTAGGAAGCTGCAATTGCAAGCCAATATTTATAACCACTGTACAACGCTGCCCTCATTCTTGACAGGGACAAATGGGTGCCCATGAAGCTGGGCTCAAGGAAAATATTGATGGCAGAGAAGGTGGCTGCAACCAGGAGCGGTTGGAAGTTCAGAAGTCCCCATGTGGACTCTTGTGGAGTCTCCTCACAGGGGCTCCTTCCGGAGGCTCCTACTGACAGCAGGCCTGAGCTTTGAGTTAGTCAACCGAGACAGTGAAACTACTCTGTCAATTAAGTCAAACATCTGGTTAATGCAGTGAAAAATCAGTCACCAGGGTTCTGGCCACAGACCCAGGACTTCTTCCAGGCTGTAGACTCTTCCCCAGTCCCCTGCAGATGGAAGAGATGCTTCTTTAATTCCCAGACCCGGATTTGCATGCTCCTTTCTGATTGGTTGGTGAGGCTCTCATATAATCTTGTTCTATGGACCTACCATGAGCATAGGAGGGGCAAATTCTATGGCCTCTGAAATGAGCATTAGAATGGAGAGCTGGATTCAGCCCAGATCCCAAAGCACATTCCCAAGCCGTGTACTAAGTTCTGTGCTGCCTGCTGTAGAAATGCAAATTGCCATAATAAATGCCAATTATCCCAATTACCTCTAATTGTCTGGCTTATGTAGCAAGAGCATTACCATAGGAGAGGCCTACAAGGGAGAGGGTGTATTTAACAGAATACCCTATCCAGGGAGCTGGGTTATAAATGAAGTAGGTGAGCTGGCCCAGAAAGCCCCCTCCATAGCCCCTGGGATAGATCACCACAGAAAGATGAGGAGACTTCATAGTCTCCCAGCTGCTTGAGGACAGCACTGATGCAGTGACATCTTTATGCAATGGTCATTAAATGTTATTTTAAAAAGTTGGCCAAGTGCTGGAGAGATAAGCGCAGAGAATATATGCTTGTTCCCTATGCCTCTTCCTTCTGGCCAGCTGAGTCTACGGAACAACTAGGGGAGAGGGTAGGCTATTGAATGAAACAATGACATTATTTTCCATCATTGTAATGTAACATTTGATTCATTCATTTATTTAATCAACCAGCCAGGCAATCAGGAAGCATACACTATATACCAAGCATCTGGAAACAGCATTTTGAGCTGAAAAGTGACATTAGAAATTTTACACACTGGGCTGGGCGCAGTGGTTCATGCCTGTAATTCCAGCAATTTGGGAGGCTGAGGTGGGAAGATGGCTTGAGGCCAGGAGTTCAAGACCAACCTGGTCAACATAGCAAGGATTAGTCTCTACAAAAAAATAAAAAACATTAGTCGGGCATGGTAGTCACACCTGCAGTCCCAGCTACTATGGAGGCTGAAGTGGGAGGATTGCTTGAGCCAAGGAGTTCAAGGCTGCAGTGAGCCATGATCACACCATTGCACTCCAGCCTGGGTGATAGAGTGAGACCCTGACTCTAAAAAAATAAAATAAAAACTAAAAAAAAGAAATTATACACACTGCATGTCCAACAATTATACCAAATGATTTCATTCCTTCGCATAGCAAATAATTTTTTGAGCCAGGCACAGTTGCAGCCCCGAAAATACAGCAGTAAACAAGATAGATCAAATCCCCAGCCACCCCCCTCCCCCCGACAAAAAAAAAAAACCCTCCCTTCAACAGAGCCTATATTATAGTTTGGGGAGACAGAATACACGAGATAAATAAAGTAAACATGATATCAGAAGGTGGTAAGTGCTAAGGAGAAAAAATAAAGTAGGAGAGGCGAGGGAGATTACCAGGTCTGGGATTGAAATTTAATGTAATTTGGATGACATGAAAGAAGATGACACAAAACCTTTAGTAGCAGCAATGAGAGACTGCACCCTCCCCGCAAAACCTCACACTCTATTAGTCACTACCTGAATAGACTAGAGACAATTTGATACAATACAGAAAAATGTGGTCATAGGCTATCTACAAATACATTAGCTGAGGTCCCATTTGTAGTTATGCAGGCTCATTTTTTATTAGCTTAGGTAAGATCACAAGTCTTGCTGGACCTCTTAATTCTGTTACAGTATTGATTAAGTTTGAGCAAATGCAAAACGTGCAATTTACACATACCTTTGTGAAATCAAAACCTCTCCATTTACTGACAGAGCAGTAATTACTGCAAGAACTGAGGCCACCTCAGCTAAAACCAATAAATGATTTCATTTGCCAATGAAAAGAAAAACAGAGGCGAAGTATTAAGTCTGGGAATTGTTGCCTTGCGCTCCCGTTCTTAACCCTGGCTTGGTCCAATGGCAGAAGCATGGGTGAGCTCAGGATGATGGAGAAAAGCCCTGGGATAGTGGCTGGTAGGAATGTGTGGATTACAAATGAAGCTACACAAGTCCCTCCATACTCTCTTGCAGGATTCCAGGTACCCTCTTGGCTTTGGCTGAAGATGCCTCCTCCAGAAGCACATGGACTCCATTCTGGGAAACCCCTGCAGCTCCCCTCAGTATGTGATTCATAGCCTCCCTTCCCTAAGTCCTCTCTGTCTAGGAGAAGGCCTTCTCCTACCTCACTCTTTCGCTCCCTCATTCCAAGAATTTTTACTGACATAGAGGCATCTAAATCTGTATCTCTTATTCAGTCCTTGTAAAGCAATCTTGGTTCATCAATGGGGCCACGATGAATACAACCACAGTGATGATATCTCACAAGTGACAGCACTTTACAGTTTATAAAAACATTTTTTGTCTATCATCTTGTCAAATCTTCACAATAATCCTACATCTCCATTTACAGATGAAGGCACCAAGGCTCACAGGAGGTACCCAAGGTAACAAAGAGTGGAAGCCAGGTCAGTCTGGCCACAGTGCACATGTCCACTGTTACCTTATAAAGACCAGTTGCTTCCAGGGCCCAATGTACCCTTGCCTAGTAATAGAATTGTGGTTGGGGAGATGGCTTCCAGAAAAAAGACATTATTTCCCAGCCTCCCTTGCAACTAGGTGTAGCCATGTGGCCAAGTTCTGGCCAATGAAGTGTAAGTGGTAAAGGTATAGACAACTTCTAGGAAGTGTCCTTAAAGGAAGGGTTGAGCTCTTCCCTCATCTCCTTCCTGCTGGCTGGAATGTGAATGTGACAGATGGAGCTGCAGTGGTCATCTTGAACCATAAGGTGGATTTGGGAGTGAAAGACATGCAGGGTAATAAGGTGCAAGGAGCTTGGACCACCTAGTTAGAGTTTATATAAGAGGAAAATAAACTTCTATTGTACAGTTTGGATTTTCTGTCACTCAAAGTCATACTTTGTCCTAAGTTATATAATAGTATTTTGTCTACAAACAGAGCTGCCCTTGGATATCTCTCTACCTCTGCAACCAGAATGCTAATTTGGAGGCTCTTTATCTCTCCCCTGGACTGCTGCAATAGCTCCTGACTAATCTCCCCTGCTCCTAGTTTCAGTATTTCATATCCTTTTTCCACTCTGTGGACAGAGGGACCTAACAATGATACTACTCTGGCTACATTCTTTCCTGGCTCAAAAACTTTTCCCATTTGCTCCAAGGTGGTGTTTGAACATCTTCCAATGGGTGCTAGTGTCCCACAACCACATTCCTGCCCAGCTCTTTAGCGGAATCTCTACCCTTCTCTGCCCAGAGTTTTAAGTGAGCAGTGATACTTACTCCACTCCATGTTCCCTGCATTTCCCTGCATACATCATACTATTTCTTTCTTTCTATTTTTTTTTTTTTTTTTTTTTTTTGAGGCAGGGTCTCACTCTGTCACCCAGGCTGGAGTGCAGTGGCACGATCACGGCTCACTGCAGCCTCAACCTCTTGGGCTGAAGTGATCCTCCCACCTCAGCTTCACAAGTAGCTGAGACTACAGGCATGCACCACCGTGCCCAGCTAAATTTTTGTATTTTTTGTAGAAACAGGGCTTCAACATGTTGCCCAGGCTGGTCTTGAACTCCTGGGCTCATGCCATCACACCATTTCTTATCCATGTGTATTTGCTCATGCCTCCTTTCCACCTTGAACAATGACCTGCCTTTACCTGGCCAACTCCTAATGTCCTTCAGTGTTAACTCGGACTTTACTCTGCAGGAAGTCCTTTCTGTTCTGTCTCTTAGCCCCATTCTAGACTGTGTTCCACCAATTCCCAGCTCAGGTCTCTATCACTACATTTACCACACTGCATTATAATGATTTCATATGGGTCTATTCTTTCCTTTAGACTGTGAAACCCTCCAAAGCAAGGACTGGTGTGTTTTTCATTATTTTCTCACTAGGATCTGGTGCAAAACATGGCCTAACCATTCATATTTCTGATGAATCAATAGATTAATTAATTATAGCAGTGCTATGGTTTGAATGTATGCCTTAAAGTTCATGTGTTGGAAACTTAATCATCAATGCAACAATGTTGAGAGTTGGGACCTTTAAGGTGATTAGGTTATGATGAATTAATGCTGTTATGGTGGAGTAGGTTCCTGATAAAAGAATTAGTTGTCCACTCCCCTCCCCACTTCAGCCATGGGATGATGCAGCAAGAAGACCCTTGTCAGATGCAAGCCCCTTGACCTTGGGCTTCTCAGCTTCCAGAACTGTAAGAGATAAATCTCTGTTCCTTATAAATTATCCACTCTCAGGTATTCTGTGATGGCAGCATAAAAGGACTAAGACAAGCAGACTCTGTTGGGTGTCTCACTCACACCCCTCAATGTCCACCATTCCCATGCATTCTGAGGGCTTCCTGCCCCAAGCACATGTGACTCTGCCTTCCGTGGCCACAAGAGTCAGTGGGCTATGGAAGACAGGTCAAAAATGCAGAAGAGTTATTCAACCCCTACTCCAAACCAATCTCGGATGGGAGCTGGTGAATAAGTACCCCAGCCTTCTCACCCTTTGGGTAGGATGACTCTCAGGTGTAATCTACACAATCTCTTGTGGTAGGCAGAATAATGGCCCTTTATAGATGTCCACATCTTCATCCCTAGAGCCTATGAATATGTGAGGTTACATGACAATAAGGAATTAAGGTTGCAGATATAATTAAAGTTGCTAATCAGCAGACTGTAAAGTAAATATTATGCTGGATTATCCTGGGAGCATCCAATATAATCAATAGGGTCCTTAAATATGAAAGAGGGAAGGAGGTGACAAGGTCAGAGTGATGCAATGTGAGAAGAACTAGACCCACTGTTTCTGGCTTTGAGGGATGGGGTCATAAGCTAAGGAGTGTGGGCAGCCTCTAGAAGCTAGAAAGAGCAAGGAAACATATTCTACCCTAGAGCCCCCTGAAAGGAATGTAGCTCTGCCAGTACCTTGATTTTAGTTTAATGAGACCCATTTTGAACTTCTGAACTACAGAACCGTCGGATCATATATTTGTTATTTTAAGCTATCAATTTTGTGATAACTTGTTACAGAAGCAACAGGAAACTAATGCACTCCTGGAAGTCTCCAGGAAACATGAGTCTCAGGTGTTCAAATCAGTGACTTGCTTATGAGCAGCCCCATATTGGCTTCTTGCCCTTCCTGCTCTCACTTCCTTACTTCTCTATCAATGCCTCTTGAAGTCACCCCCAGATAAACTTCTTACTCTCAGATCCTGACTTGGTTTACTTCTGGGAAAATCCAACATAAGATATTAATTAATTGGAGAAAACAGGGAGATATTTGACCACAAAAACCTGGGCTCTCCTGACCCATGTAGGATTTGACTCAGATCTGATACCTGACAGCTTCAGGATCCTTGAACAACATAGGATGTTCCCAAGAGGATCAAATTTCTGGGAATTTGGGGACTGGAGAGATACCCCACAATACCAGGAGTGAGGAGGGTGGGATGGGATGGAACAGAGGTTGAGCAGCAGTGGGCTTACACTGTCCACCCAGAGAAGAACAGCAGTGACCTCTAACTTGCCACTGCTGCCCTCAGGTAAGTTCCTGGAGGGGAAGGGAGGCTTTAACCTGGAAAAGAAAAGGTTGTGGGGGTGGAGACGGTAACTGGTAGAACAAGGCAGTAGTGGTGACAGAAGGCAATCCTCTTAAGGCCCTACAGTCTACCAGGGGTTTACTTAGAATATGGCAAGAAAGAGAAAGTGGTACAGCAAGGGAAGACTTGAGGCTCTCAGCTACTGACTCTCTCTTTCATTAGCCACCGAGCACTTCTTTGGGGTCTGAGATCATGGGATAATTATCTGCAAGAGAGTCCAGGAGATGTAATAAATAGGATGACCTTTGCAGGTCCATTCCCACCTGACATTTGGATACTTTATGACCTTAAGGCAAGATGACCAGATCACCCCAAGGAGCAGGCAGCAAGGATAAAGGGAGGGAAAAGCAGGAGAACCTATAAATGCGTTAAGCAAAGGTCACCCAGATGTTGCCAGGCCATCTTTCTGCAATTTTAGGGGAGGTTCCAGATGGGGAAATGAAGCTTGGTCCCAGGGAGCCCTTCACTGGAGGGAAGAGTCTCAGTCCCATTTTTAAAGATCCCCTGATGTTATAGGTAGAGCAAGGACACCCACCTGAAAGACAGCCATTAGCATCCAGTAATGTCTAGTATAAGCAGGGGTTTCCATCATGAGATGATACAGGCAGAAAGGAGAGGCCCCCACTCAAGAGTCTACCAGAATTGTTCCCGCCAGAGGACAAAGATACAGCATCCTGGGCTGGACCTAGCATGAGATTTAGAGGTAGATGGTGCTCCAATCCACTTCCACTTCTTCATCCCTATGCAAGTCACCCCAGGCAAGTCACTTCTGTCCCTGCCTTAATTTTTTAGCCGTAAAATGAGGACAACGTGTGCTTTACTTATTGTTATAGGATGAATATGGCCAAAATTCATAAGTATGTTGAAATCCTAAGCCCAAGTGCCTGAGAAATATAACTGTATTTGGAGGTAAGAGTCTTGAAGAAATAATTAAGGTAAAATGAAGTCATATATATGGGGCCGTAATCCCATGTGCCTGGTATTCTTAAAAGAAGTAAAAGTATGGACATGGACACACACAGAGGAAAAATCATGGGAAGACAGAGGGAGAAGACGGCCACCTACAAGTCAAGTAGAGAGGCCTCAAAAGAAGCCAACCCTGCCGACCCCTGGATCTGGGCTCATAACCTCTAGAATGGTGAGAAAATAAATTTGTATTGTTTAAACCACCTGTTTTTGTTTTGGTAGACCTAGCAAAGTAATACACTTATCTCAGTATTTGGAAAGTTGAATGAGATGATGATGATGATGATGATGATGATGATGATGATGATGATGTGTGTGTGTGTGTTTCAAAAATGAGGCCCTTTCCCCCTCCCATTAGTCCTCCTTCCTAGGTCCCTACTGTTCTTTCTATCACTTGATGAACTGAGGGGAGAGCTTTCTCCAGATCCTGTCTGGGGCAGGCCCAGCTGCCTGTGTCCTTGGAGGCTGGACTCAGCCTGCAGATACTGCAGCAGGCTCTGAGCTAGAGCCAAGACCTAAATCAGAGGAGGTGACATCCCCTCCTCCAATTGCGCTCCCTCCACAGCTCAGCCATGCTCACATCTCAGTGGCACAGACATGGAGACAGTGTCTGAGGGACACAGTTAGTGACTCTTGGCAAAGTCCAGAGTAGCAATACAACAGGGCTTTACAGGTGAGCTATCTGCAACCTGAATGGTAAGAAGAAAAAACAAGGAAGTTCCAGAGAGCCTGGGCATTGATCAAGGACATCTCCATGGCAGGAGACAGGAAACCAGCTGTTCTCTCTTTGACAGAGACCTAGCCTCGGCCATGGGAGGTTCTGAGTCTGGCCTCATTATTTCCCAATCTGATGGAGGAGATATAGCCTGTCTTCAGGGGACTCTTACTCAACGGAGAGAAACAGCCTCTAATTTCAGAATGACCTATTAGATGAAAGAAATCTGAGCCTTAGGGTGCTCCAATCAGACAGAGGAGCCAAATATGACTTCCTGTGTCTCCTAGTATGATGGAAGAGACCTAGTCCTTGTCATAGGCAGTCTCCAGTCTAATGAGGGTAGACAGCCTCTGCTTCAGGAATTTCCATATCTGACAGGACATACTCATCCAGCTCCAGTCCCTGCTCATGACCTTCCTAAGTGGATGAACAGGCCCTATTCACCCAGGACGGGGGTTCCCAAAACTCTTCTGTCATTAATTCCATACTTGGTTATTGGGCACCTGCTCTGGGGTGGGCTGTGGGGACTCAGAGGTGAACCTTTCTGAACCTGGGCTCTGAACTCCAGGAATTCCCAGGCTAGTGTCAGAAGCAATTGGTGAACAAGTCCTTGGCCCTCACTGCCTTCTTCCCCACCCACAAGCACTGGGAGGTCCCGGTAATGCTCTCACTAGATGATCCAGGCCTCATTAGCTGTCAGAACTTGCCTTGACCATCTCTGCGATCTGTGTCCAGCATGGGGTGCGGCCCCAGTAAAAACATGATAAGAAAGGGATGTATTAAAACCACACAGAATGGAAAGCAAAGGAATCAGTGAGAGCAATCATTCCTTTGGGGAAGAAGGGGTGTTTGAATGGGCGGAACTGGGCTCAGATGTAGGTCACAGCCAAGCTTTTGTTTTGGGTGGTGGGATTGTGTGCACTTATTCCATTACTAAAGAAAACTGTAATAAAAGTGGGTTATGTGAAGCGCAAAGAGTAGTGAGATTAAACCAGATCTGGGGGCCTGAAGTTCAAAGAGGAAAAACAGTACCCAGTGAAAACAATATGAATGGGCAGTTATAGAGGTGCTGAAGGAGCATGGGGGCTTATCCATGCCTGTGAGGTGGTGGGAGGACGTGGCAGGAGAATGACAGGCAGCTGAGCTCCTGTTCCACCTCTGCCCCTTACCCCATCTCCTCATGCATGTCTCTTCTCCTTTCTGGCTTCATTTGTAAAATGGGAATCATGTCGGCCCTATGTATCCTCCCGGTCAATTTTGAAGTGCAGTGAGTGGCATGCAGGGGACAGGAGGAGGGACAGGAGCTCATCTGAGATAACCATTGTAGTGGGTTGAATGGAGGCCCCCCAAAAGGTATATCCACGTCCTAATCCCTGAACCTGTGAATGTGTCCTTATCTAAAAAAAGGGTATTTCCAGATGTAATTTAGTTAAGGTGATGTGATTGTCCTGGATTACCCGGGTGGGCCCTAAATCCCATGACAAATGCCCTTATAAGAGGCACAGGAGGGGAAGACACACAGAGAGGGGAAAAGGCCATGTGATGACCGAGGCAGGGGTTGGAATGAGGCAGCCACAAGCCAAGGAACACCCGGAGTCATCAGAAACTAGAAGAGGCAAGGAAGGCTTCTCCCCTACAGCCTTCAGAGGCAGTGTGACTCCAGCACCTTGGTTTCAGACTTCAGGCCCTCAGGACTATAAGAGGACATATTTCTGTTGGCTTAAGCCATCCAGCCATCCGGTTTGTGGTCATTTGTTGCAGATGTCCCAGAAAGCGATCCAACCATCATCTTTGGACAGGAAACCTCCTATCCTGGGCTAGTAGGGCCTGTTAGTCCACTGAGAAAGGCCACGAGCAGGGCTCAGGGTTAGATGGGTGGGACAGTATGCAAGGCAGCCTCCACCCCATGTCTGATTCTGGAGAGTCATCCCATAATGAGCTTAGTATATCCAACCATCATCTCCATTGCATTTCTCAGGCTCTCCTTCCCTCTGGCTCTTGGGTTTGGTCACTGGAAGGCACTCATAGGAGATTGGAGGATGGACAGAGAACCAGGTCAGGGCATATCTGCTGCAGTCCCACAAACCCACCTGCTTCATAGAGGCCCTGGCAGGGGCCTTTCGGGGTTCCAGTTCTCACTGACTGGCCTCTCTCATGAACTACAGCTCTGTGTCCCTCCCTCCCTTACCCTAATAGCCTTAAAAATGGTGCTGCTCCTGCCTTGTCCCCCCAAGAGCTGCACCAGGACATCCCTCTACCCTGCACACACCCTGTAAACCATCACTTTACTCATCTCTGTAGTTAATGCTGGGAGTTAGTCATCTACCCACAGCTGGGTCCTCACCAACCACAGTGTCCACTTAGGAGCAGAGGGACAGACTTGTAACCCGGAGCCAGTCCCTTCCTTTTGAATTCCCACTGGTGGATTTGTCTTTCTAGAGCATCACATTGGGTGATCATGGGCCCCTTGGCACCTAAAGCACATGTCTGGGTCTGCTTTTCACCTGCCACACATCTCCCCATCCTGCCTGCAGAACCCCACTTGCCAAGCCAACATGGCTCCCCAAGGCATGTGGGCTGGGGAAACAGGCAGTCATGGGCTGGGTGCATCTGAGAAAACACAATGCCCACTCCTTCCACACCTGCTCAGGTAATAGAACCCACAGAGAA
This sequence comes from Homo sapiens, assembly GCF_000001405.40. Taxonomy (NCBI): domain Eukaryota; kingdom Metazoa; phylum Chordata; class Mammalia; order Primates; family Hominidae; genus Homo; species Homo sapiens. Next base: position 40,470,283 of record NC_000006.12, read on the forward strand.
ATGGAGCCAAGTGTTTTCCATTTAATTAACAATTTAAGACGCTGTGTGGCTGGGCGCAGTGGCTCACGCCTGTAATCCCAGCACTTTGGGAGGCCAAAGCGAGCAGATCACGAGGTCAGGAGATCAAGACCATCCTGGTCAACATGGTGAAACCCCTTCTTAACTAAAAATATAAAAATCAGCTGGGCATGGTGGCATGCACCTGTAGTCCCAGCTACTTGGGAGGCTGAGGCAGGAGAATCGCTTGAACCCAGGAGGTGGAGGTTGCAGTGAGCTGAGATCGTGTCCCTGCACTCCAGCCTGGTGACAGAGCAAGACTCTGTCTCAAAAAAAAAAAAAATAGGCTGTGTTCTACCTGCTCTCAGAGGAATTCCCCGATGGAAAGAGGAGCTGGGAAGGCAGAGCAGCCAGTGGTGAGCCCCTCTCACCCCAGGCCCCAGGTTCAGCCCACCTGGCTTCCCCTTGCCTCAGCTCCTGCATTGCCTGCTGCTGTCCTCACTATTCACATCCAACACAGGCACCTGCTGGGCCTGGACCCACCTCCAGGGGAACACCAGGGGTGGGGATGGAGCATAAGAGACAGGGTCAGGACATAGGGTGGGTGGTTGCACCACAGATGCCTGGAATGTCAGAGATCCCTGAGTTAATCCCTCATCCTACGGAGGATTGCAAGGACCAGGAGTGGCAGGGTCACACCCAACCTTGGGGACAGCAGGCTGAGAAGGATGTTGGTACATCGGGGTGTGTCCAGCTGGTCTGGGCCTGATAGGTGAGGGGCGTGGGGGGCAGTGGCTGAGAAAGAAAAAGGGCTGAGGGGGCCAGGGGCCCACAAGCTTGTTCAATCCAAGGCTGCTGGCAGGGGTACGGATGAGGCTGATGTGCAGATATCTGAGAGTGTCTGGGAAAGGGGATGGGGCTCTTCTTACCGGCTCCAGAACTGAAGCCAGGGTAGAAGGTACAGGAAGGCAACTTTAGGGCTCAACTTCCAAATGACTTTTCCCAAAATCCAAACCATGGGAAGATGGATGGCTCTAGTCTCCTGGCAAAGTAATGAGTAGGCTGTCACTGCATGTGTTCAAGCAAAGGCTAGGCTGCCACGGTTCAGGGATGCTGTCATATTGTCATGCCATGGGGAGCTCTGCAAAGTGTCACACCGACTGCTGAAATCTCTCCCCAGTACACACTGAACTGCCCTGGGAGAGGTGGTGTGGCATGCTGTTGAGCGTTCAGCCCTAGAGCCAGCTGGCCCGGTTCAAATTCCTGCTCTGCTTTTGAGGAGTGGAGCTACCTGGGGTGGCTCACTGCAGCCACCCCCAACTCCAATACTATATTAGAAGGATGACAATGGCAGTGCTGCCTTCAAAGCGTTGCAGTGAGGATGGAATGAGTTAATACTGCAAGTACCTGTTCATTCTGATTGCACAACCAGAAAGGCCACTCAGACCAGTATCCATCCTCCAGACCAGCCAGGAAGGATTTCACTTTGTATTACACTAAGAGAGGTGCCTTCTCTGGGATGACTTGCCACATACCCACAACCAGATATATAGTTCCCTGAAGGAAGAGGGTAAGCAGGGGACCCCAACACTGCAAAGCAAGCCCCTTGAGAGGGTGCCTGAGTGCCCAGAAGCAGCGAGGGCCTATTTATTCACACCTATTTAGTGAACCTCATGCCCCAGGTATCCCAAATGCTGGAGGGCCCAGTCACAGGGACCCAGTGACTTGCATTACCCAATAACAAATAGATGCCCCAGCCCCACTTGCAGGGTCCTAAACATGAGCTCCCCGGTGTGTGTGTGCACATGCACGGAAATAAAGACAATCAGGTTGTACTTATAGGAAACTTGAATTCTTCCCCGGTCAACCCCTGCACTGTCCCCTCCCTCTGTCTCTGCTCCTCATCTTCCCTCCACCTTCCCTCCAGCCCCTTCAGTTTCTCTTATTTGGCTTCCTCCCCAGAGCTGGATAGGTGTTTCCAGGTCAAGACAATTGGTCGATTCCATCAAAACCCACAGCAGGTGGGGCTTTGAAAAAACCAGGAGTCTGCAGATTTATTCTCGCAACACTTTTCACTGCTTGCCTGAACTTCTCACTTTTCTGTAGGCTGAGTTGGCATCTGAAGACCCTCTGCTGTTGGCCACAGCAGCAACTCAGAAGAAGTGGGAGGATTTAGGAGTGCAGAGAGCAGAGAAGCTGCTTTGGGCATTTTCAGCCTAATAAGCCTTCCCGGGCATCCTGCCAAATGACCTTGGGGGGCCTGTGGGGTAACCCTCGCCACCTGCTAGCATTCAGATTCACCCCGTGTAAGCCGAGCTGGATTTGTGCACTTCCCTCCTCCTGATGCTGGTGTGGCTCAAGCCACTTCAGAAGCTGCATCCTATGCTTCCAGGGAGATCCTACGGGAGCCCTGGATGTGACCTGACTCTGAGCAGCATTTGACATGCTGATACCCTTTCTCCCCAGGCCTCTCTCCTGCCTGCACCTGCTGCCTCACCTTTCAGGCACCTTGGCAGGCTGACATGTAGGCACCATGTCATTCCCTAAACTGCATTGTATTGGCTCTGAACTTTCAGTGAGTGTGTTTCTCCTTGGCTTGGAACCTCCCATCTCTGTCTCTCCCACCCTGGCATTCACACCCTTCATTCACTCGGGGCTGCATCCGTCAGGAGCTCCTGAACCACCTGTTTCTCTGGCTGTTTCGGAAATGGGTCTCATTGGGCGAGATGCTGGAACAGGGGACACAAAATACACACCTGCCTCATCCCTGCCTCTCGGGATCCAGCTCACATCTCTTCTCCCACGCCTCCAGATCCCTCCTCTTACCTTCTTGCTCCCCAAGATAGGTGATCTTCTGGGCCCCAGCCAAACTCCAGGGCCCCACTCTACTGGATGGCAGCCAGGAGGGGTGGTTATAAACTGACAAGCAGCTCCCAGTTGCCACGCCTCAGCCAGACTGCTTGTGAAGCGTCTCAGGTAGCATCCTGCCTCCTCCCAGCTTAAATGTCATGTCTCCAGGAAGCTCCCGAAAAGGAGACAGCGTGTGTCAGACTAGAAAGTGCCTCTGCTTCAAAGTCAAGAAAACCTAGGTTTAAACTCCAGCCCAGCCATCTTCTAGCCATGTTGGGGATGTGACATAGCCCCCCAGGCCTCCGTTTCCACTCCCAGTCATTGGGGGAAATGGTCATGGCCAACTCTTCCAGAGGACAAGGCATGGTTCCCAGGGTGCTATAGATACTAATTCATTAAACCCTCACAACACCCCAGAAGGTGGGCATTACTATTATCATCCCTGTTTTGTTTTTTATTTAAGTTCTGGGATATATGTGCAGAACGTGCAGGTTTGTTACATAGGTATACATGTGCCATGGTGGTTTGCTGCATCTATCAACCCATCATCTAGAATTTAAGCCCCACATGCATTAGGTATTTGTCCTAATGCTCTCCCTCCCCTTGCCCCACAACCCCCAACAAGCCTCGGCGTATGATGTTCCTGTCCCTGTATCCATGTGTTCTCATTGTTCAGCTCCCACTTATGAGTGAGAACATATCATCCCTATATTACCAGTGAGGAAACTGAGGCAGAGTAGTTACATCACCTACCCAGGGATACATAACTAAAAACTGGCCGCCTGGACCCACCATGCCCTTAACCACTATTACACACTGCCTCGCACACATGCCTCCTCACTCACCGGAATGCAAACACCCAGGTGTTCCTGGCACACAGCAGGAACACAGTCATGCAAAATGGTCTTAGGGTCGTTGTTTTTTTAGATGTGGGGCTTTCAGGCAGGCCCACAGGGTCTAATAGGTATAGTGGGGGAAACCTGGGCACCTTCTCAGGTAAGTCGAGAGCCTTGTGTATTTGTTTCCTGGTGCTTCCATAACAAATAGCCATGCACTGAGTGGATTAAAACAACAGAGATTTACCCTCTCATAGTCTGGAGGCCAGAATTCTGAAATGAAGGTGTCAGCAGGCCCATATTCTTTCAGGAGGCTCTAGAGAAGATTGCTTCCTTGCCTCTTCCAGCTTCTAGTGGCTCCTTTAAATCCTAGGTGCTCCTTGGCTGTAGCTGGATCACTTCAGTCTCTGCCTCTGTCTTTACATGGCTGTCTTTTCTGTGCCTGTCTCTTCTCCTTTTTTGTCTGTTATAAGCACACTAGCATTGGATTTAGGGCCTACTTTAATCCATTTATTTTTTGTTTTGTTTTGTTTTGTTTTTTTGAGATGCAGTCTCACTCTGTCACCCAGGCTGGAGTGCGGTGGCACGATCTGGGCTCACTGCAACCTCTGCCTCCTGGGTTCAAGCAATTCTCCTACCTCAGCCTCCCAAGTAGCTGGGATTAGAGGGGTATGCCACCACACCTGGCTAATTTTTGTATTTTTAGTAGAGATGGGGTTTCATCATGTTGGCCAGGCTGGTCTTGAACTCCTGACCCCAAGTGATCCTCCCACCTTGGCCTCCCAAAGTGCTGGGATTACAGTTGTGAGTCACTGCACCCAGCCCATAATGATTTCATTTTGAGATCCTTATTCCAAATAAGGTCATATTCTAAGGTTCCAAGTGAAATTATCATTTGGAGTTTGCTATTCCATCACAAACACTCTTTTGGTTCCAGCTTCTGTTTCTTAAAACAAGAAAATGATGCTAGAAAACCCTGTGCTTTTCTGGGTCTTCAAGGACAATGACCTCAACCATCCCAAGGGTGGTCCTGAAGAGACAGCCCCAGCCACACTCACTCTTATGGTTGTCGGAGACTAGGGCTTCATGAGTAAACAGCCACAGTGCACCCCATATGTGCAGGAGGAGCCTCCAGGGGTCAGTATGGCCCCAAAGTCTCTGAGATGGGGCAGAGGACCCTTGCTCCATAGCAAGCCAGCTGCAGCCTGGGCACCAGCACTGAGCCTATGTGTTTGACCAACTGAAGTACAACAAAGGACAATTGATGCAGCGGTTCTGCTTGGAGATGGCAGCCAGACCTTGAGAGCATCGCAGGGAAGAGAGACAAGGATGTGAGCCCAGTAGGGCCCCTGGAGGAAAAATGGAAAAGGAGGGACTTGGGGGATGGCTTGGGAGGGATTCCACTCCGTACTAGAGACAAGCACCGTCTGTATGATGCTAAGCTGTGTGTGTGCAGGCGAGGAAGGTGTGGGGAGGGCAAAACGAGGTCCCAGGCCTCAGGGGCTGGTGGGGTGTCATGAGATGTGTGCTCAAGGGGTGCACAGACAGCTTCTATAGGTTGTGCCATCAGCACTGGAAACTGAGAAGTTGTTTTTGTTTCAGTGGAAAGATATGTTATGATGTACATGGAATGGGGATGATGAGGCTGAGGAAGGGAGCCCTCATCCCTTCCCCTAAAACTAAGCTCTTCTCACAGCTGCTTTTAAAGCAATTTCACATTTCCTACTCTGTCGACTTCTCACTCTTGGCCATTCCACCTTGTACAATTCCAGGGGGCACCATGCTTGATGTAGTCCAGGCTGACAATGCTCCTGGGATGTGCTGCCTGTGAGATGGGTCTACCCTTCCCAGGTTACAGAAGAGCAAACTGAGCTTCAGAGAGGATGGGTGAATTGGCCAAGGATGCACAGCTAATTAAAGGTAGGACCTGAAAGAGCATCCAAGGATTTAGAATCCCACCCAAGTGTTTTGCCCTAGAGTGGTGGTGTGACTTTCCTTTAGTTTCTTTCCTCCTTAAAATATATATTAAAAGCTATATGTTATGGTTGCATTGGTATAAGGATGAATGTAGTCCAGGCTAGATTGTGTCTGATGGGCCCAGCGTGGCCTAGGAAGCCCCTTCCTACTGGGCTCCAGCCTGGCCTGATTCCGTTCAGCCCATGCCACAACCCTGTACCTTAGTCAGACTGGGCCTTCCATGCCCCATCCACACTCAGGGCCATGCCAGAACCTGGATTATAAAGTATGAAGGCCTTTTCCCCCTCCCCACATTTATTGAAGTTATCTGGGCTGGTGTCTGCCTTCTGTCTGCCGCTACGTTTCTCCAGACTTATCTCCTCCAAGAAACTTTCTTTGATAACACAGATGTATTAGGAGCTGCCACTAGAAATTCTCTTTGTATGAAACCGTCTTGAATTCCCTTTGAACCTGTGTCTCCCCAACCTCACTGTAAGAAAGGCAGGGCCCACATTCTCTTGTGTGTATGCATCACCACCCATCCATACTTCCAGCAATGCCTGGTGCAGAGCTGGGTACACGGGGAACCCCATAGGTGCTGAGTTAGCAGGGGTAGCCCCTAGGTCAAACTTGCTGTTTCCCATTCCCTGCTTTCCACCTGGCAAACTTGTATACACCCTTCAAAGCTCAACACTCTTGGTCTCTAGAAGCCCTCCTTTATAACTTTCCAGACAGAGTTAATCTCTCCACTTGCCTGCTCCCCTTAATTCCCAGCATAGGCTCCATGGGAAGAGGATACAATGCCTTCCTCTCATCGTCACTTTACTTGGCTGTTTCGCCACCACACTGGGGCAATCCTGAGAGCAGGCGTGACCCACAGCCCAGAACAGGCCTCGGATGTTGGTGGCCCAATGGACATCTTCTGCCCCAGTCCGGCTCACACTCACTGGCAAGTAGAATCAGGAGTGGCATCCTATTTCCAGCCTGCCTGGGCTGGACTCCAAGGAATATCTCAGGCCTGCTACAAAGTAGCTTAGGCATCTAGTTCCCCAGAGTCTCTTCCCACCTTCTCCTTTAATTAAACTCACCTTCGACTCTTGATGATCAGGAAATGGATTATCTAGGTCAGCAGTCTCCAATCCCAACCACATATTAGACTTACAAGGAGTTTTACAAAATTCAGTGCCTGGCTTCCAGCAGATCAATTACATCGGGATTTCTGGGAATGGGACCCAGAGTATTTTGGATATTTTTTAAAAGGCTCTTCAGGTGAGTCTGATGATCAGAGGGGTGGAAGTAACTCATGTTGGTGGTGGTTTTCTAATTAGAAGTGTCTGCCTTTTGTTCTCATGATGTCTTAGTTTTGGCTCATCTCCTGAGTCAAGGGCTCTCCTCGAAGGCTGGCTGGGAAGAGGTCATGGCTCCTAGAGCTGATGGGGATCTCAAGGGATGGTGACACCTGGCTGCCTGCTTTCAACAAGGTTATCTACGTTGTCTGTGGTCCCATGAGAAAACCAAAACCCAGAGAGGTTAGGTGTCTTTCACAAGGTCACACAGCCAGTGGATGGCCACAGTGAGTTATAAATCAGGTTCTTTCAATAAAGATTTGTTGGTGGGCTGGGGCAGGGGTCAAATGAGGCTCCAGAATGGCGCTGAGTGCATGTTTTCCCAGCACATCACCTGCTTTCCCAGCAGGCGCTGCAGGAATGGGCGAGAGTTAGCTCCATTTCCCTCAGTAACAATTCCCTGGTGGCCTCAGCTAAGCAGCCAGCTTTGGGCACATCCTGTCCCACTTGTCTCCTCCTAGGAAAGAGACCCCAGCTGGAAGCGCGTTCTCCCCTCCCTGCTCCTTCCAGAGTGTTTTGCTGAAAGAGCTGCAGGCAAAGCTCTTTAGCGCCATGGTGGTGAGTCATCCGTGCCCCTCTTTAGAGACCCGACGCTCCTCTCCAAGCTCGGGAAGGAGAGATGTTTAATTTATCAGACAATGCCACAAGATGTTGTTTACATGCACACCGGATGTAACACAGACGCAGCAAACCGTGAATATGGTAAACCTGTTTGTGGCTTCTCCTCCGTGTCATAATTAAAGAGACAGTTGATTGGATCACATGTGCAAAGTGGCAGCATCAGGGCGGGAAGCCACAGGGATAAGCCGGCACCAGGGGATGTAATGTCCTGTCCCCTGCTATGCCAGGACGCACCCCTGCTGCCATCCTCTTCCTCTCAGATGGAATGGCTGTGTGCCCTGCTGCCCTGTACATGCTTTCTCTTCCTGTCTCCACCCCTGAGTTGGGGTCTGAGCCCATACTCTGTGCTATCATCTTATTTGGTCCTCAGAATAACCCTAGGAGACCAATGCTATTATTGGCCCATTTTACAAATTACAAATAGACAAAAAGTGCTAATAATATTAATTGCCACCATTATCACCACCACCATGGTTAATATTTGTATATGTTTACTCTGTGCCAAGCTCTAAGCCCCTTATACATTCATTTAATCCTTGCAACAGCCCCGTAAGTACAATTAGTATCCTTATTATACACATGGGGGAAACTGAGGAACAGTGAGGTTGAGCAACTTGCCCACAGTCACACAGCTGGAAAGCAGCAGTGAGGAAATAATCCATTCACTGATGGAGTGAGAGCAACTGGAGATCCAAGGGTGAATGGTATAGACAGCCCACCCCTCACAGAGCAGGTGAATTAACCTGCTGAGTACCCCAGGGTTGGTCAGTAGCTGAGCCAGGGCTTGAGCTAGGTACTCTGGCATCCTGAATTTGGTTTCCTTCCTGTCTGACCATGCTCTCAGTCCTTTCCAATATGTGCATGTGTGTATGTGTGTGTATGCACACATGCACATATGTGTAGTGTGTGAGGCCACATTCTGAAATACATTTTCTATTGATACATTTAATTTGGAACCAGCTAGTGGTTTTGGCTATCCAGCTGATCACATGGTAGGTTTCAACAAATAAACTAAAGAAGTTAAACTGAATTGAATCTAGCACCACTCCCTTCTCTGGGCTTCTAGGGACTGGAAATGTACAAAATTATACTCTGAGGAGTTGGTATAGGCAAATAGTTGAGGCACAGGTTCGGAAATTTTGTCTGGCTTAAAACCAAGTTCCCACACATAACCAGATAGAAAGCCTTAGGCATTTGCTTCACTTCCTTGTGCCTCAGTTTTCTCATTGCAAAGGGAGATGATAATGGTTCCTACCGCAGGAGGTTAAGTGAATATTAAGCTCTTAGAATGCTTGGTACCCAGCACTCAATAAGTTACAGCTATCACCATCATCTTCATCACAATTAATAGAAGCGATGTCTCTCCCAACCTCTTGCCAAAGCACACTTGGGGAGACTCCCTGTCCTCCAGCCTAGTCATAGCAACCACCACTCAGAAGAGGGCTTCCCACTCCTGAGCTGACAGTGGCTGCAGTGCCATGGGCACTGGCCCTACAAGACAAGGCACAAGGGTTTTAGTGCCAGCTCTGACACTAGACAAGTCGCTTTCTCTCACTGGGGCCTCAGTTTCCTTATCAGTAAAATGGGGAGCAGCTAAGCTACTTCTGCTAAGTTACCACTAAGTAACTTTCTAAGATCCCTTCTGGGTCTCACTTTCTAAAATTTCCAGGAGCCTCCCTCCCGTCTCTTTCCTGCTGTGGTCCCCTTTCCTGGGAGAAGCATAATCCTGAGTGGGTTTTGCTAAAACAACGTGAAGGAAGATCCTCAATTTCTAGATAAGCAAGCTGAGACTCAGCAGGAATCCAGCCAAGTTCGTGGCAGGACTGGCTTGGGGCTCAGGGCCGCTGGCTCCCCTGTCGTCACCACAGAGCCCACCTACAAGGCATGGGCTCCATTTGGGGGTTTGAAGACCATGCCAGGATGGAGCCTGGGCCACGTTCCTCCTTCTCTCCAGCACGCAAGGCCCTGCCAGCCCTAAGAATCTGTGCTGCTGTGAAATAAGTTTGGAAAAAATAATTTTGGCTTAAAGCCTGTTATTTTTTTCTAAGGCCTACTTCTAGGAAAATGTCAAGGATTCCTGAGAATTGATGTTTGAATGCAGACACGAATCTATTTCCCCTTTTCACGTCTTTATACGAAATCCTCATGGCCTAGTAGGAAGGATAAAAGTGAACACTGATTTAATGCTTGTTGTATACCAGGCTTTCTTCTAAGAACTTTGCATATATTAACTTATTTACTCTTTATACAGCACTGGGTATTATTATCCCTGTTTCTCAGATGAGGAAATGGAGGCCAGATGGCTCCATTTACATGGCTAGATATTGATGAAGCTGGGATTTGGTTCCACTTGTCTGGCCAGGAGTTCAGTTCAGGCTTTTTTTCTTTTTTCTTTCCTTTCTTTTTTGAGATGAGGTTTTGCTCTTTCACCCAGACTGCAGGGCAGTGGCACAATCATGGCTCACTGCAGCCTCAACCTCCCTGGGCTCAGATGATCCTCCCACCTCAGCCTCTGAAGCAGCTGGGACTAAAAGCATGTGCCAGAACACCGGTTATTTTTTAAATTTTTGTAGAGATGGGGGTCTTACTATGTTGCCCAGGCTGGTCACGACCTCCTGGGTTCAATGAATCCTCCTGCTTCGGCCTCCCAAAGTGCTGGGATTACAGGTATGAGCCACCACACCCAATGGAGTTCAGACTCTTAACCACCATGTACATCAGGGATTATGCTTTGGAGCTGGGCAGTCTTAGATTTGAATCCTGACTCCTTGCCCTGCTTGCTGTGTGGCTTTAAATGAGTCTCTTATTTCTCTGGGCCCCACATGCCTCCCCTGGAAATAAGAATAAATCCCTAGCCTGCAGGGAGGGTTGTGATTAGGACTTATCAATATTACATGTCACCATGTCGCATATGGGGCCAGGTGGAATACAAGCGCTCATTAAATGGTAGCTATTATTTGTGACTTAAAGGAATATCAGACTGCTGACTGGGCACTTAACTGCAAAACCTAATGATTCTGAAATTCATAATAGCTAAGATGGAGCCTAAAATAATGTCACCTATACATCTGGAGGGAAGGCTTAGAAAAATCTGGGCTAAACATCCACAGAGAATCTCTCTAGAATGCTTATATATTAATCACCAGTGCCATGCTAATTTGAGGGAGTCACCAATTGCTGATGGGCCCCTGACAAGCATCTGGGTCTGTTCTGGAATGTAAATCTTCTGGGGGCTTTAGTTTTGAAGGAAGAAAAGCATTTATTGGGCCCAGTGCAGTGTCTCACGTCTATAATCCCAGCACTTTGGGAGGTGGAGGCAGGAGGATCACCTGAGGTCAGGAATTTGAGAACAGCCTGGCCAACACAGTAAAACTCCATCTCTACAAAAAATACAAAATTGGCCAGGCATGGTGGCACATGCCTGTAATCTCAGCTACTCAGGAGGCTGAGGCAGGAGAATCACTTGAACCCAGGAGGCAGAAGTTGCAGTAAGCAGTGAGCTGAGATTGTGCCACTGCACTCCAGCCTGGGCAACAGAAAAAGATTGTCTCAAAAAAAAAAAAAAAAAAGAGAGAAAGAAAAGAAAAAAGAAAACCATTTACTGAAAAGCAGTCCCTGGTTCAGAATTTCATCAATACAGATAAGTCCTATCTCGGGGATCAGAATCAGTTTGCTTTGAATTTGCTTATTTTTCTTGTTGGGTATGGAAGGCACCTTTGAGAAACTGAGACCCCAGGATTCTGGTGTACATGTAAGACCAGGGAATAGTCCACGAAGGCAGACCTAAGGATAGGGCTCGCCTGTCCCTTCCAGTTGCCCAGTGACTGTGCCAAATGCTCCCTGGGTGAGGTTAGGCTAGCAGAAGGGCAGTGTTCAGATCTGAGAGGTTCCTGTGCCCGGGGGCAGGAGATGAAGGGTGAAGACTCAGTCCCACAACCCTGTCATCCAAAGCCTCAGTTTCACAGCCCTAAAGTTGAAGATTGCTGAAATGCTATAGCACCAGGCCAGACCATGCAATGATGCTGTTCTAAGTGCTTTACATATGTTCACTCGTCTAATCCTTCCAGCAACACAGTAAGCTGGATCTAGCCATTGTCCTCATTTCACAAGGGGGCAAGTGAGGCACAGAGCAGTTACCAGTTACCTAGCTTGCCCAAGCAGCTAGAAGGGATGCTGGGTTCTGCAGCCAGGCAGTGTGACATGGGGGCTGGCCCTTGTATCCCTTTGCCCTTTGTGTTATTGTCAGTTGCCATGTAGAAAAGGAGCTACTGTCAGAGAGGGGTGGGGAGGATGGAACATGGGAAACCTTGGCTTCTGAAACTCACTCCTCCCAGTGGGCCCAAGTCTAAAGAGGGTTTCTCTGCTGGTCACTTGGAAGGACGTGAATAGAACCAGACCCGGATGACAAGTCCCATAGAGGTCCCAGGTTCTCAAAAGAGGTCCTGGAACACAGATGGATGGACCAGAGTCAGGAGAAGATGCTACGTTCTGGAGGCCCCTGGGGACCACGTGGAGGAGCCTCCACCATCCTCAGGGGTGGAACCACATCCTCCCCTTGGGGGAATCCTGTCCCTGACACACCCCCACCTGCCTGCCCAGCCATCTCCAGCACTCCCCAAGATCTCTACTTTTCCTTCTGGCAAGGGGTACAAAGACAGCAAATAAAACCTCCAAACTTTTTTAAATTTCTTTTTCTTTTTTCTTTTTCAAAGATGTCCCTAGTCTGTGGTTGCCATGGCAACATCTGCCAGCTCCTCTGAAGTCAGCGCTTAGCTCCCTCCAGCAGCCTCAGCAGCTTCCCCCACTGCGCCCTCCTTCTGCACACCCCTCCGCCCTCGCCCTGCCCATCTCAGCTCCACCCCAGGCCCTGCCTCCCCCTCCTGGCCAGGCCAGCTTTCTTTGGGATGGCTCAGGCTGGAGTGGAGGAGGACTTCAGAGGAACTCAGAGTACAGGCAGATAAGTGACAGTAATGGGCTCCCGGGTGGTGCAGGCCTGCCAAGGACTCCCGGACATGACTAGGGCGCCTAAGGGGCTGTGCCCACGCCACTGCCAGCTCCCTGTCCCTGCTGCAGCCACTGTCCCTCTGTTCCCTTGGCCTCTCCCCGTTCTTGGAACTCTCACTTCCTCCGCCAAAGCCCAGAAGGCACCAGGGTGGTTGAGAAGAAAGAGTCTGTGACAACTCATCAGCCACTTACTCGCTGCCTGACTCTGGCAAGTTATTTCACCTCTCAGACCTCACTTTCCTCATCCACAAAATGGGTGCCTAACACTTACTTTAAGGGTTGTTGTGGGGCATAAAATAGAAAACGTGTGTCAATACCAGCTACGCTGTAGATGTTAGAGTGATGCCATTTCCCATCTCTCTGCTTTTCATTTCCATCCTCCCTTCTACCATCTTCTCTCCCCTTGAACCTGGGTTTCTTTGCCCTCCCTGCTCTGTCTCCTTCCTGGACTTTCCCACTATTGCGCTGGCAGAGTTGGTGGCACCCTAATGGCTTCCACCTTGGGGTTCACCCGTGCTTCCTGGGGTCACAGCACTTCTTGGGGAAGGTGAGGTGGGAGGTGCTTGATCTGCAGAAGAGACAGCCTTGACCTCTGATGGGAAGCCAATGAGGCTACAAGAACAACAATGGCAACGGATCCATTTATTGAGCACTTATTGTGTGCCAGTCTCTATTTCAGGAGTTTTTCACAAATCAGCCCATCTAATTTTAACTTCACACCTATGCAGAACTTACTCTTGCTGTCCCCATTTTATCTCTAGGGAAACAAAGGCTCAGAAGTGGCAGGAAATGAGGAGCAGCAATTCCATGATGTGGGCATGAGAAGGGGGAAGGAAGATTACCTGGCAGCTTCCAGACGGAAGCAGGTCTTCCTTCCCTCCCTTTACCCTCAGGTCTCAGTTAGGCTTTGAGACAGGTTCTGACATTATATCCCAAATCCCCCTGAGGAGCATCTGAATCCCTGAAAGCATCCTTGGTTCCAAGTTCAAGGTCACACACAGTCTCCTGCCCACCACATCATCCTCCCTCTTGAGCCTGTCAGCATTCCTGGCTCAGAGAGAATAGCCGCCTCTGTCCCCTCTCCCTGCCAGGAGTGCGGGCTGTCTTAGCATACACAGTAGGCAGAATTTGCTGTCTCCTTTGGCAAAACCTTTACCAAGGGGATCTTGAGGGGCTTTCTGTGTACCCATGCCAGCTCCAGAGGGCCAGGAGCTAGCTATGCCCTTCTTGTCACCTCTGCTTAGCAGTGAGACAGTACCAACTGCCTCCTCATCATAAAGGAAATAGTTTCATTCCAGGAGGAAGGATTTATGAGAAAGCAGACAGCGGGCCCTGACACGGATGGAGTGTGGTGCCGATCCAGGAGACAGGGTCAGCTGAGCACTCTCATTTCGGAGGCCTCTGCCAAGCTGTGTGATCAGCGGCTAGTCTCTAATTTTCAGCTGTCTAATGCAGGCCCAAACTAAGGAGCAAGGACTCCCCAATGGATCCTGCCCCCACCCGCTGAGCCCCAAAGCAGTCCCTCCTGGCAGCTTCTTCAGAGGCCTAGGCCGGTGCCTCTCTCACCATAATGTGCACACAAATCACCCAGGGGACCCCAGAGAAGAGCAGATCCTGATTCAGGGAGTCTGATGGGCCCTAGATACTGCACTTCTGTGCTCCCTGGACTCTGATCCCGCTAAGAGTATACTTGGAGGGGCAGGGGTCTTGGCTCTCTGGAGCCACACATGCTCCTCCACTCCCACCCCTGGGATCTATTCCTCAGGAACTAGATATCAGACCATTGTTCTCAGCTGCTGCCCACCCATCATCCAGGCCTGTACAGGAGCATGTCCAAGCTAAGTCCATGAGCTCAGAGCCACGAAATGCAATATTTGATCCTTCTCTCAGAGGAATGCAGTCCTTGTAGGCCCCTCTAGCCCTCATACATTGAAGAGTATGTCCAGGTGAGAGTTGCCCAGGTGGGCTCTGCCATCCATACTTGCTCCTCAGCCTGATCAGCCAGAGGCTGATGGGGTTCAAGAGAGATCAGAGAGTTTTGAGAAGAAGCAATGAGAGTTCAAATATAGAGTCAAATACTAGCCTTGACTACTGTAAGAGACCCCAAAAAAGGATTTGAGGCACTCACAATATTCTGCATTCATGTTTGTCATCACACGCCAACCTTGTGTAGGAAAGAAAGATCATTAACCTACTTCCTCTTTGGTTTATTATTCTAGCTACAAAAGGGATGTTTTTCAGGGAGGTCATGTGTATAAAATGTTCAACTATCAGCCAAGTGGGTCTGTGCACACCCAGACATAGAAGGATGGACAAGATGACATCTCAAAGTAGCTCCCAAGTCAGTGTGGAAATCTATGAACTTCCCCCTTCTCCCGGGCATCGTGGAGAGAAAAAGCCCCTTCCCTACTGCAGTTTGTGGTTTTGACTTTGATTAAATCTGGAGATTAATTTTTCCCAGTGACAGAGTGGCCAGCCTGGAAGCCATAATCCCTTCAGTAGTTCAACATGTTTATGGGGGTGAGAGGATGCTTAATGTGGCAGTTAAAATGCTAAGCTGAGTAATCAGTTCATTAGAAATTTACTCAATATGTTTGCTGTCTGCAGCTGGGCCCCACTCCCCTGGACAGAGATAAATCAGCAGACAATGCAGCTAGTGACAAGATAAACTCCTCCAACATCGACAGCAAGGCTCTGAAATGCCCTCTCATAGAGAAGAATTCTCTGGCTCAGTGCCCCCGAGGTCTTGAACAGGCCAGGCTGCTCCTTAGAGCTGGAGAGAACTATTAAGGTAGAGTACACCCAACGTCTGGACTTTAAGCCCTGGAAGAACTCAGGGCAAATAAGGAAAGCTGTAGCTCAAGGTCACTTGGTTATCATGGGCTGACCAGCCACGGGTCTTGATTTAAGTGCCCCCAGAAGGAGATCCTGAGACAAAGATTCAAGGGCACACAGTTTATTTGGGAGGTGGACTTTGAAAACCTGGGAGGGGAGTAGGGGAACTGAAAAGGGAAAAAGAACTCAGCTAATAAATGTGTTATCAAGCTAGTTACAACAGGGACAGCTGGAGCTCAGCCCCCCTGGGGAACTCAGCCCCCACTGGAGAACTCAGAGGTGGCAGAGACATTCACATCAGTGCTACCCCTCCCTCCTGCGGGGCGAGGGTGCTGAAAGGAGAGTACCCATCAGTCATTGTTTGAGGGCTGCTCCAGGGGCATACATTTTTTGGCCCTTCTGGCCTATGTACTTTCCTTTGAAGAATATGTAAGTCTAGAAGGCCCTCAAGTCAAAGATGCAGGTGTGGGCAGTGGGCAGTGGGAGTGGGGCTGGTATGAACTGAAATTGTGAGGTCTGAGGGGAGATAGTGTGCCGTCCACAGAGGATGAGCAGAATCAAGTGGGAATACAACAGCCACCCAATGAGTAATCTTAGAAGGAACTCAAGACCCCTGGGCTAATGAGTTTCCATTCCTGACTGTGCAATAAGAGCTGGATGCATCTGTAACAAAAGGCGGGACCCCTGAGCCCTGGAGTACAGAGATTCCTTGGGGAATTCGGCAGTTAGTGGGGCTTTATGGCAGATTCTTTCAGGGTTATGATGGGCTTGGGGGGATGGCAGGAGGGCATCTCAGCGGACCTGTGCCTGGGTAAGGAATGGGTAGAGGGTCAGAGAACTTGCTGGGCACTTCTCTGGGTGGAGAATGAGCAACAGAAGTGTCCCATGGTTAGGATGAGGCCGCCTCATTTGAAATGTTAATAAATCATCTGGAAAAGGGATTTACGCAGTGAAAGCTGGGGATGTGCAAATGGCACTAAGTTTTTTGAGGGAATGAAATGTCAAGCCAATGGGGATACGCTACAGAATCCCACAAGGGTGTGTACGAGTGGGCAGAGAAGTGACAGATGAGATTTGGTGTGGGCAAGTGTAAGATAATGTATTTAAAGACATATCTCAAGTGCTGTATGACTTCCTTCTGAGATGATGCATGCCACAGTGGTTTTATTTTAGGAAGAGTAGGGAGGGAAGGGGAACTGACATTTATGGTGTGGCTACTAGGTGTTCACAGGTTTTATCTTCTGGATGCAGAGTGAGGAAATGTGGTTCAGAGGGGCAGAGTAAATTGCCCAGTGTCACATACCTGGGAGGGGATGGCGTTGGGATCCTGATTCAATCTGTGTTCTTTCTAGTCTGTTCCCTGAGGACATGAACCAATGTGTAAAGTGGTCTGAAGACCACCAGGGGCCAGCCATGCCAGGGATTAATTCTGGGTCCCCTTCCTCTCAGGCCTGTCTCAGTCTCTTTTGCTGGTCTTTCAGCAAAAGTTGAATTGCTTCTGGCCCTTCTTGGCCTTCTCTATTCTCTTTCCCTTGGGGAGGTCATCCAGTTCTATGGTGAGTAGATCATTTATGCCAATGAGCCCCAAGTTCATGCCCTCAGCCCTGGCTTCACCTGAGCTCCAGACTCACCATTTGACTCTCACTGACATCACCACTGGGGTGCCTCACAGGTGCTCCAGATCTGGCAGGGCGTCAATGAGTTCTTGCTTCTTCCCTTACACCTGTTCCTCCCGCAGCCTTCCTCATCTCACTAAATGGCAACTCCATGGAGCCTATCCTTGCATCTCTGCAAAATGCACACATCCCGAAAAAGTCGGCAGATGGGAAAGGGAGGTAGGCAGATAGCTGTGAAAGGTGCATGGCCTCTGGCTTTTGGAAGGATGACCAGAAGGGATGGCTGGAAGCCCAAAGAACTGTGAAACTGATGGGGGAAAGTCAATGGGTTTCATCAGTGAATCCAAGGATGGGATGGCTAGGATTTGGAAGTGTAAAAAGATACATGTCAGGATGAAACCAAAGGAAGCTACCAGGCCCACTGTGTATTTCCACATGGAGTGCCGCTGCCCACCCTTCCCAGCTGTCTGCTGGAGGTATCCTGTGCCTTTCATCCAAATCCTACTTTTTCTCTGCATCCCCTGAGCAGTCAGAATCACCCAACCCTCCTAACCCCCTTTCCCAATCTCAGCCTTGAGCCTGGTGTGGGGTGGAAGCCCCAGACTCCTCTGGCTGGTGGGCAGGGTAAGGGCTCAGCATAGCAGTCCCCAGGCTCCCCAGTCACAGCAGCAGCCCCCAGTTCTTCCCTAGCCACGGGTCGAAAAGGAGAGGGAATATTTTCTTTTGTTGGGAAGACGAAAGCCAACCAAAAAAGGCCATAAAGTCACTGGATTGGAAAATGAGAAAGTAGAATAAATAGGCTCTTGGGAGGGAAACAGGTCTTCCCCACTCTGTGAACAGAAATAAACAAGGAGAGCACCTGTCAGGAGGAATTTACACCAGGGAATGGGTGGCTTGGCCCTGCCCAGAATCTGCAAGGAAGGGGTTCCAAGGAGCCCTGAATCTTCCTTCCAGACCAGACCTTTCTTCTCCCACTCTGCTGGCCACCTGCCTGGCCCCCCAACCCCCACCGCCATCCCCACCATCTTCCATTCCCTCTGCCTTGCTCCTTCCTGGCACCAGCACCCCCATGAGAAGTGATCCTGTCCTCTGCTGAAACAACCCACCTATCCTCCAAGCCTCCCTCCTGCAGGAAGCCTTCCTGGACCTCTTGCTTCTGAGAACCTGAGTCCCAGGTATACAACACACCAACTCTCCACCTGTCCCCACCACACCTTAGGCAGCTGCCTGCCATTCTGTCCCTTGACCAAGCCATTTATCAAGCCTTCTGTGGCCCATAGAGTGTAATTATTCCCATCTTTCAAGGCTCAGCTTCAACATCTCCTCCAGGAAGCCCTCCATGATCCCTACAACCTTTAGAAGGACTTAAGGCTTCCTCCCTATACCCACTGTGTTTTAGGGGTAGTTCCAGACCTCAGGTCTGGTATGAAGGAATTTCTGCCTCCTCTGCCTCCTTGAGGGCAGGTGCATTTCCCTATCCCTCAGGGTTTCAGGGCAATAGGGTTAGAGGATGATTAGAATTAGGGAACATTCTAGGAAGTGTAAAAAGTTAGGAGCAAACCAAAGGAAGGGAACTGACTCAGTCAAAAAAAAAGTACTTGTTGGTGGAGAGTTGAACCGATAATGTTGAATTTTATTTTGCTTTCAAGGTGTTGGCGTAAAGACTTCACATAGCAATAAGCACATAGCCTGCTGTGAAGTCCATTCCTTCTACAGATATTTACCAAACACCTCTCTCACACCTGTCTATACCATAGGCACACATACACCTCACAGCACACCAGGAAAAAGCAGGCACACCCCACCCTGCCTGCCTCCATCTCACTGCCTTCTCTGCATCCCTGCTGTTGCTTTAGTGTATTTGAAAACCAATAAAGACCTCCCACCAGAAAACAAAAACACGAACAACAGAACAATAGAGCACCCTGTTCTTCTAAGCACCAATTCAACAATCATCACACTTCAGAGCTGGAAGGGACTTGGAATAAGCTCATTGGACCTCTTCACTCCACAGATGGCGAAACTGAGGACCCAAGTGGGGCAGTGCCCATCTGAGGTGTGCGGTTAAGAAGAGGCAGAGGCACCTGCAGACCTCCTAACACCCGGTCTCCAGGCTCTCCTCAACCCACCTCAGCTTGGCCCGGTGAAGGGAGATTGTGCCTGGAGGAGGTGGCAGCGTCTGGGACACACAGGGGAGGAGATGGGTGAGAAGGAGGAAAAGTGGGGCAGGAGGGCAGCAGCCCAGCCTGGGAAGGGGTTGAGGGATGAGGCAGGGCTTCCTGGGTGCTGACGAGGAGGCCTGGGAGGAGGGCAGAAGGACACAATTAGAACTCCAAGGGAACTGTCCTTACCCACCCTTCTCACCTTCCCTCAGGGTCTGTCTTCTCCCACTTACTTAGGGAAAAATAATGACAGAAAGGTGGAGAGTAGAGACAAAAGAGAGGGCTGACCCACCTGTCCTCCCTCCCATCTCTGTCCTTCTGTCTCCATCTACTCATTCCCTCCTGTGACTTACCCGCTGCTGCACTCCGTAGGCATGCCCGGGTGCCCCCAGCTCATCTCCCCACTTGCACCACCTCAGCCCCAGCTGCTGCTCCCCAAGTTCACTTCCCCTTGACCTCTCTGGCCTTTCTGCTCCTTCCCTCTATGCCTCTCTGCCTGCAGCAGAGGGAGGGCCGCCGCTTGCCTGGAGCCCGGAGCCCAGCACCCAGAGATCAGTCAGCTCCAGGGGGAAGAAGGGCCCAGCACCTACTGCTCTGCAGCAAGCCCAGGAGAGAAGTCAGACCCCGTGGAAGCACATCTCGTCAGGGTTCTGTGGAGGCCAGGGAGGAAATGGGCCCAACTAATCCACGTTTGCCTCTCCAGATTGGAGTACAAGTGGGGAGATGGAAGAATTAACCTTTTCAAAAATGTAATTTCATAAAATCATCTTGCTTGGAACAGACTCTCTGGTTATTACTATTATTTATGGCCGTGTCCATGCCTCAGGCCACCACCAGTGTGGAGAGATGGAGGAGGAGCAGCGAGGCTGCAGCTGCCTGATGGAGAGAAGAAGGGCTGCCATTCTGAAGCTCAGGCTCAGGGCTCACCATGCAGCCACCCTCAGAGCCCTGTGGCCCCCAGAGCTCACCTGTGGCTATCCTGCAGAAGGACCCCCAGGGGAAAAGATTTTCAAGGCACTCTCAAGACTCTCACATGAAAATTCTTTCCTCTTTGCCCCTCTTCAGCCCTGCCGACACTCTCAGAGCTGCCGATTCCCTGCTCTCCTCTAGAGCTCACCATGGCTGGCACAGGCCACAGCATATGGCCCACTCTTAGCAGCTGCCCCTCACAGCCAGGCCTGGGTTTGCTCATAGCACCCATTAGCCCTGTCAGGACTGGAACATCAGAGAAGCCTGCCACCAGAGACTTGCTCCTGGGCTCAGAGAATGGGCATTAAGCTCCTGCTACTGCCAACCTGCCTGGGGCAGGGGAGATTCCTTGACTTTCTGGCCCTCTGTTCCCTCCCTGACTTCCCGGCTTCCCTGGCTTCGATCTGGCTGACTTCTCTTCAAGCTTTGAGTGATGCCTCACATCCTTGTCTCGTCCGGATATATGGGCCTCACCTGTAAGGTGAGGGGTATGTGCATGGTGTGCAGGAGGGACAGCCAGGAGGCCACTGTGGCCATAGAGGGGTGAGGGGGAGGAGGAAGACAAAGAGGATAGGGAAGCCATGGCGGTGGAGATGGCGGTCACGTAGGGTCTTGCAGGTCATTGAGAGAGCTTTGGCTTTTACTCTGAGTGAACCTGGGAGCCACTGCAGGATCTAGAGCAGAAGAGGCTGTGACATACCGTCACCACGGATGCTCACCTGTTCTCTGGGGCCTGGTCTGCTCAAGCTGCTTCATTCTCCCCACCTCAATGTCTTTCCTCTTTCCTTGGGACCCCACGAATTTAACAATATTCCCTGGGTGCCCATCTTAGAGTGCACCTGGAGGGCAAGGAAAGAGAAAGGTGTGGCTCTTGCCCTTGTCAAGGCCATCATCTTGTGGAAGACACAAGATTTCCTCCCTAGAAGTGCCAAAGAAAGAGTAGCCGGAGGGCTCCTAGCATCCCGGCTCTGGCCCCACTCCATTTTGCTGTGTGACTGTGGGTAGGTAGGCAGCTTACCCTCTCTGAGTGTGTTTCCCTCACTCTATTTTGCCATGTGACTGTGGGTAGGTAGGCAGTTTACCCTCTCTGAGTGTGTTTCCCTCACTCTATTTTGCCGTGTGACTGTGGGTAGGTAGGCAGCTTACCCTCTCTGAGTGTGTTTCCCTCTCTCCATTTTGCTGTGTGACTGTGGGTAGGTAGGCAGCTTACCCTCTCTGAGTGTGTTTCCCTCACTCTATTTTGCCGTGTGACTGTGGGTAGGTAGGCAGCTTACCCTCTCTGAGTGTCTGTTTCCCTCACTCTATTTTGCCGTGTGACTGTGGGTAGGTAGGCAGCTTACCCTCTCTGAGTGTCTGTTTCCCTCACTCTATTTTGCCGTGTGACTGTGGGTAGGTAGGCAGCTTACCCTCTCTGAGTGTCTGTTTCCCTCACTCTATTTTGCCGTGTGACTGTGGGTAGGTAGGCAGCTTACCCTCTCTGAGTGTCTGTTTCCCTCACTCTATTTTGCCGTGTGACTGTGGGTAGGTAGGCAGCTTACCCTCTCTGAGTGTCTGTTTCCCTCACTCTATTTTGCTGTGTGACTGTGGGTAGGTAGGCAGCTTACCCTCTCTGAGTGTGTTTCCCTCTCTGGAAAATCAAGGAAAGGGACCCTGTGGTCTAAGGTACCTTTGAGCCAAGACACCAATCCTCTGGAATTGGGAGGAACGGGGAGGATGACTTAAGGTGATGGGACTAGTTGGGCAGGATTTCCTACATGAAAGAGCCCTCCCCTGAGTCCCAAGGGTGAGTGAAGCGTGAAGGGCGGGAAGGTGCAGTCCCTTCCTCTTGCCTGTCCTGGAACCTGCTCTCCTTCCTGCTCGGCTGTCCCCGCCCCACAGCTCCCCCTGCTCCCCTGTCCTGGCCCAGCTCCTCTCTCAGCCCCCTCTCTGGCACTGAGCTGGAAGCACATCGAACCTGCCAGGTTAAATCAGATCCACATGTGCAACAATTTAACAAGAGATGGATCTGGCGTATGTGTGCAGTTTTTAAATAGAGGTTCCTTGGAGCCGGTTGTTTCACTCAGAATGAAAACAATTGATTATCTTTAGAGCCACTTACTGAGGCTTCTCAGCCTTGATACAACCAGCCTGGGGTTTACAGGACCCAGCACTACTCACCTGCCCTCAGGACTGCAACAGCCCTGTTCTCAGGGAGAGGTGGGCATCACTGCATGGCAGCCAGGGGCACCTCCTCTGCTGGGGGCCAGGGCAGAGGCAACAGGCCCCCAAGGAGGGCACTGGAGGCCAGCCTCTCAGTCATAACCAGAACCAGTTCCGAAGCCCAGACTCATTTAGAGGAGGAGAGGAGGGGGTCACAGGAACACCCCTCCCAATTCGCTGCCCAGCAGAAGGAAAAAGAAATTCCCTACCCTGGGGGAGCTTCCATTCTAGCAGTAGTGTGGTTGGTGGACACTAACAAGAAAACATATGTAGGATGCTGGGTAGTGCTAAGTGCTTCAGTGAAGCATCAAGCAGGTTACAGGCATGAGGGGGAATGAGGACTGAGGCACAGGAGCTCATTTGGACAGGGTGGTCAGGAAGAGGGGAGCAAGGAGACTATGACATATGAAAGAGCCAAACCCTGGTGACATCTCAGAAAGGACATTCAAAGCAGAGAGAAACAACATCCTGGAGTCCTCTATGCACTGAGACCCGAGCCAAGGCTGGGTATCAGGGATGGGAAGTGTGTCCCTCTATAGATGCCCCCTGCCCTTGCCAGCCCACCTTGAACTTCTGCCTCAGTTTCCCTGCATGCCACTCCAGTTTCCTGCCAGGCATTGCTCTGTACTTGGAGTCCTGACTTGAACCCTGACTCATTTGGCTGAGGAAATGGCACTTGTCTAATGCTTACCAGCTGCTTCCCAAGGGCAGAGACACTGTTTTCTATATTCCAGGCTAGGTGGCATTCCACTGTGTGTGGGCAGACAGGATGACCAGCTGGCTTTGAGTACTGCCCTCTGCCTTCACATCTTCCATTTCAGGGCTTAACCTACTGGCCTGGACATGCTCGCCCATACAGAGTCTGTCTAGCACCCACACTACAATGGATGAGGCCAAATGGGACCCATAAATAGCTTCCTGAGTGCTCCAGAACCTCCAGAAGCCCCAGCTCTGTCTCAAACTTCCTCCTGCACCTCCATCTCTTGGAGTCTGGTTTCTGCCCCACTGCCTTGCAGCCGGCTTCTGCCTCTCAACTAGACTGATGTCTTGCTTGGACAGTCCATTTGCCTGGATGCTGGCCTCACCTCCAGACACTAACTTCCAGCTTGTAGGTCAATCCTGCCTTATCCCCATCAAGCCAGGCTCTAGAACCCCAGTCAGGGACCAGTCTCAGGTTACAATTGATCTCTGTACCCTGATCTGGCCCAACAAGGGCAGACACAATCACTAGGTATGTCTATTGGCCAGGCCAGTGTGCCTTTCACCAGAGCCTCACCTGCTGTTCTGACAAGACAGTGCTGTCCTGTGGTTCTGGAAAAGCCCAAAAGGGTGAAATGGACCTCCCCTAGGGACAGTCAGAGAGGAGCTTCTTGCTAATGTCTTGGTCAGTCCTATGTTTACAACACAAAGTAGAGTGTTAGGAATCTTAGGGAAAAACAACACAAGATGGGAAAGCAGGTTTGAAGTAGTTATGGATCTCAGGTCCAGGGGGAGACAGGACATCGGTTTCCATTCCCAGCTCTGTTCCTAACAGGGTCACCTGGGATAAGTAACATTCCTGCTCCTCAAATGTCAAATCAGGGGCATTGGACCAGATCAGCACTTCTCTCCTCACTGTGTGCCATGGAAGGTTCCTTGGAGCCCTCTCAAAGGCTGCTCAGGGCGGAGGTGAGAGCAAGGGGCTTAGTTTCCCCACCCCCGTTTCCAAAAGGTAGGGCTTCTTTCTTCTATTTAAGCTGCCTCAAAATGCTGCCTTTGAAAAAGAGTAGAGTCTTACAAATTGCTTTAAAACCCTTTCATTATATAACTTTGAAATTCCAAGAATTAAAGATTAATCATCAGTTGATGACCTAGGCACTTGGCTCCCTGTCTCTCTCCACAACTATCCCTGCCATCATTCCTGACAATTTCATATCCTGGCAGATTACCTGTTCAACACCCAGGCCCCTTAGTCCATTGTCCCTCTTAGCACCAAGGACCTCATCCTTCTCTTCAACATCCCCTCACAAGGCCACAATCTAGACCTCATCATCATCCATAACACCTCACCTCTGAAAGCTTTATTTCAAGCAGCCCCATGATTGTCATCTCCTATCTCACTCTCTACTCCTATGCCAAATATTCTTCCACCTGATTGAGAGCCCCAATCCATTCATCTTGTTCACTGTTGATGAAACAGTGTTCTTATTTTCTTCTATTACTCAGCCCAGAGTTCATAGACCAACCCAAAAACCATCCTCTTCCAAGTACTCTTGTTGTCCTTGGACTTATCTCCTTCCTTCATGCTCACCTGGAAATCCCCAACCCTGGTTAAACCCAATCATCCATCTGCTTGGCACCTGCATCCATCAGCTGACTGGCATCTAGAGCCCTCTAGGGAATAACACACAGGTAGACTAGTTCTAATAACTGGGCAGACCTTTGAACCTTTCCAGGTAGTGTTCCTATACTTTCCTAATTCACTTTTCAACATTTTCCATCATTCCTCAAATAATCATTTTCCCTGCCTGGTCCTCCTCACCAGACAACAGCTTTGATACACACTTCACAGAGAAGTCAATGAAATCAGAGACCTATCTCTTCCTCAATCCCTATGCTACCAGCTGACCTGCATTTTCTCACTGTCTGGATTATCTCACTGAAAAACATGGCTCCCTATTTAACATCTTAACAAATAAATATCCTTTGACACCATGTTGGCTTCCTCTATGACCCTGCACACTGGTTTATAGCAAAATATTTACTAGTCAGTACCATCTCTACTACCTCATCCCCACCTCTCTTCATGTTGGGCATTTACTCCTACTTTTCCATGAAACAGGCATTGTTCAGGATCACCTCTGACCACCCAACATCTTCTCAAAGCCAAGTTTCAGTCCTCATCTTGTCCACTCTCCTCATGGCCATCCATACAGTTGCCCTGTCTCCTTCCTGAAGCCTCCATCATCTAGAACCCTCCAGGGAGTAGCACACAGCCATGTTGACTAGCTCTAATGTATGAGCTAGTCAGTTTACCCCCAAAAGCATGGGTTGTTCCTTTCCAGCCTCCTTTGCCAGCTCCCAGGCCTCTCATTGTCAGATTGCCTAAGGCTTGATCCTTAACCCTCTTCTCTTCTGTGTCTACACTCTACTGAGATGATCATATCTGGTCATACGACTTCCAACACCTTCTAGTGGATGAAGATTCTTCACATTTACCTCCAGCCCAGCCCTTTCCTCCAAACCCCACTGAAAATACACATCCCACTGCCAACCTGCCACCTCCACTTGGATATCTATTGGGCACCTTGAACCCAAACAGAAAAATACATTCCCTCTTCTCACTCCAAATATGCCAATACATTCCCCGCTTGGAGCCTCTCCCAACTCAGAAATGCCCCACCATCCACCCATCCAGATGCTCAAGCCAAAAGCTTAAGAGACATTCTTGATTCCTCCCTTCCTCTCACACCAAAGAGCCCATCTATCCCTAAGTCTCTTTGGCTCTACCTCCAAAATGTATCCCGAATCCAACCCCTTCTTACCACCTCCACTACTACTGCCTGGTCCATGTCACCATCCTCTCTCACTTGGACCACATTAATCTTCTAATTTATCCTGTCATTCTGGCCCACCTCCAACGTGTCCTCCACAGAGCAGCAAGAGGGACCCATCTAAACCGGAATCAGGTCAGGTCAGCCCACTGTTTTAAAACCTTTCAGTGGTTCCCGCTGCACCAGGGGTAAAAGACACAGCCCCCACTGCAGCCTGCAAGGCCCTGTGTGATTCGGTCTCTGCCTATTCATTTTCCCTTGGGACCACCCTTGGTCAGGAAGCTCAGACACCCTGGACTCAGCTCATTCCAGTCTTAGAATCTTTGCACTGATTAGTCCTCCTGCTTGGACCCCTCTTACCCTGCCCTGGTCTTCACATGCCCAGCCCTCATCATTTGGCTCTCAGGTCAGATGCAGTGTCCTCAGAGAGGCCTCTCAAAGGGCCCCCTCCCTGACCTCCATCATCCTGCCACCCACATCTGCACTAATCTATTTTATCTTCTGTATTGGTGCTTAAAAGCATTTTCCTGATTGGTTTGTGTGTTATCCTCTGCTTCCTCCTGCTAGAATATGAGACCCTTTGGGGCAAGGAGTTGATCTAGGTGGTTTCTGACTCTAGTCCCAGCATTTCAAAAGCACCTGGCACATAGTAGGTGCTTATTAAAAGGACCTAACTAATAATCTCAGGCTTTCAGTTCCTTGCTGATGGGCCTTGAAAATCCAGTTAATTACTCAGTGCCTTCCCTATCTATAATGTAAGGGTTCTCATACCCAACACACCTCCTGGTGTCGGGTGACTGGATGTAATAGAGCTTTGCAATCTATGGTGCACCATGCAAAGGAGTCAGTCCCTCACCTGGCTCTGCCAAAACAGGCATGCAGCTGGGAGGAGAGAAGTTTATAGCATCCCAAAGTGACGCCCTTCTGCAGCCATTTCTGACTGCCCACCTCACTCCTAAGTCCGTTTGCCTTCTGCTTCCACGTTTGCCTCTGCCCCTTGCCTCAGCTTCAGAGCCCCTCTGCAGTTCCCCCCAGATGTCCCTTACCAGCAAACCACTCCCTGGTTCTCACCCACTGAGGACCCTAGCATCTCTCTCTTCCAGCATCTCCTCTTAGTCAACCAGGCCCAACCTGTTGCCCTCATAAATTCCTGCTCACCCAGGCTCTACATCGTCTTTTCTGCTCTGCCCCCCATTCTCTCTTCTGTGAGCCTTCCCTGTGCTCCCATCCCTATCCAGATATTTGCCTCCAAAGCTGTCTTGTGGCTTTGTTTTCCAGCAGGAGTCATATAAGCACTCTGTTTTCTTCTTTTCTCAGGCACCCGTTACCATATTAGCATCTAATAAGTCCCTTGTACTACACAGAACACAAGGTGACATCATGTCTATGGGGAACAGAAAAGAATGTACTTACAATAGGAAAGGGCTCGGAAGGGTAGAGCTGAGTGCCTGACAGTGCCTCAGTTTCCACACCTGCATCAAGGAGGCTCTGCAGCACAGGTGTCCTAGATTTTCCATAACACCTCTCCAACTCCCCCACCCTCACCTTCCTGTCTTCCCCAGGATTGATGCATGGCCTTTGCAGAGAGGGCCTTGGGCTCCCCAGGAAGCAAGGATGATCAAAAAAACAAGATCAGGACATCAACAGCTGGCACACAGGGGATTCTTAGAAGGCTAGAAAAATGTCACTTCCCCAGTCTCAGGCTACAACAGCTATTTATCATCTTTACTCTTGGGGAACAGCCCTGAGAGGGAGCTGACCTTGAAGAAGGAGAGAATCACTTCTGGGGTGTCTGCCTACTGGGGTGCTGAGGGGAGCAAAGGATGGGAGGACAGGGTGGAAACTGGAGGAAAGTGGCAAGAAGACAAGGTCTCGGCTGTCTGGAGGCAACATTGACTCTACAACAGCGCGCCTATAGATCCGTGTCCACCGAAAGGCTCTGTCACTGTCAGGGAAGCCCTGGAGACTGAGTGGAGGGAAATGGCATTGAAAGTGTAAGCAGGAGATGGGACACAGCTGGAAGGGTCTGTCACAGCCAGAGAGGTAAATAATGAGTCTCTCTGCCAAAAAGTCCAGTCTTCTGCCCTCAGGTCCTTCCTAATAATTGAATCTAAGCTGCATTCATGGCTGAAGGGGTCTACAATTAACACCCAGATTCAGACATGCCAGGGCCATTGGCGGAGAGTCCAGAGCCTGCAGGAGAGGATCCTGACATATTTATAAAGATATCCCTAGACATTTATTGGATATTTCTGCTTCCAGTCACCTGCACTGTGGCTGCCTTCACATACTTTTTTCCCCATATCTTTACAAAAAAAGCATGTAGACTTGCTCCCAAATGCAGATATATTCACATCTGAAAGTTCAGGCACCAAGATATCCAAGGACACTCGTTCTCACACATATGATCTCATGTGCTATGCACACACTCAGCTCACGCCCAGCCCACTCTGCGACACCCACATGGACAGGCAGCTGTACACAATCACTATTTAGGTTCTTGGGGCATGGCAGTGAATGAAGCCAATCATGATCCCTGCCCTCAGGAAGCTCACATTCTGGGGCACCATCCACGGAGAGGCACAGACACTTTGCCTCTGACTCTTGCACACAGACTTATTCAACATATACAGAGACTCTACACAAACATTTAAATAGTCCACAAACATTTATTGAGCACCTGCTACATTCCAGGAAGCATGCTTGGGACTAGAGATATATCAGCAAGCAAGACCAGCATGGTTCCCATCCTCAGACACACCCAGAAAGGCACACTCCCAAACACAGGCTCAACAAATACACAAACCACTTATACACACGATTTCAAACACAAATCCGAAGGCATTTTTATGATGCCCCAGGTAGCAACTCACTTAGAATGAGGAAGGAGGAGGCCCTTTAAAGTTCAAAGTCAGAGCTGTACATTGTCCATTCCTCTACCAGGCTGTGTGTTCCTCTCCGTTCAACATCACATCATCTCCATCCCTCCCTATTGGGCCCATGGAATAGTTGAGGTGCAAGGGACTGCCTGCATCCTGGAGCCCCCATCTCCCCAGCCCTGATGATGCCGTTCAAGACATTTCCCAGGTTCCCCACTGTCAGGACGGGGCCAAGCACAGACCCAGTGGCCGGGGATTTTTGCTGAGCCATTACATTACAACCGAGCCTGCTCCTTCCAGACATTTTTTTTTTTAAAGAATCAGAAATAACTTGGCCGTAAAAATGTGCTTTGGGCGGAAAGCTGACTCCCAGGGTCAGAGCCCAGGAGAAGATTTCTGCAACACAGTTTCAGGAAAAATAGCAGACACTCAGCAATTTTTATTTTCCAAGGGATGAAGAGAAAATACAATTGGAGTGGATTTAGGGCTTCGCAGGGCTCCTCTTCAGGTTGCAATGTGTTCGTGGTTTCTCTCTTTTCCCCAGCTGGAGAGAGTGGCAGCAGAGAGTGTGGGCCGAGGGGAAAGTGGAAGTGCTGGGTCTGCTGCCTGACACCGCATGAGACCAGTGACCCACTCCCCCTTAGAGTGTGGCGAGTTTGTGCTGCAAGGTCAGAGGCTGATGGGCTGTGTTCAAGGTAGTAGGTCAGTGGGTTTGGAGCCATTGATTCAAGCTCAGATCCCAGTTCTGCCTTCTACTGTGAGAGCAAGGTTTTTGAAAACCTTTCTGTGCCTCAGTTTTCTCATCTGGAAAATGGGAAGAACAGCAGCACCTACCTCACAAGGCCGTGGTGAGAATGAAAGAAATCTGCAGTTCGTATGTATTTCAATAGAGGAAGCTCTAATAACCCTTAGAAGATGGCTACTACCTGCCTCCCATCCTCTCCGTGGCAGGCCTCTCCAGCTCCCTGCCTGTGGGATGGATGCCCAGCACGAAAGCCCTCTTAGCCTCCACGACTGCAGACAGCAATGCCTGGGTCCTGGGCCCTCAGAGAAACCCCATCAGCCTGGTGTTCTCACAGGTTCTCCCCGGAGACCGGGAGGCTCTGCTGTGCTGACTACTCTGCCTGCCCCTCAGAGACTCCTTCACCCAGCTCTGTGTCCCAGGGGAAGGCCCCCTTGCCCTCTTATTTCCTGTCAGGTTTGGCCCATGGGATGTACCAGGAGAAGGCCACAGGGGACGTGGAGGGTGAGGCTGTTACTTCTGTGGCATTCCCTCTGGCTTCAGAGCCTCAGATCTGCTTCCTCCCTATCACTTCAGGCCGAGGGGCAGGCGGCTAATAGCTTGCATCACTGCAAGTCTTTGAGTGCCTCTCAGCCCTTGTTGATTCTGTCAGATCTGCCCACAGCTTTATAAAAAGTCCCTTCCTTAAAGATTCTGGAGAGGAGTGAAAGAAGCAGTGTACAAGGAAATAATCATGGTTATACACAGAGGCTTTCATACAAGGATGTTCATCATAGTGTTGTTTGTAATAACGAAAGGTGGAAAGAAACTAAATGTCCAACCATCAGGCATTGGGTGAGTAAACCAGAGTAATCCAAACAGTGCACTGGACTGCAACTATTAAGAAAAATAATGTGCTACAAGAATATTCACCAATACTGGGGAATATTCACTACATGCCTCTAAGGAAAACAGTGGGCCTAGAAGACTATGGATGGACTATAGCATCAAAAATAACATCTACAGGTTTGGAAAGAGAATGCATAGGAAGAAAATACACCAAAATGCCTACTGTGTTATCCTTGAAGATGTGAATGACGGGTGGTGGTATTTTTTTCCTTTTGTACGCTTCTGTGTTTTTTCACTTTTTTTTTTTTTTGCATTGAGCATATATTACTCTATTGATTAGAAAAGAAGTTATTGATAATACAGGTACAACCATTAAAAATGACATTTTAAAATAATTTTTAACATCATGGGTAAATAAATGCTGTAAGATATTAAGTGAAAAAGCAAAAATTGCCCTCTCTTCATACGCAGGTCATATGGACAAATGCCTACATATATATCTATCTGTCTAAAATAATATAAATATTATTTAGTATTATATATAATATTTTCATTTAAAAAGACTGGAAAAAAGCACAAAATGTTATCAGAGGTTTTCTAGGAAAGATATAGTTACGGGTAATCTTTTTACCCTTGCCTGCACTTTCCAATTTCCTATCATAAGCATTGATTTTATTTTTTTTAAGACAGGGTCTCACTCTGTCACCCAGGCTGGAGTGCAGTGGCATACTCATAGCTCACTGAGGCCTTGATCTCCTGGGCTCAAGAAATCTTCCCATCAGCCTCTCAAGTACCTGGGACTACAGGTGCCCATCACCGTGCCTGGCTAATTTTTTTTTTTTTTTAATTTTTAGCAGAGACAGGGTTTCATTATGCTGCCCAGGCTGGTCTTAAACTCCTGAGTTCGAGCAATCCTCCTGCCTTGCCCTCCTAAAGTACTGGGATTTACAGCCACCACATCCAGTCACCACTGATTTTTAAATAATCAGATTAATATTTTACATTTAGAAAATCTAGGGCACTTGAAGCCAAAATATTCCAGGGTATGGATTCAGCCACGTGCCAGCGTGCCTCTCTCTGCCTTCAATACACTGGCTTGGATGTCTCCGCCTACAAAAGATGAAGCCAGACACTCTTGTGAGCATGGCAAAGTGGGGTGCAAAAGCCCTCATGGAATCAGAGATCTGAGCCCACGGGGAGTGGAGCCAAACAGGGAGCAGAGAGCCACGCATCCTCGGTAGCCTGAACATTCCACCTTGTTGATGTGCATTTTGTCATTAGTGACTTCATGAAGCATGTCCTGACTCCACACACCCTGTACCAAGCCCAGTGGAGACCCAGAGAGGGTGTCATCTGCTGGGGAGACAGACAGACAACTGCAAAGGAAAGCAGCACTGCAGTGTTAATACAGTAAAAATAACTACCTTTCCACTTCTGTAGGGCCTTGCTGGGTTTAGAGCACCCTGTCTTTGCTACTTCATTGAATGCCCACAGCAGCCCTAGAGGGGAGTGTCATTATCCCCACTTTGCTGGTGAAGAAGATGAAGCCCACAGAACTTCAGTGAGTTGCCCTGGACTAACCTAGAATATGAGAGATGCCATAGAGCCTTCAGATGTGTGCGCCCAGCCGGCACCCAGAGCCAGGGTGGTGTAGGTCATCTCCGAGGGCTTCAAGGAGGATTGAAGGGAGGGAGGATTTCAGAGGCAGAATGGAAGTCCTTTGGGTGAAAATGGCTGTCAGGACAAGTCATAAAAGACACGAAGGCTGAAGTTACAAGCCCTTGGAAAATTTTTGCCTATGTCTACAGGAGGAGTGCGCCCATGCACAGGAGTCTCAGCTCATCCCTCCCCTCCCTCCATGCTGGAAGCTGGCAGCAGGGCACTAGCTCCTGACTCCTGTCCTTCCTGGAACGATGGGGAATTGGAAGGCAAGTCACAAATGGGACATTCACTCAACAATTGATGAGTGTCCTTTGAATACGACTATGTGTCAATGCTCTATTCACTCTCCTGTCTCCCAGAGCCCAGACAGTGACTAGAACCTAAGTCCTCAGAGAGTTTCTGTGGGTGGGTGATTGACTACCTGCACTATGCTGTGTTAGGCACTGGGTTGCCCAGTGGGGCCCAGACAGACATGGCACCTGCCCCCATACAGCTTAGAGTCGAGCGTTGGGGCAGAAATGATCAGACAGCCACATTAGGTGATGAGGCTCCCAGCCCAGGAAGAGCTCTGAAGCTAGGACAGTTGTCATAGAACCACAAAGGAGAAAAATCACAAAGGAGCTGAGATTGGAGATTCAGCATGCCAGCAGTGAGAGGATAATCTGGACAGAGAGAACAGCATGTTCCAAGACTGTATCAGGGAGGAAGCACAGTGAATTCTGGGGACTGGGAGGCCATGGAACCTAGAGAGCAAGGACAGGGCAGAGGGTGGGTGACAAAGATGGAGGTTGGGTGGGCCAGCCATGCAGGGCCACGAGGGCCAGGTCTCGGATATGGAGATGATCTCACAAACAACAGAAAACCAACAGAGGGTTCAGTGGGGTTAGGATGGCAGAGAGGGTGACATGATTAGAGTTTTGGTGTGGAAATTGGATCAAGCAGGACAGCAGTGGAGCTGACAGAACAGTCGGGAGGCTGTAGTGAAAGAACTGGAGAGAGATCAGTTCTCCCACAGCTACTCAGGAAAACTGACTAGTCGCAGTAATGGAGAGACTGTAGTGGGGGAGCAGAGGGAAGTGCCCACAGTGACACTTAGCTGCTCACTGGTGCAGCCGATGGAGGGCGGTCCTCTGGGACACAGAGCCATGCAAGAAGACCACCATTGCTGGAGAAGCCCACAAGCTCTATTGTAGACAGGTAGCGTTTGGGGACTTTTAAGACATCCAAGAAGAGATCCTGAGTAGAGTTGACAGTGCAGATCGGAGCTCAAGAGAAGTCTTGGTAGGAGACACAAATCTGTAGATAATCCACATATGGGTAGGAAATGAAGGCCAAGAACAGATGAGATTGCCCAGGGAGAGGGTAGAGCACTGGGCCTTGTGGAGCCCAACACCAGTATGTGCCAAGGTGCAGCCAAAGATTCAGGGCGTGCCATTGGAGGCAAGGGAAGCAGGTGCTCCTGGAAGGACGAGGTTGGTGGTAGAGTCAAATGCTGCTGAGAAGTCAGATAAGAAGAGGACTTTACTATGCTCGTTGGATGTAAAGACACAGAGGCTACCAGTGACACTAGGAAAAGCCCCTGTGCTGGAAAGATGGGGTGAAGGCCCATTCAGAAAGGCTGGAGGAGTTATGGAATGGAGGCAAAAAAAAAAAAAGAGGCAATTCTAAGATGTTCATGCAGGGGTGGCGAGAGATAGGAGGGTCGCCAGAGGGCTTGTGGCATTAAGGGGGAAGCAGTTCACTTCCTAGAATAAATGGGTTCAGGGCTGGGGTAAGGGCCTCCCTCAGAAAGACCAATGCAGACAGCAGAAGAGACCCGCCCAGAACCATTCCAAGGCTGGTTGTTGCATCTTGCCCATAAGAGACCAGTAAAAGCTGGAATGACTTAGGAGTAAAAGCTAGAATTTTCCAATTGGTCCTGGATTCAGTCACTTAGTAGCTGTGTGACCTTGGGAAAGTTACTTAACTTCTCTGGGATAAGGAACTTTCTTTCTCTGATGAGGAACTTTAGTTTCCTCATCTGTAAATTGGAATAATCACAGGACGATCTTAAACATGAAAGGCTTAGCACAGTGCCTGGCACACACCATGTGCCCAAAAACACAATTCTAACCAATCCTCCGGTCACAACAAAGTAACCACTGTCATACTAAAGAAGTGGGCGTATGAGGAAATCAGGATGGTCATGACTCATTATGAGGGTGGGAACAGGAATGAGAAAAGAAGCACATTCTGGAGCTGTGGGCAAATGAGAGCCTCCTCCCCAAGAAATCCACTTGAGCCATGGACAGTGAAGGTCAGAAGGAAACAGTACAGAAATGTATATGGAAAGACCTCTTGAAGGGCTTGAACCTGAAGCCCAGCTAGAAATCACCTGCTCTCACCAAGACCAAGAAACAGGTGTGGAGTGAGTCACGGCCAGCCTCACTCTCCAGCCCTTTTCAATTTCCAAAGCTCTTTCGTATACAGAATCACCTTTGATATTATAGTAGCTTGGTTTCACATGTGTGTGCGAGTTACAATGACCAAAGGCA
Organism: Homo sapiens; assembly: GCF_000001405.40. Taxonomy (NCBI): domain Eukaryota; kingdom Metazoa; phylum Chordata; class Mammalia; order Primates; family Hominidae; genus Homo; species Homo sapiens. The sequence continues at coordinate 40,504,852 of NC_000006.12, forward strand.
CACTAGGGAGCTGTGAGTACAGCGTTGGGTCTGAAACCAGGGTCACTCTACCTGAGACTAAAGCTCCTGTCCCTAAAAACTGCCCTCCTTTGCTGGATGGGCAAACCCCTCACTCTGTCAAAGCAATTTCACACTGAACCATTTCTAGAGTGTGTGATGTGATGATGGCAGAGGGCAGAGGTGAAGACTACGAGCCTAGATCTTTGGAGGGGACAGTTGCCCGTGGCCTCGGCAAAGCAGCCAGTGGGCTCTGTCTGCACGGGCCCTGTGTGGCAGGTTTCTTCTGGTTCAGGTGGGCATCTGTGATTGTTTATAACCTGTCAGTGGGGTCTCCCGGGATTCTGTGGGGGCGGGGGACAAGGTGCTAGTCGGTGAGATCCCTAACATGAGAAAATAGCCTCATAGCCAGTCTAATTACCACTTTCCACAAGGAATTTCACCGTGCGTGCTCGTTTGCTTTTTAATCATCCTCTAAATATACATTTTCACGTTATATCCTAATGGCACCCAGAGAATCATTAGGATCTGTTGGGACCATAATCCATGGTTTCGGAAGTCTCTAAGTATGTAATTTCGCTCCATGACGCAGGTTTCTAAAAGTCCGCAAATAACCATTTGCATGATAAAGTCACAACTCTAAAGTCAATTACAGCTACAGCTGGAGAGAATTTATTTCCTTTTTGAAAATTAAAACATGAAATTGGGAAGTTGCCACACAAAGCCTTCCCTTGCCTGGGTGGGATGAGGAAACAGAATCTGGCCCTTTCCGCTACCCCTCATCGTGGGGTGGAGGCCCTGATTGACAGGGAGCAGCTCTTTCATAATCACTGGGTAGCCTAGGGCAGGGGCCTCTAGGGTGGCACTCAGTGGAGTTGGCTGTGGGACTTTGCCTCACACAGGTCTCACCTATCTTCCCCCCATGTCTTAAGATCATGCCTCCTGGCAGGGGTTGGGGGGTCCCACCTGTGACTCCCCAGGATGGGTCTCCTCAGCTTGGCTGGCTTAGCCAGCTGGCCAGCTAGAGATCCAAGGCACGTGGAGATGGGCAGGGGTCTGGGGCTCAAATGACCTTGACATGAGACAGTGTGGCCAAGTGTGCACTGGAATGAATGAACCCACTGTTCCCCATCTCAATATTCAGGATCCTGCAGGCTGGGCCTGAGCTCTGAGGGCCCTCCAGTGAGGGGCCTAGATCTTTCAAGGAGCCTGGGCATGGCTTGGAACTGTCACCATTTCTACAACATCAGGACTAGACGCACTTTAGAAAGCTTCTTATTCCAGCATTCTCAAAGTGCAGAAGGAAGGAAAGCTTCTCTGCCAAGGTCACACCAGTAAAGGGCAGTAAAGTGGGTGTCTACACCCGCTTCCCTCCCTCTTAGAATAAGCCGTGTCATGGAACCTGGCAGTCCCACCACAAGTCATCAGAATAAAAACCATCCGGGTGGATTTCTGCTCTCTTTTCATGTGGAGATTTGTGCAGGAACTTGAACTGAAAGCAGAGTTCTGACCAGAATGAATCTGCTGGCTCTTTGAAGCATGAATGGAACTATTCGAAAAAAGAAAAAAATATAAGGATACCCTCAGAAATCATGTTCACTGGAGTCAAATCTACATTCTATATATTCTAGAACTGTGACGCTAGGAGTGGAGCCTTGATCTAGTCTCCAGTCTTAACTGCTACTTTATTTAGTTGGTATTTAGGATCATGAGGAAGGTGCATTCATCAATGGAAGGTGCTAGCATGCTGGCGGGTTCCCCAGGCATGTTCCTATATGCCCTGCAAATCAGACTGTGTGGTGGTTTGCCCCCGTTGTTAAGCCTCACTGTCCCAGACCTATTGGAAGATGTCTCTTCCAATATGTCACTGTCCCCAAAGCTGGGATCAACCATGCCTCACTTTAAGAAGGAGCCCAGGATAGGGACGGTGGGAATTCATTGACCAGGAGTTTGCAGTTCTGGCCCTGACACTGCCAGTAACTGGCCTTGCAAATCTGGGCATCTCATTTCTGCTCTGAGCCTCAGCTTCCTCAGATGCCAAATGGGACCCTAATTTACCCAGCAGGGATGTAAAGCTGAAAAAAAAAGACCACAGAATTTTGTAGTTTTATACCTGTAAAGGGGAACAGTTTTCAAATTATAAAGTACTAGACAGATCAAGAGCCATTATTAATTTAGAAAGCATGGCAATGATGTCAGGTAATCGTGCTTAAATGGTATTGATTGTTTCCGCTCCCCGCGTGGATGACGTCCTCCGCCCTTGGATGTGGAGTCAGGATCCTGGGGATGGATGCCAACTCAACTCAGCCTGGCATCTCTACTAGACCGTAAGAGCCTTGACTCATCTGGCACATGGTGGGTTCTTAATAAACGTCTACTGACACGTCAAACTAGTCTCAGAGCCAGACTAATATTGCCTTGGTTTAGTTCATGATCTAAAAGGGGATTTTTTTTACCTGTCTTCTGTACCCTAACAAAACACAGATGGGGTTTTGATTACCACTGTTTATTGAGTGCTTATTCTGTGTCAGACATGACACTAAACCCTGAACACACAGTGTCTCGTTTAATCTTCACAATGCCTTGCTGAGAGAGGGCTGAGCTTCAGAAACAGGCTCAGAGAAGTCAAGTGACATAGATCGTATAAGTGGGACATGGGAGTGCGGATTAAAGGTGGAGGGCTCTGAAGACCCTGCTCTTAACCTCAGTGCCAAAGGGCCTTCTTTTTTAAGGTTGGGCAGGCCGTTGGGACCCTTGGAACCTCAGTTTTCTCCTCTGAAAATTGGGAAGAATGATGCCCTCACCTGTTTTGGAGGGGAAAATGCCTAGTCCAGCATCTGGCACACTGTAAGTGTCAAGAAATGCTGGCGACAGCTTGTTTTGTTTGGATTTGCTGTTTTGATCATGCCTCTTGTAGATTTGAAACGACCTACTCACAAAATACACAGGCCCTGAAATGTTTCAGATTCTATCTGAATCTGATTAAACCTCAAGCCAAAACTCAGAGACAAGCACTATGATTCTTATGCTATGATGACAGTAAGATGAATAATGGCTAACAAATGTGTGCCTTTTATGACATTGTATGCATGTCATAGCTGTCCTCAAGGTGGGAGCCTCTGCCCCAGTGGAAAGGTGAGGAAACTGAGGCAGGGAGTGGGCCAGTAACCTGCAGCACAGCACAGAGTTAACAGCAAAGTCTCAGGACTCTGAGTGAGACAGTGCCCAAGCCTAGCTCTGTTCCTTCACCAGCCGTCACCTTGGGCTAGTTACCTCCCCTCCAAGCCCTCACCTCCACCTAAACTTGAATCTGATTATTTTTGCAAAGTGCTGGACACAGTGGCTTGTATCTAGTACCACTCTACAAATTTTAATAGCTCTTAGTTTTTCTGCCCAGGACATGCTGCAGGTAAGGGGCAGATCAGGGCTTTGGCCTCCTGCCAGCCATCCTGCAGTGCCCACTCTGGTCTCTCTCTGCTCATCTCCCACCCCACAGCTTCCCACTGTAGCTGCATCACTCTCCCTGCTCTCTTTCCTTCCTCTGCTCATGAATGCAGGAGATGGGGGTTTCTGGAGGGGTCTGATCAGCAGTGGGTGGTGGGGGGGATCCACCCAAGAGGACCCTGGTATTTTCTCTGTGCCTGAAGAGGCTCTGCTCCCTGCACCTAGGTCTCCAGCAGTACAGACTCAGGAGCCCACTTAGATTCAAATTCTTGTTCTACTGCATACTAGTGGGTCACCTCGAGCAAGGTACTTTACTCCTCCATGCCTCCATTTCCTTTCCGGAAAATGCAATTGACAAAAGTACCTATTTTTAAGGGTTGGCATAGGTAGTAAAAGACTTAATACATGTAAGACACATAAAGCTGTGCTTGGCATGACATTAGTGTTCCATAAATGCTCAAATATGCCGGTGGAACTAATAGTAATAGTAACAGCAGAAGCAGAGTCTTACCCGAAGCCTGGGCTCTCCCCACTCAACACACTGTCTTAGCACTGACTCTGCTAACGACCACATCATGATCTTGGATATGCCATGGGCCCTCTCTGGACCTCATTCTCACATCCATGCAATGATTGGGTTGATAAGATCATCTCCAGGGCTCCTTCTATTCCAGGACTTTGAAATCCCTTCCTTATAAGGACTATGGCAACCAGTGGGGCCTATCCTCCTTCCACCTGTGAGGTCTGCACTAGAGATGTGTGGGGAGGTGGATTATTCACTCATGCACCCATCCACTCAGTCTGTCAACAAATATTTTGGAGTGCCTGCCACTGACAAAACAGGCTCTCTCTTTCTCAATGACCTAGCCAAGGATGACACACTCCACATAACTTCCTTCCCAAATTCTGATAGAACCTCTCACTTGCTTTCTATGAATAATCTTGTTCTCTTAACACACATAAGTTCCTGCCCATATCCCCCAAGGTGGGATCACTCATGGGACAGAGCATGGGCTCTGTGTCTAGCAAGCCTGGTTTGACTGTCACCTTTCACACTCAGTAGTTCTGAGATGTCGGGCAATTTTTCCCAGAATGTGAGTCATAACCCACTTGTGGGTCAGCAGCTCAATGTAGTGGGTCATGCCCAGCATTGAAACATAATGAAAGAGTAGAGAGCAGAATGAAATGGCACAGAAAAGAGAGTGTGCTGTGCAGGTAAGGGGTGAGTGCATGCATGTGGGTATTCTAGGGAACACTGGGCTCCGCAGGTAAGGGGTGGGTGCATGCATGCAGATATGCCAGGGAATATTGGGCTATGAAGGTAAGGGGTGAGTGCCTGCATGCGGGTATGCCAGGGAACACAGGACTGCGCAGGCAGTGGGGGTGGGTGCATGCGTGCAGGTATGCCAAGGAACACTGAGCTGCACAAGTAGGAGAGCTGAGTGCATGCATGCAGGTATGCCAGGGAACACAGGACTGTGCAGGCAGTGGGGTGGGGGTGCATGCGTGCCAGTATGCCAGGGAATACTGAGCTGCGCAGGTAGGAGAGCTGAGTGCACGCATGTGAGTATGCCAGGGAACACTGGGCTGCGTAGGTAGTGGGGGTGAGTGCATGCATGCCAGTATGCCAGGGAACACTGTGCTGTGCAGGTAGGAGGGGTGGGTGTATGCATGTGGGTATGCCACGGAACACTGGGCTGTTCAGATAAGGGATGAGTGCGTGCATGCGGGTATGCCAGGGAACACTGCTGTGCAGGTAGGAGAGCTGAGTGCATGCATGTGGGTATGCCACGGAACACTGGGTTGTTCAGATAAGGGATGAGTGCGTGCATGCGGGTATGCTAGGGAACACTGTGCTGCACAGGTAGGAGGGGTGGGTGCATGCATGTGGGTATACCAGGGAACACTGGGCTTCACAGGTAAGGGGTGAGTGCATGTGGGTATGCCAAGGAACACTAGGCCATGACGGGAATCCTATGTGTTACTGTAGGATATGGCCAAAAAACTTGAAAGTCACATACCTAGAACACATAACTTGAGGGTAAAATGAGAATAGCATCAAGCCAGGTAAGGCTGGAGATTCCCAACTGATGCCTCCCTGGTCATCTGAAGTCCCCCTGTCTTTTTCCTGGTTCATGAACCTCAGCCTTCAGGAAGCTGAGTCAACTCCCTCACAAAACCCTTTGCTCCCTGTCATTCAACAAACCAGCCAGAGAGTAAGAAAGTGCATATTAATCTCACAAACATTTGTTGAGCTCCTACATGATGCCAGACCTTGGGTTCAGTGCTGAGGCACAGTGAGGAGTGGGGTGATAAGAGCTGTGCCCCAGGGAGTTTACATTCAAACACAGAAGCCAGTGATAAGCTGACAGGTCCATGACCAGAATGCCAGGCTGGACAACATGCCAGAGGAAACGAAAGCAGGGCCGAGGAGACAGGGATGCTGTTTTGCATTGGGTGGCCATTTGGACTGCCTATTCATGCCCAGCCCTGTGGCAGGCAGAATGCAGGGAGCAAGTGTGTGAGGATGACGGGGTTCTCGGCTTATAGAAGCATTGGGAAGACGAGACTCACACAGCAGTGATGAAGGAAAGGTGCACAAATCCCTAGGCCAATGCTGGAGGGGTGGGGGCACTAGAGATAGGGAGGGGAAGCCAGAATGTGCTCAGAAATCCTGTTTTGCAAGAAGAAAGGATAGAGCCAGGATAAATAGGAAGTGAGCTGGCATTCCAGGGGAGGGAGAGAGGTGAGACCATGGGGGAGAAGGCCAAAGGGAGCCTGGGGCAGGAGGGAACACAGAGTTGAGTTATCATGCACACCAGGGGAAATAATGAGGGGAGACCTTGAGGGGGCACGAAGGTCAGATGGAGTTTACTCTTGGGCCAAAAATAACATGTATGGGTCACCTACTGAGGAACTTTAGGGCCTGTGCTAAAAGTTCTACATGTGTTAGCTCATCTTCATCCACACAACTCTTGAAGTAGATGCTACATTTCACTGAATCTCAGATGCCTTTGATTAGAAGATGGATGGTAATTTTTTGTATCCCTAAGAAAGAAATGTCACTGTTAAACTTGGACAGGTCATTGATTGCAGAATGCGTTTCAATTCTAGAGATGTTAAAATAAACATCTTAGAATTGACAGAATGTGGCATTGTTATCCACGGGAAGTAGGGGCAGTGGGAGGGTAAGTAACTCTCTCTAAGTCACAAACTGGTAAGCAGCAAGGGGGTCTGAGCCCAGGCCACCCAGCTCTGGAGTGTGTGCTCTGTTTTGTCATGTGCCACCCTCTCTGTCTGGGAGACATTATGGCAAGAGGGAGGTGCTGCAAGTTTCTGAAAGGAGGCACGAGGGGTGTTCCAGGAAGCATGTGGGCCAAACTAGAGAGGGAGGAAGGGCAGGGCACCCCAAGGGGATGACAGTGAGAACCAGGTGTGGGTGCCGATGGTGTGCCAGCTCCTGGCAGGTAGAGAGGGGACGTGAGGGAGAAGAAGGGGCACACAATTATTCAAAGTTCTAATATGATGATTCTTTCCAGTCAGAGGCTGAGTTTTCTACAAAGGAGAAATGCAAGAGGTGTAGGTTTCAATTAATTGTAACTCTCTTCCTTGACCAAAGGATGCTCAGGTGGAAACAGAGAGAAAGAGGGAGGAACTAGGGAAAAGAAGGCTGAGGAAGAGGCAGGGAGGGTTTTGCAAAGATGAGCAAAGCCAGGCAGTGAATCACCGTGGGACACAGAACTCCTGAGGCTGAAAGCCAGACTTTTGGACGCTTAAAATCCAGATCATCCCCAACCCTGCCCAGGTTCCCAGGTTTTCTGTGCACACTGACCATAGTCTCCAACCCCCTTAAGGAGAACTGACGTGTCCCGCGCACTTGACTTAAGAGAGAGTAGCCAATGGATCATCTCTGTTCTTTCCTGAAAGACCCAAGGCCTCCAGTCTCCCTTTGCCTGCACTTAGGGAGGTACTTACCCTCCCATTGCCCCCGCTTCCTGTGGATAACACTGCCACATTCTGTCAATTCTAAGATGTTTATTTTAACAACACTGGAACTGGAGTGAGTCTTTTAATCAATAACATGTCAAAGTTTAATTAGCAGCGATATTTCTTTCTTAGGGACACAGAAAAATATGGTCTATCTTCTAATCAAAGGCATCTTAGATTCAATGAAATACTGTAGCACACACCTATTTCAGTATCTCAGACACACCCTGATTGCAGAGATTCTGTGCCCCCAGGCCAGGCCAAGCCAGTCTCTGTTTTTGCAGACACCTGGCAGGAGCCACATTTTGGGCCTGGTTTAGCCTAATGGATTCCCTCCTTGGCAGATGTGTACTCAGCCTCACTGAAAATAAACAGAACAGACCCTGGATTCCTCCTGGGGGCCCACCACAATGCACCATAGATCCCTGGATCCACTTTAGGAACCATGCTGGGATAAGAAAAATCTACCAGGAGGGTGCCAGAGACACACGTCCTTTATGCTGAGCCCTTGGGGAGAGAAAATCACTGCCACTTTCTGAGCAGGAAGAAATCAACTCCAGCTAATATCCCCAGTGATGGGGAAACAGCCAGCCTGGGAGATGAGAGTGAAATATACAGAGAACCTCCAGGGCAGGATGGGGTTAGGGGCCTACAAAATTCAGTCTCCTATCTTCCAGCTCAGCCAAGGTGAGCCATGGCTTTTCTGTTTATAAACGTCAGGCCTGATGCTTGTAACAGGCATTTCTTTAGCATGTCCTTAGTGGCTGGGGCTTGTCAACTGCTGGGACGCAGAGGTAGGGCCCAGAGCAAGTGCCCTAGAGAAGCCAGTATACTGGGGAGGCAGGGTGTGGCAGCTATAATTTGTCTGCAAGCTCGAGTGTTCAATAATTATTCATTTGAAGGAATATAGCAGAACAATTGAAGGAGCAGTTAACAATACGCCCTCATTTAACAATTTTTTTTTTTTTTTTGAGACAAGTTCTCACTCTCATCACCCAGGCTGAAGTGCAGTGGTGAGATCTTGGCTCACTACAACCTCTGCCTCCCGGATTCAAGCAACTCTCCTGCCTCAGCCTCCCAAGTAGCTGGGATTACAGGTGCATGCCACCACGTCCAGCTAATTTTTGTGTTTTTAGTAGAGACGGGGTTTCACCATGTTGGCCATGCTGGTCTCGAACACCTCACGTCAAGTGATCCGCCCACCTCAGCCTCCCAAAGTGCTGTGATTAGAGGCATGAGCCACTATGCTCAGCCTCATTTAACAATTTTTTGAACACCTACTAGGTGCCAGGCACTGTGAGCAGGGAACAAAATGAAAAATGATCTCCACCCTCATGGTGTGACATTCCGGAGGCGGGCGACAGACCACACTGAACAAACCAATTAAGTTAACTATATAATCTGTGCAAAGGTGATACGTGCCAGGGAGAAAAATAAAGCAGAAAAGGGGAATAGGGAGCTCTAGGGGAAGGGGTAGAGATTTTAAGAGTAGTCAGGAAGGTCTCATCAAGATGAGGGCAAGATCAAGAGAAACTTCCCAAAACTGATATCCAGCCTGAACCTTAAAAAGTGAGTGGGAGCCCACCAAGTGAAGCACTTCCGGCAGAAGGAGCAGTGTGTGCAAAGTCTCGGGGGTCTGAAGGCTCTGGGTGACCCTGGAGAGCTATCAGGAGGGGGCCTGGCCAGAGAGGACAAGGGAGCAGGGAGGTGTCCATGTCATGATGGACCACCATGCCAGGCTAAAATGTCTCAGCACTATCCAACCGGCTGGGGAGTCTTGGTGGATTTGAAGCCAAGATGTGACATAATCCTGTTTTAATAAGATCCAGTGAGAGGCAGGTATGGAAAAGCTCTGGAAAAATCCTGAACAGCATTCCCAAGGAATGCTCTACAGGGTGTTCTGTCAATTCCTAAGAACTCCATGTGAAAGAAAGCGTTCCATGCTCCAGATAGTTTTGACCCCCCACAACACAAACACACATGTATTTTATACATAGTGTATGTATGTAATACATATGTTATATGAGTTTTTTTTGTTTGTTTTGTTTTTTTCTAGACGGAATCTTGCTCTGTCGCCCAGGCTGGAATGCAGTAGTGCAATCTCAGCTCTCCGCAACCTCTGCCTCTCAAGTTCAAACAATTCTCCTGCCTCAGCCTCCTGAGTAGCTGGGATTACATGCGTGCACCACCACACCCAGCTAATTTTTGTATTTTTAGTAGAGACAGGGTTTTGCCATGTTGACCAAGCTGATCTTGAACTCCTGACCTCAGGTGATCTGCCCGCCTTGGCCTCCCAAAGTGCTGAGATTACAGGTGTGAGCCACCACACCCAGCCATATGTTACATGTGACTAGGTAAATCAGCATTGTTATGTGCCAAAGAAAGGTAAAGGATCTGAGAAGGTCTGCAGTAAAAATAAACTTTTGGCTTTTGACTTTTACAATTTTCAAAATTTCTTGATTTAGCCAATTCCAAAATCACTTGACCATATAACCCTTCTCATTTCTCTCTCCCACCCTCATAATACCTATTAGCTTCCTGGAGAAGCAGCAGAGTGGGGAAAATGCTGTCAAACAGTTCCCATTTCTTAAAGTATATCTCTTTTTCCTTATGCAGCACCCCCTCTTATGCTGCCCCTGGCTGGAGGCCCCATTTTTAGAACTTCTCAGCAGTAGCCACCACCCTGGGCCAGCCACCTGGGCAGCTCCCAGACTGCCTGGCCTGCAGCAGGTGAACGCAGCAGTCCTGGTCACTCTCTAGTGGGTTAGCATAATCCAGAACAGTGGATAATCTAAAAGCCATTTATTTTTGGCATGCTTTAGTGAGTTTATTTTTACTGTAGTCTTACTTTCCTAATTTGGCCTCACTCAGACACATGCTAAAATGAGTGTGCTTTTTCTGAACACACTCTGAGTAAAGGGGGGAAGGGGATCCAGAGGGATGCTGAGGGAGGCTGGCAGGGGAATGTCATATATGTTGTGGCCAGCGTCTCCATCCTCAACTGCATGTTGAAAAGACCTCCAGATTGGAAACTGTGTGCTGACCTGGTTCCTGAAAACAGCAGACCCAGGAGACAAAATGAGCAGAATACATGGTTCAGTGAGATTTGGTATAAAAAGCGTGAGCTTGAGGGTCACTCTGTTGGGGGTTTGAATCCCAGTGTTGCAGATCCCTTTGCCCTTTCCATGACAGTGCCTGGCTCCCAGCTGCCAGTACCTACATCCTTCACCTGAGGGCTTCTGTCACATCAAAGCCACTCTACCTGCCCACATGGTAGGTCAAAGCTGCCAGGGAATTAACACTCCACACACTTAACCTAAGAATTCCGGCTGGGCGCGGTGGCTCACGCCTGTAATCCCAGCACTTTGGGAGGCCAAGGCGGGCGGATTGCCTGAGGTCAGGAGTTCAAGACCAGCCTGGCCAACGTGGTGAAACCCCGTCTCTACTAAAAAATATAAAAAAAATTAGCCAGGCGTGGTGCCATGTGACTGTAATCCCAGGTACTCGGGAGGCTGAGGCAGGGAAATTGCTTGAACCAGGGAGGAGGAGGTTGCAGTGAGCCGAGATCGTGCCACTGCACTCCAGCCTGGGCAGCAGAGTGAGACTCCATATCAAAAAAAAAAAAAAAAAAAAAAGAAGTCTTCAACCATTGCCTCAGCATACAGGTATAAATACCCCTGCTCACTCACTCCTCAGGTGGTCCCATTCTGAGGCTTGATGGTTTCCCAGGGGGATTAGGCTCCAGTTGCCACCAGGGATAGGTGGCTTGAAAACCTGCCCTTTGTGGGCTGCCTTCCTGCTTGTCTCACCATCCATTTGTGTTTTCTGGGCCCAGCTCCCAAATAAATTACTTAGACTCAAACTCTGGTCTCAGAGCCTGCTTCTAGGGGAACCCAGACTAAGAAACCCCTTCAGGCTGGGTGACCTGGGAGCAGTGACTCAGCACAGTCTAAGCCTCAGTCTTCCCAATCATTAAAGAAGGGACATGACCCCAGCTCCCCTCCGTTCTGTTTAGGGTTCCAGATATCCCAACAGATGCCAAATAAACACTGAGACTTTGTTATTCTCTGCAACAAAATCATTTATACCAAGTCAGGTCTGGACGGGTCACCAAGCAGACTTCACAGCAGACCATGACATCCACAAGGAAACAGGAATGAGGATGCTGGGGGAGAGAAAGGATGCAGTTTTCAGCCATCTGAAGGCAGCTGGGGAAGGGTGGCCCACATGCCACTGTGAGAAGGTGAGAAGGGGTCACCTGATTTAATTTGCAGGAATCTCTAGTTGATGCCACCTGCTTTGCTAATTAGAAAATTACCTGCCAAATGGGTTCTCCCCCAGCATCTGCCCACCAACTTGCTGGCAAAGTCCCACCTCCCTGACCTCATTCCCGCCACAGCTATCTCTCTCACACACCCCCTCCACACATGCACTGTTCCCACTCAAGTCTCCAGGTTCCTGGAAGATCATGGGGTGGCCAGGAGCAGCCAAGGATGAGTGGGTCCCCATTCTGAGCCTTGCTTGCTATGTCACCTTAGAAATACACCTCCCCTCTATGGAGCTCATTCTCATCTAAGAAAGGGGCAGAAAAAGACCCCAAGGCCAGGAAGGTCTCATCCTCATCTGGGCAGAGCTCTCCATTCCTTCCATAGCTATTTTTTATTGTGTGTCTACTATGAACTAGGCCCTGTTCTAGGTGCTTGGGATATACTGCTGAATGAAGCAGAAACAGTCCCTGCCTGCATAGGGCTTACTTTCCCATTCTAGAAATCAGCACTTGCTGGAAAGAACAGCCCTCCTGTGGCAAAAGGACTAGATCACCCAAGGGTTCTGATGAGGTAACTGGCTTCACTCTCCTCATCCCTAGCTGCAGTACGTTCCCCACCCCTACCCTCACCAAAGATTACCAAGTGCCTGAAATCCCAACCTACATCCATTCAATTTAATTAACACATGGTCTCCAAAAGACCTCTGTACCAAGTAGAAGGAACATTACCAGGGAGTGAGAACTACATTAGCCCTACCTTATGAGTATGGGGGATGAAGGTATGATTCCTAGGTGGAGGGCCAGGTCGTGCTGCAAGACACAGAAGGCACAAGATGGGGAAGCAAATCCTTCTTAAAATGCACACCTTTCCACTGGTCCCATCTCAGACTTTTCAGACAAAAATCATGCTGCTCCATTTAAGCTCGACTCTGGGCAAGCTGTAGAGTCTTTCTCTCTGATGTGGCCCCTGGACAAAGGCAGAGAAGTTCTTAAGCCTCCTTCAACTCACAGAGCCAGGCCTCCATGTGGATTATCCATTTCCCTGCTCGTTCATTTTGGAACCTTCATGCTAACCAGCATTCCCTGCCCCGATGCCTCCCTAACACCTGTGTATGTGCATTGCAGAAGGCAGGCTTATTTCAGTATCAGTCTGTGCAAAGCCTAATTAGGGGGGTTAATTAGCAGCCTCTCCTCGCACACCCACCCACCAGCAACACACACTTGATGGCATAGTGTGTACGTGGCAGAGCTGGGGAGAGAGTTTATGGGATTAACTGCCCTTTGGAATTAACTCCATTAGTACGGACAATTTGGCAATGACAACAGAGACTGAATCACTCAATCAAAGTTCACATGAGCTAAGAGGGGGTCCAAGGGCAGATCAGGCCTGTTTTCCTCCTGCTCCCCACCCACTTTCTCTGACTCCTCATCTCCCAGTTCACCCCCTTTCCAAGTAGAAGTAGTTGGTGAAGTATAAAACGCCCTGTGCACGGCTTGAACATCAGGAAACCTGGATGCTAGTCCCAGTCTGGTCTCTAATTTGCTGTGTGACCTTGGGTGAATGCCTAGCTCCCTCTGGGCCTCAGTTTCTTCACTGTCAAATAATAGGCTTCAATTAGACAACAATAAGAACCATTGTGGACACTTACTGTATGCTATGAACTTGGCCCTGTACTAAGCATTTTTCATGTAACATCTTATTTAATCCTATGCTAATTTTATTCTGTTCCCTGCTCTCTCTCCAGCTGGTGACCAATAAATATTTGTTCAATGAGTTCTTCCAACACCTCTATGAAATAAATACTACTATGATCCCACTTTCCAGAGGGGAAAACTGAGGTATAGAGGATTAAGTAAGTTGCCAAGCTCACCCGGCTTAGTGAATGGTAGAGCCTGGATCTGAATTTGGGAGGTCTGGTTGCAGACCTGCATGCTCACCTCCTATGCTGCTCCCTCCTTGAAAATCTACTGACCATAGATGTGAGTCAGAGCGGGGTCTTGGTCCTGTGCACTTCAGAGCATTGGCCCAGGGTAAGCACCTAGTAATGCCCCAGGAAAGCTGGCTAGCATCATTTCTAATGTCCTTACATTGATGGCTCCCACACAACCCCTCCTTGAGCCAGTACAGATCATTCAGGATACACTTAGTCATCCATTCATTGTCATTCAACCAATACACATATTGAGTGCCTACTGTATTCCAAGCACTAGGGGCATGAAAATGAACAGGACATGGCTTCTGCCCTGGAAGGTTTACCATATTATAACAAACTGTGGTGCATGTTACCCAAGAGAAGTGATGCTTGAACTGAGCCAGGGGAGCAGGCTCAGAAGCAAGTCGGTGAAGGTGGGTGGGCGAGGGGGTTCCAGGCAGAGGAAATGGAAGTGGAGAGTCTGGGGGCAGCAGAGAGCTCAGCACGTTCAGTGGGGGCTGAACTGAGCAGTGGGGAGAGAGAGGGCAGATCTGAGCATGACCAGGGCAAACCCCAGGGGTGCTAACCATAGGAGAACCACCCCTTCTGCAGGGGTCAGGGAAAGAGTTAGGGGACTCACTACCTGAGCCAGACACTGAACTCAGTGTTCACCATAGATTATCAGTTTTGTTCACAGCTGTGTTTTCAGTTTAGAACAGTGTCCAACACACAGCAGGTAATCAATACAATATGTGCTGAGGGAGTGAATGAATGATTCTAAATCTCATAACAACCCTTTAAAATCAAGAAAACTGAGCTTCAGAGAGGTGGAATGACTGGTCTATATTGATAAGCAGTGGGACTAGGACTCAAACACTGGTATGGTCCCAAATCTGCCCATCCAACCCTGTATTCACATTCTTTTCTATAAGACTTTGAAGTTCCTCCCGTGAGGGGCAGAGAATACACCCCTTGACTTTGGATTTGACCATATGACTTGCATTGGCCAACAGAATAAAGTGGAAGTGATGTACAGTTCCAGGCTTCAGATTCAAGAGACCTCATAGGGTCCTCTTGTCTTCTTGTGCCTCCACTATGGCCATGACAAGAATATGCGTGGCCCAGCCTGCTGGTCTCAGGGGTAAGATGACAGCCATGAGAGCAGAGCTATGTGCACAGCCTCTCCAGTCAAACCAGGCTCAGCATTGCTGCTTTCAGCCATTGAGTTTTAGTGTGGCTTATTACTCAGCAAGTGCTGACGAATACAACAGGGATAGGAAAGGTGATGTGTAAAAGGTGCCCTGATAACAAACAGGGGAAGCAGGTGAGTCTATAGGGCAGGAAAGAAAGCGTTCCCAGAGAAGGAGGCATTTGAGCTGGGGATGAAATGATGAGTAAGATTTATCATTCATTCAATAAACTTGAAGTGTGCACATGCCATGTGCCAAGCACTATCCTAGGCATTAGAATTGCTCAGAGGAGAAGGGGCATGGAAGGGCATTTCAGGCAGAGGGAACAGCATATACAAGAGCAGAGTGGTGCTGGGACAATGTGGCATATATGGATATAAAGGGTGTGTAGGACAGAGTGCGTGATGAGGCTGCAAAGGTAGGCAGGGCCAGGGGAAGCAGTTCAGGCCTGACTCTGAGGTGACAGAGACCCCTTAAGGATTTTACGTAATCTAGTGATGAGACTCAGCTTTGGTTTTAGGCAGAATCCTCTGGCAACCATGAGAACTGTAGCAGGAAACAGGAAGCCCAGCCCGAGAGGAGATGATGCTGCAGTTCTGGCGTACGGCAGTGATGAAGGGGTGGAGGAGTGCAGAGGGGCTGGGAGACAGGACAGGCAGCTTAAGGATGTGGGCTGTAGAAGGAGGTGCAGGGAGGGGGAGCAAGCATGACACTCTGGGCTCCAGCCTGGGCAACTGGGTGGGAGGTTATGGAACATGGGAGGCGGGTCATTTCTGGGGCTGGAGCAGGGAAAGAAGAGATAATGCTAGGTTTATGCTCCCATTGCAGGAGAAGCCCCCTCCCTTGCAGACTTGGGTCCCACCTAACCATCCAGCCATCTGTCCAGCATAGCCAGAAGCATTGTGGCCTTCCTGTCCTTTCCTATAACTCCCATCCTCATCGGGAAGGTCCCCTCTAATGGCCACTGCTGTTCATACAATCTGAGGAGGACGAGCAGCTGGCTTTGTGCTGACACAGTGGTGCCAGCAAGGAGAGGGGCCTCTGGAGGCTGGTGCAGGCTGCAGTAGGGGGAGGGAGGGGTGGAGAGTTGCCCTACCTTAGACCTGTCCCCCTCTGCCCAGGCCTGGCTAGCCAGCCCCTTCGTGGTCTCCATGGCAGATGCTTGGCCGTGAATGTAGCTGGGGAGGCTGCCAACCCCATATCACCACCGAGCACCCTCAGAGGGGCCGCGCCCAGCAGCCAGGAGCAGGGTGGAAACATTATCTCAGTTCTGTCCCAGGCAAGCTGAGAGTTAGAGGACCAATGACATACGCACTGGAACAAACAGGCCAGGCGGGAGAAGCCACTAGAGAGACAGTGAAGAGTGCAGGGAGGCAGACTCCAAGTCCTTCCTTCAAAGGCATGGGGCCGCGTCGCTAGAGAGACACAACTAGAGTCAGAGAGGACTGTGCAGCCGGAAGGAAAGAGAGAGAGAAGAGGAGGGGACAGGAAAAGTGTGTATGCCATAGTATGTTGAATAGAGGAGAGAAGAGAGGAGGAGGGGAAAAGAAGGGAGGATGAGAAGGATTGGGATTCTCACATGGAACCTGCCAGCAGCAAGGCACTCTTGAGGTGCCCTGAAGGCATGGGGATTGGAGTGGGGAGAGGTTTAGAAAGGGCACTGACACTCCCTTCCCAGACAGGATCTCAGAGTCCCAGGCACCTGTAAGCTGAGGCTGGGGGCTGGAGGAGCCAGAGAGAGGGGGCTTCTTTGACAATTTGAAACAAAATGTGCAGAGCTTTCTAATACTAACAGCCTGTTATTAAAATCAAGTGCTATTTTGCAAAATGCATTTGCCAGAGAATCACTAATTACAGGCAAGGCACATTTCTGTATGTTGGTGCCGATTAATCCTGAACGGTTTAAGCAGTCGGATTTTATACATATAATTATCACTCAAGATTCACTAAACAGCAACAAGATGCTCTGGGCTCTGCCCTTGAGGGACTGTGTGGCAGGGAGGGGAGGAGGCAGGGAGGTGTCCAGACAAGGAGGTTCTAGCTCAGGCTGGGCTGTACTGTATCACGTGCTGGCAATGTCACCTTGACCCACCTCCTCTTATCAATCTCCTACATCTTGGAATAGAACAGAATAAAGACACCGATGAAAAGGGAGGGGTGGGAGAAGCTGAACACAGACCACAGGGGGAGCTGCTAGCAGTGCTGCACCCCTTCCCAAACATGGCCGCTTTTTGAGACTGAACTAGCTGTGGGCTTTGAAGCAAAAGGTATGCTCCATTCTTCCATGATCTTGGATTTTCATTGGTGGAATGGGCTGGCTGAAGAGTTTCTCAAGGATTAAGGCCATGCCTCCAAGACCAGAAGGAAGACAGGGAGTCTTTATGGGGTACTATGGTGCTGCTCAGCCAGAGAGGATGGGTCCTCACAGAGCCAGACGTTGTATGTGGTGCTGCCAGCTGCAAGGCATACTGGGAGGTCCTGCTGGGAAGAGGTGGCAGGGAGCTGGGGCAAGCTTGCACCAGTGCAGGGCAAAACATGGAAAAACTAAATGGCAATGTGGGACCGAAGGCCTACTGACTGCCATTCTGGGAGGAGGGACAAATTCAGATAAAAGTCAGGCTCAGCCTAGAGGGTGCCCAGGAAGGTGGACAACAGCAAGGAAGTTGGGGTATTTGAGTGGGACCCCATGGAGTGAGAAGGCTGAGCATCCAGCCAATTTTGCAAGAAGAAAAGGCCCAGAGCCCCAGCCCACTACCCAAGGCACAGGCTTGCCCCAATCTCAAGGGAAGCTGGAGGGTGGTATGAGGGTGTGGATTCCTGGGGGAAGTGGGTAGGTGAGGCAGAGAGGTTCCTGTCTGCACACAGCTCTAAGAGGACAACTGCTCTCTGCACCTCCCTCATCTCCTGCCCCTAACAACAGGTGACCAGCTTTCCCAAAGGTAGCTGGGATGGAACCAGCAAGCAGGGGCTAGCGAGGGGACCGTATAAATTTTGCTGTTTCCCACCTGCACCAGAATTCCAGGGCCCTGGCCTGCCCCCTACTCCAGAGCCCCTTCCTATGGAGGAATCCTGGGAGCACAACAGTTTGAAAAGCACTAGCTTAGAACCAGGCAGCTGCATCTATGTGGGACCCCACAGGGGTTTCAAAGAAAAAAGGGGGAATCAGGGATGACAGCCACTCATGCCTTCCCTGAGCCTGTGTCATGTTTGTGACTCTGTCCTCTGTATGATGGGCAGAAACTGGGGCTGAGTGTAAGGTGCAGGGCCTGCAGTGGATGTGAATGCACCTGTCTGGAAGATGAGTGTGTAATAAGGGAAGGACAGACACACAGGCACTAGGCCAAGTTAGCAAATCTGCCATCAGAATGGCGTTAGGGAGACTGAGTGTGCAAACATGCACTGTGACGCAAGGTGTCTCAGTAGGTGTGAGCTTTCCTTTTGTTACCATGGTCCTGTTGCTTCAGGGGCTCAAGGGGCCATTTGAAGCCCAGAGGAACAACAGACTATGTGTCACTGGACCAAATGAGATAACACCTGTGAAGGTCCTTGCCACACAGCAGGTGCTCAATAAATGCTCAATGCATGGTGAATTTGAACCCCTCCTTGTCCTCCTTCTGGAGGACTCTGGCCTCCAGTTTTGCTCTTGCAGACAGGCCCCTTGATGCATCGCCCACCTAACTCAGCAAGAGTGGGTTTCACGCAAAATGGGGCACACCCCACCCACGCCCCACCATGCCCTAACCATGGGCCTCAGCCCCATTGATCAAAGTGGTGAAGGATAATTTAATCATAAAGCCAACTCTCTTTTGTTTGGTTGGTTTTTAGTGCTTTAGGACCCTAAAGCATCTTTAGGTGATTTTTTTTTTTTTTTTTTTTTTTTTTTTTTACCGATAGCCCTATGAAGAAGGCATAACAAGACTTTACCACAGAGGCTACGAATAATACCTTTGATCCACTGAGCACCTACTCTGTGCCAGCCCCTGGGCAGGAACTGGCATGCATGGGCATGTATGATTGCACCAGAAATAAGTTCTATCATTGGCCCTGTTTACTCATGAACACATGAAGCTTGCTATGAAAGTTTAAGACACCCAAGGCCACAAGGCAGTCCCGTGGCCATGCCAAACCAGCCTGCAGCAGAGCAGGAATGCCAACCCCAGGTCTGTGCTTGAGCTCCTGTACCTCTGTCTCTGTGGCAGCACGAACAGGTGAGTTGACTGGCCCAAGGACAGAGAGATGATTAGACACAACCTGAGGCTCAAAGCTGGGTCTTCCCAGGGCCAGTACTCTTCCAATTGCCATCCAACTGTGTCTGCATAGAAGGGCAGGGGGAGGGGCTGGGAAGGGCAGGGGGAGGGGCTGGGGAGGCCAGCCCAAGCTGCATGGCACTTCCCAGCAGTTGCAGGAAAATTAAATGTGGTTTTCCTCATCATCGTGAACAACAGGGGTACAGGAAAACTGGGGGATAATGTCCCCATTAGCCTGTTTTCTTAGCACACAGAGGGAGAGATTTTAAAAATAAAATAAAACTACATCCCAATTTGATGCCCTAACCTACCAAAACAAAACACATGCAGATTTTAAAATGTAGAAAAATCCCATCAGAGTCAATTCAGTTATCCCCCTGCCTCTAACAGGTGTCCCATAACCAGGACAGATCACCTGGATGCCTGCCTGCCCTGATAACTGATGTTGAAGGTCAGCCACCTCCCCCTACCCTGACTTACTGCTTCCCCACCCCCGACCCGCCACACCTCTAACACACACTGACACATACTGACACACACACACTCTCTCACTCACACACACACCCCTGCAGCCCTCATCTCTTGTCTCTCTTGGGCTGTGAAGTAAATAAAGCTTGGCCTCTGGGGTCCCATTTTTGTACCTTTTCCATCTTTCTTGGAGGCCTGGCTCACGCAGGCAGGGGGCCGAGGCGCTCCTTCTCACTCACTCTGTTGGCAACCCAACCAGCCTTTAAACTGTGTCTTTTCATGTATAACAAAAGACCTTTCTTTTTGTCTTTAAAGGAACTTGGGGGGCCAAAGGGATGGTGGTCAATATGCCCAGGAGAGAGGGGCCCTCCAGGTGCCCTGAAATCAGGCCATGACAGAAGCTTATAGAAAACTGGATCCTAATAGTAACAACTCATTCTTATCCTGAACCTCCACCCCCTGACCTCCAACCCTTGCCTCAGGAAACTGAGTCAGGGGTCAGTGATTCTAGAAGCTCCATACCCTGCTCCTTTATTTCCTGTTAGAAAGAACCACTAGGGCATCGTGGCAAAGGTAATGAGCTTGGAGTAAGGAGAACTCGGTTCTAGTCTTGGCACTGAAGCTACATTGCTGTGTGACTTTAGGAGAGTCACTTCCCCTCTCTGAACTTCAGCTCATCATCTATAAAATACAAAGTGGGCATAGATGGATTTGAAGATTTTCCAGTCCTGGCCACCTCATTTCTGATTCTGTGACAAGGCAGTGTCCCCACCTGGCCCTGGCTCTGCTGTCCCCCTCTGGGGCCATGCTGGTGATTCCAGGAGGGGAGCAGGACACAGGAGCATTCCATAGGCCACTCCCTTGCTCGCCCCTGGCTGGAGCAGTCTCAGAAATCACCCCAGAAAGCAAGGGCGGCCCTGCTGCAGGCTGGCTCTACTAGGCAAATTACAGCCTCTCAAGGGTGCATATGACAAATGACAACTAAATGGTTTGCTTTCCCTATGCAAATGAAGCTGCCAATTTACATTCATTTGCACCTGATGGGTGCCTGAAATGGATGGATTTGATTTGTGCCTGATCTGTAAGTGTCTAATTTATTAATCAATGAAACGTCATGTACAGACTTGAGGATCCCCAGTTCCAGCCGGCCTCCCATATATATGTAAATAATGCAATCTCTCAATCTACTTGTTATGTAAATGTTAATATAAAACTGACAGAAATATGCATCTGCAGAACTTTATGAGCAAAGAGAACTGAGATTTACACATGCTCCGAGCCCACCCTTTGCCCCTCAGTTCCTGTGGTGCCTCCTTCCTCTTGCCATACTTTCTTCTTACTTTCCCCTTAGGTCAGTTGACCCATCTCACCTCCTCCAGGAAGCCTCGCTGCTCCAGCCCTCCCACACTGCCAGGCCTCCAACCACCAGCCCTGGCTCTTACAACCTGGACAATCTTGCTTTTTTCTGGCCCTGGAACTTTGCCCGCAAGACCACGTAAGACACAGTCTTCCCCCAAGTTCTCCCCTTTCCATTTCTGTGCTGAAATGAACCCCCCTCAGAGGGCCAGCTACACGTCACCATCTTTAGCAAATACACACTGAACACGAAGGCACGAGATCGGTGCTGGGAAGAGGGAGAGAGAAAAGGTTCCTGTTCTCAAGATTTTCCTGGTTTAATAGCAGTAGTGTTTTCTCGGCTATGTGCAGGGCACAGTTCTGAGCACTGCTTATGGGCTGACTGCGTAATTTGCACAATAATCTCTGCAACAAGAGTGCTACTGCTGTCCCCATTCCACAGAAGACAAAAACAAGGCTTCTTTTATCAGCTAGCAGAACCGGGGTTGAATCCAGCCAGCGTGCTCCGCAGCTAGTCACAACACTACAGTTTGGCCTTTACCCAGTGAGCAAAAAGGTCATTTCAAGCAATGGTGTGTGTATGCGTCACCATTCCAAGTGCCAAATTCAGTCTCTTCTATAGTTTTCCTTGAAGAGGCCACAGAACAAACCTTAGCAAAGACAGAAAATGACAACTTTTGCCTCCTCCCAGTTCTGATCTGCCCTGTACTGGTTTCCTAGCTTATGCTCCCAGGAAGGCGTGACCTTACCTGGATCTTGTGAATGAGTACCTGTCTTTAGCACACCAGTTCTCCACACCTGCATGACGTTCTCTCCCCTGCCCTGGAGCTCTGGGGGTTCCACCATGGCAGCATTCTCCATATCTGACTCCCACTCTCTGTCCACTGTGAGGGCTAGGCCAGCTCTTCCCCAAGAGCTCAGCAATGTGCCCAGCACTCTGCAGACCTGTGTGGCCAGTGGGTGGCTTCCTTTTGGATGTGGCCATCCGGTCCCTCCCCACTCAAACTCCTCCTGCATCTCTTGTCCCTGCACACCCACCACCTCATTAACCCAAGCCTCAGGAACCACCCTTAGCCCACATTTTAAGATGAAAAGTTTGAGATCTGGGGAAGTGAAGCCAAGCTCACAGCATCACATACCTGGGAGACGGTGCAGCCAGATTCAAAGCCAGGTCTGCCTGGCTCCTGGGATCATTCCTTTGGGCAGGACTGATCATTGCCTGAACTGGGTGACCTCAAAGGGACTGAGTAGGACTAAAAGGTTGCACTGAGGGCATAAATATGGATTTGTCATCAGGATCTCAGTGAGACAAGGCCGTAACTCCAATGTGGCTAAGGGAAGGGCCCCTAAATGTGAGACCAGTGATATCGAATAGCAGCATTTCTAGAAATTCCTTTGGAAGAGTGGCATTTCACTCATCCTTGAAAGTAAAATGGAAATTGATCTTCTTTGCACTGGAGAGCTATTTTCCAGAAGCTACCTGAAGGAAGGCCTAGAGCTGCAGACAGCCTGAGCCTCCTCTTCCAGGGCCTTCTCTAACAATGCATTCCAGGACAGCCAAAGTCATGCCAGAGAAAGAAAAATGAAAAGGGACAAGGCAAGGACTAATGTTCAATGATGCTTACTCTGCACCAGGGGCTTGGTAGATTTTATTTTATTCAATTGACCCTGTAGCCTATGATGTGACATACACAGTGAGACAAGATATTTACCTAAAGCTACACAGACAGCAAGGGGTCGGACCAGAATTTCAGTTCAGATCTTTCTGACCACAAAACCTGGATTCTTTCTAGGACCTCAAAGTCTCCAGTCATGGAAGGAAGAGACCTGGAGCCACTGTAGATGATATGTCAGCCTGAAATATAAGAAGGAAGCTAGATTTTAAATCATTGAGAAAGAGAGCCAATATACACTTGGCTAAAGATAGAGTGATTATGTGAGTGATTAAGGAGAAAGGTACCATAGTATATTTGACCAGGGCTTGAAAATCATATGACATAAATTATTTTACTCATTAATGATCAGTTAATGATGCTGTTTTTAAAATAATTAAAGCAAGAGCACCTTAAGGCATTTGAAACTACGTGCTTATGTTCTAAATTTGGGGCCAAGTTCAGTTTGTAGTTTGGGTCATATAGAGGAGACAGAGGAACCTCCTGCTGCCAGACATAACAATAATCATAGCTATAATAGCTATTATCATATGTGTTACTAACTGAAAATGTCTTAAACACACAAACTCATGTAATCCTACAAAGTGACTGTTATTATTCCCATTTATGGAGGAGAAAATGGAGTCTCAGAGAGGTTAAGTAAACTGCCCAAGGTCACACCGCTGATTAAGGCCAGAGTGGGAATTCAAACCCAGGTTTCTTCCGCCAGAGTTTAAACACTTAACACCTACAGCATATCCTAGTTTTTACAAAAGAGCTATCTTAAAGCTTCAATTTTCTGTTGTCAACCTTTGAACTCTAACAAGGTTAAAATCACATGTCCTCCCTAACTCCAGCCCTTTGTCCCCACTGGCGGCCTGCCGAAGTGGAGCTGCATAGCTGGGTGAGGGCAACCAGACTGAACACAGGAATGCCTGGATTCTCAGACACTGTAGATGCCCATGGGAAGAGGGAGCACTCAACAGAGTCGCTCAATGAGAGGCACACCTTCTCCCAGCTCTTTAACATGAGGAGGAGGCTGAACCAGCTGACCCTAAAGCCCTCCAGTGCTTAGGTCCTGATGCCTCTGGCCTGCCCTGCCACGGCTGTCCTTGTGGAGCTAAGGTGGACCCTCTTAGCTAAGGGAGTCAAAGTGGAGGGAGTCAAAGCCAGTGACTCGGCTCCTTCCATAGGCTAAGGGCTCCAGGCTCAGACTAATACAGATGCTTTTTGACTTCCGATGAGGTTACATAAGTTGAATGTTTACAATACTTTCAACTTACGATGGGTTTAGGTTTTTCTGGACATCACTAGATCATAAGTCTAGGAGTGTACTGAATGCTAATTGCCTTCGCATCATTGTAAAGTCAGAAATCCTAAGTTGAAACATCCTAAGTTGGGGACTGTCTATATTCCTTCTTTCTCCCTTTCTAGGGCACAGAGGATATTCTGGGCTTTCTGATCTTCACCCCGGGTCCCCATGGATTCTCCAAGAAGCCTTTTAGATTGGTTGCTCCAACTAGTCCCACTGCTAGCCCCATTCCTGCCACCCCAGGACACATTCTGGGCTCAGTTTATTTACACGTTTGGGGAAGGCACTGCCTGGGTGGCTCCTGCTTCTCTAGCAGGCAGGGGCTCCCCACAGACTCACACACACTAATTTGTCCTGATCCTCCCTATTGCCCTTTTCTATTTTCCAGGCCTCAGGGTGGAAAATGAAAGATGCTTAAGGTCACTGCCCCTCCTGTTCTGTACACAAGCCTAAGCTCGGGAGGAAATAATTTGAGGTATCTGGAAGAAGCAGAGAGAGCAGGGCAGCTCTGAAGTCACTGCGAGGCTGTGAGAGGTCAGCCAGCGCTTCAAAGGACCCCAGGACCTTTGCATAACCCTGGACTGAATGGGAAGGGAAAGTCCCAGTCATGACAGAAACGGAATTTCCCACCAACTCAGTAGGAGGTTTGGGGTTCAGGGTCAGTTTCATGGCAGTGCAAACAAAATAAAGAAAATGTGATATTTATTGCTTACTTAAATTTGTGGACCAAACTGCCTACCATGCTATCCACACTGTTTCCTGCAGGTGGTCAATGTGGGCTTAAGGGAAAAGTAACTCATCTTAATATTTGCTTAAATCAAATGGAATATAGAAAGTAAATAAATCTGCTGCCAAGCCATCAAGTAGGGCATTCTAAACCCAAAATAAAGAGCCTATGGACTGTCTGTGGATTTAGATTATGCATAGTTTTCTGCCACCACTCCCTGTATTCAAATCAATAGTCACATTTCATTGCAGACACTTGGAGCTGTCTGGGTTCAAATCCCAGCTCTGTTGCTTATTAGCTGAGACACTTCAGCCAAGGTACTGACACTCTCTGTGCCTCAATTTCCCCAGCCATTAAGTAGGAGTCATAATTGCATAACCCCCACAGGGTGGATGTGACAATTCAACCGGATCACAAAAGTGCATGCTCAGCCTAGTGCCTGGCACACTGTAAGGATCAATAAACAGGAGCTATTATTATTATGCTAATTTGAAGGATTCTTGTTTTTAAACGTCCTCATTTCACATTGCAGATACCCAAATAGAAACACAGATTTTCATTTGCTTACAAACCTTCCACTTTTCTCCAGCTAGAAGTTACAGGTGGCCCCTATGGGTGAATGTGTTAGGTAACACTCACACTTTAAGCAAGGGGAAATGCAGGCCCAGAGAGAGTCGTCGCAGAAGGAATGAAGCAGAGACAGACGCCCTCTCTTTGCAATGCCTGCTGTCTGTTCCACCCATCCTCTGGACTCTGTGCCACCCAAGCATACAGGCCTGCTCGGGGAAACCTCATTCTTCTCTACTTTCCCCTGTGGCTTAGAAAGATAGAAGGTGAAGTCTAACAGGGAAGAATGCTCTACATTCAGATCAGGGCAATCAATTGCACAGGCCTGGGATAGGAAAGTCTTGGCTCACACGCAGTTCCAGAAATGAACAAGGGCCCAAGTTATGGTAAGCGTGAATGGTGAGGTTCAGGATAGGAAAGAGTAACTGAATAGTAGCTCATTGAGACAGAAAAGACATGGAAGAAAGCCATAACAGCAGCAGTGGTGGTGATTGTCAAAATGACCATGCTTGGCCTCTCTGCAACATATGGCCCTGTTGGCCATGATCTCTATAACGCTCTGTTCTTCCTGAGTTTGTCCTCTCTCTGATCACCCCTTTCCCAACTTCCTCAGAGGATTGCCCCTCTGCTTGCCCCTGAACCCTGGTTCTCCCCAGGACCCGTCACCCCCAGCACCCATTGCTCTCTTCACTCTCCACACTCCACGTGGGGGACCTGCCCCCTGCTCCACAATGCCCGCTCTACTGATGGCCCTCAGTTCTATGCTTCTACCAGGCCTGGTCCAAGCTCCTCACACTCACTTCGGAGTGCCAAGTTCACACCTGCCCTTGACTGTCTAACAGGCACCTTGGCCTCATCCAAAGCAAATTCTTTGCTGCTTCATATGCTGCTTCTCCCTTTGCCTTCCTGGTCTGGGTAACTAACTGTCAACACTGTTTGCCTGTCTGCACCAAGCGACAATCCTTGGAGCCATTTTTGGAAGGGAGAAAGGGAACATTTAAAAAAGCATGTTTGTTGAAATACCAGATGCATCCAAAAAAGCATGCATATTATAAGCTCAATAAATTTGCACCAAATAAACAGACCATGTAACCAGCACTCAGATAGAGAAACAGAACAAAACTCATCCCTCATGCTCCTTCTGGTTGCTCCCCGAACTGGGCAACTGCTTTTCTGACTTCTAATACCACAGATAGGCCATCTGATTTGTAATTTACATAAATGGAATCCTACAATATTTAGTCTTTGATGCCTGGCTGTTTTCATATGTTCATGAGATTCTCAAAGAACATGCAACATAACTTTCGGTTGTTCATGACTGTTGCTGTGTAGTATTTATTGATGTGAGCACATCATGATTGACTGCTTGTCTCCATGGCTGATGAGCATTTCTGAGTCTCCAGTCCAGGCTATTATGAATGGTGCACTCTGAACGCCCAGGAACACATCTTGCCGGGGCATATGTTTACATTTCCTCTGTGTTTAGGAGGGTCACAAAGTATGCCTCAAGATAGCTGTAGTCAATTCTACCCAATGGTCTTCTGAGAGTGTCTGTCTCCCAGATCCTCCCTCCAGCAGTGGAGCAGAATTTCAGTTGCCCTTGGAGCTGTTTTTGATTCGTTGCCCCCTCCCTCCCTCTGCTAGCAGCATTTGTGGCTGTCTTATCTGTGTGCCAGTTTTTGTTTATGAGGCCGATTCCCATGGTCTTCAGTTCCTGCTGATTCTACTTATACAATAGTTTTTTTAATCCATAGCTTCTCCATCTCCACTACCACTGCCCCCTCCTTATCTTCTGTGTGAGCTGTCACATACAAATGTCCTTCCCTACAAGCCTGTATTGGCCACTGTTCCCTATTCTATCATCTACATTCCAGTAAGATGCCCTGACACAACCCATCAGTGCCACTTTCTGTCCAAGAACCCCACTAGCCCCTGGCACCTAAAGCAGTCTCCGTGCTGGGATCTGTGAACATCTTGGAGGCAAGGGCAATCTCCCGAGTCTCCATGCAGGAATTCTTCAGGTGTCCGCACAGTTCCTGCATATATGGAAGCTCAGTTTGCATTCTAACCCCACCTACCTTTCCAATCTCATCTCCTGAAGTTTGACTAGTGAACCCACACCAGGGACATCTGCACAGCACACAGCTGCAGGCTCTCTCAAGCCTTACCGTGGGCCCACTATGTATCAGGCAGTTGGAGCTGCCTTCCCCTTTGCCTGAAATTCTTTCTCCTGTGGAGACAGTTTTAGGCAGGTGGCAGTCTAGTCCTACTTGGGGTCATCATATCCCAGAGATGGCTAGAATGGACTTCCACACAGTATAGGAATATAATGGACCTAGTGGTCACACTCACCCATATAGTAATCACATGCCCCCTAATAGCTATTTGTTTTATATTTGTTCAATTTATATTTTACAAAACAATGTCATGTGCTTTATCTTTTGATACAATAGCCCTATGAGATATGTAGTGGGACACCATTATTCTCATTTCATAGATGAAGGCTCAGAGAAGTTAAGTCACCAACCCAAAGCCACACAGCCAGGAAGTGGCATAGTTGAAGATTAAATCCAAGTTGTCTGATGCAAAAACCATCCCACCTCCGCTGCCTCTGCCTGCCCTGCCTACGGAAATCCTGTACCTCCTCCAAGATGCCTCATCAGTTATTCCTTACAAAGCAGTTCCGGATTTCCCAGTCAGAATTAATTAATCTCTCCTCCGTGCACTTTTTCTGAACTTTTATTACAGTAATTATAACAGCCTGACTTTTATTATAATCATTATTTACATGTCTGCCTCTCCAACTGGGATGGGAGCTCATTAAGGGCGGAACCCTGTCAATTTTGTACCTTGAGCCCCCAGCAGGTGGGTACTGAACACAATACAATGATAATAACAGCAAGACAATAATGAAGGCCTCCAGCCTTCAGGCTTCATCACATCCGTAGCTTAGTTCACCTGGACTATGGGTCAAGTACCAAGAAGTGACAGGCTGCCTGTGGTTGTAAAAATGCAACGGCCAACTGTAAGGTGTTAAGTGGCACAGTGTTAAATTCCCACAGGATGAGAACGTTTCCCAGGGCTTCTTGGGGTGTCTTGGTGAACATTTACTTGTTTTACCCATTGAGTATTTTATTTTGTTTTGTTTTCTCTCTGTCTGTCTCTATGTCTCTGCCTCTGTCTCTGTCTCTCTGTCTCTCTGTCTCTCTTTCTCTCTCTGTCTCTTTTTCTCTATCTCTTTAGTCTTTTCTTTTTCTTTCCCTTGACTGGAAGAAATACAGAACCAAAATACATTTTCTATTACTTTATGTACCAATTGAATTTTTAAAAATCTGTTCCCTGCTCTAAAAAGTATATGAGTGGGATGTTTTCTACTTTACTCCTCTCTTGCTCAAAACACACACACACACACACACACACACACACACACACACACTTGAAAGAGAGAGAGAAAGAGAGAGAGGGAAAGACAGAGAGAGAATTCAATTTCTTTCAGGGACCCTCAAGTAGTCTTTTCTGACCATTACTGGCTATTGATTAAAACCAAAAAAAAAGCTCTCCTCCTACCTCTCACCCCCACCAAAGTGAGGTACAACTTCCTAGACTCAGTCAGGTCAGCTCGCCTGTACCAAATGCCCTGGGAAGCAGAGGCCAGAACATCCCTGCTTTGGACACAAAATAAAGGCAGAAGTAGCCCTTAGATGTGGGAACTTCACATCCTGATAGAGGAGACTTGACAAACAAGTATTGCACCCACAGAAAACTCCTGAGAAGCATGCTGTGGAGGAAAGGAGGGATTAAAAGCTCAGGTGGACCTAAGCACAGCCTGGACCAAGGAAAGAGAGGGAAGGTCTCTACCTGTGGCCACACTGCAAGGTGGAGGCTGGAGCAGCGTGGCATCATTACAGTTAATGATACCACACTGGCGTGATGAAGGGCCAAGTGTGCCAAATTCACCGGACACTCGGAATTCCTCAGGCATTGCTCCAAGTTCTTCACATGGACTAGCCATTTAATTCTCATGTCATAGGCACTGTTACAACTTCCCTTCCACTTTCTACATGAGAAAACTTAGGGACAGAGAGACTAAGTAGCTTGCCCACAGGGACACAGCTGGTCAGTGGTGGACCAGGCAGTCTGAACGGCAGAGCCTGTTCTCTGAACCACTTTCGAACATTCCAGGGGGCCAGGAACACTGAGACCCAGTGTTAGCTCTGCCAGCAGCTATGTGACCAGTCACTTCTGCTAGGTCTCCATCCTCTCACTGTGAGATGGGCTCAATGAACTAGACGAGTTGTTCTCACGTTTTGGGGGTCATGGACTCTTATGAGAAATGGTGAAAGCTCCCCCAAGGAAAATGTGAATTGCACATTTTCATGGAAATGTCCATGTAACACAAGAGGGCTCCCCAGACCCTGAGACCCCCCCACTCCCCCCAACTGCTGATCCATGGACTAGCAACTCTATGGAGAGTTCAAATAGTAGCTTTGGCAGTACCTGGCTCTGCAACGGCAGGCGGACAAGATCTGTGCAGGCTCTGAAGTCAGCTCTATGGCCCTGGACAAATATGGAACTGTCCTGTGCTTCAGTTTCCCCTCTGGAAAATGGACCTCATAATAACAATATTTCATAAAGATTTTATGAGACTTGGCTGAGAAAATACACACAGTGAGCTCAGGATGGTGCCTGACACATATCAGGTATTGCTATTATTATTGTTGGCGCTCATTCCTCACCTTCCTTCTAGGGTCATCACTCTCCCCAGGTCTCTGGGCCCAGTCTTTGGGCAAGGTGACCCATAGCCTGTGGTCTAGAACAGGGGACCTCTTGGCCAAGACCAAGACAGATACCACTTACTGAGCACTTCCTAAATGCCAGGTGCCCCGCGCCCATCTTAGAAAATCCCTAGGCAATGAGTACCAGGATCTCATTTCACAGATGAGGCGCCTGAGGCTCAGAAAGCTGGAACCAGCTGGAACCACTTGCCCCCAGGCCCATGATATAGTGGCAGAGCTGGGACTTGGACTGAGATCTTTCTGACTACAAAGCCCAGGCTTTTAATCACCACTCTAGTTTACCTTCCTTGGGCAGCTGCAGGTCGAGCCTTGGGTCTTGGAGTCATCCCAGAAAGCAAGATAAGGTCAAGAAGAGAGAGTTTCTATAGCATGGGAAGCCTCAGTGGCTGCCACCTTGTTATGGGATCATAAACCTGTGATCCCTCTGGGTCTCAGCCACCTCGCCTGCCTGTCAAATGAGATGATGAAAGGGAATGCCCTTTGGGAGGCATTCTGAGCATTTACAACCAGGCTTCATGATGATTACCATCATTATCATGACTATTATGATTGCTCATCCTGAGTTAGGCAGGCAGCTGTGTCCTGAATGCCTGGGGAGAGCTTAGAGCAGCCTGGAACCTAGGCTGTGACCAGGACCCAGAATTCCAAAGAGAAGGGAAGGGTGGGGTATGGACTGTCCCTGCCATTGCCTTGGTGTTCCTTGGGGGTGGTTGGAAACCCGCCTGGGGTCAGGAGACATCCCCACTGCAGCCTGTTGGAAAATGGCTTTGACATGACCCCATTAACCACCACTTACCTCTCCTCCCCATCCAGACACATCCTTGGCCGGGGGTGGGACTATGAGCCAGGCACCCTCCTCCTGCCCTCCAGCTGACCCAGGTTGATCTGTCTGTTAACTGCTTAGCTGCACAGTCTACATTGGTGGGAGGTGCAGGTGGGGAGGAAGGAGAACAGGAAGGGGTGCAGGCCCCACATTTGCTGACAATGCACTGAGACTCTTATTATGCCCATCTCATCACTGTTCTCAGAGTGTTTTGAGTGAGTGTAGAGAACCCAGGTCAGCCAAAGCTTCCTTTGATGTGCACAATGCAGAGAAAAAATAATTCGATTAGGGAAAGGGGACAGTAAGAAAGACAAGGAGAAGGAGGTCACCTGGTATTGCAGCTGGCTCAGCGATGCAGAAGCCAATGGGTCCAGCCTGAGTGAGAATGTTAGAAAGACACTGTGCAGGCCCAGTATGGAGTCAGGTGGGGAGATGGAAATAAAGAAGTTCATGGTCAATGGCCAGCTGCATGTGACCAGTCACCGGAGGTTCTGCTTCAAGCAGAGGCAGAGCAGGAGACCCGGAAAGGCTCAGAGGCTCCTGCCTGAGGGGT
The DNA here is from genome assembly GCF_000001405.40 of Homo sapiens. Taxonomy (NCBI): domain Eukaryota; kingdom Metazoa; phylum Chordata; class Mammalia; order Primates; family Hominidae; genus Homo; species Homo sapiens. The sequence goes on from NC_000006.12 coordinate 40,536,151, forward strand.
GAGGCCTGGGCAAACCTCGAGGAGAGAGCCAGGTGCTCCAGCAGCTCCCAGGGTGAGTGGGGGGCCGGTTCTGTCCACAGGGAGCCCCAGTCTGAGGGGAGACACAGCCCTGCCTCAGGGAGCCCCACTCTGAGGGAGACACAGCCCCGTCCTCAGGGAGCCCCAGTCTGAATGGGAAGAAATAATCCCTACTTTCTAGGTACTTCTAGTCTGAGAGAAGAGTCAAAGTCACTGCCTTCCTGGAACCGAACCCAGAACATGTATTACACACATGTTAACTATTCCCCAAGGTCACAGTGTGACTTAACAGAATGACAGCAAATGAAGGTCTGAAATTTCCTTAGCTGCCTTGAGTTAGAAAAATGAAAAGAATCAGTGAAGGGACTGAAGGGCCTGGGACTACAGTGGAGACAAAGCAGGGAACATGGGAAATGAGGAGCCTGTTTTGGACCACAACCACTAGGAGGTGCAGCTGGAGGAACTCAGGACCCGTCCCGCAGAGTGCTGGGAGAGCTTGCCTGCAGGGACTCCATGCAGGGTACAGCCTCCACCAAGGAACCTGAAGCCCTGCCCCTCAAAGCTCAGGAGCCAGAGAAGAATTGCCAGACAGAGGGCAGCTCAGAATCTGCAGATCAGAGGGTGTGGAGCCTCCAAGACCTTGAGCCTTATCTCCTGGCCCCTGGCGAAGGCACCCCTGGAGGATAATCATGGATGCAGTCACCACTCTTCATCTAAAGGTGCCATTTGTCAAGTGCTTTCCATGTACCAGTCACTGTTTTCAGGCTTTACACCTCCAAGCTTTCTTAAACCTCACCACAACACAATGAGATAGGGTTATTATTATTCCTGTCTTCAAGGTAAGGAAACTGAGGCACGGAGGGTTGACATACCCTGCCAAAGGTTATGGAGCTAGTACACGGCAGAGCTGGATTTTGATCCAGGGGATCTGGTGCAGTGGTTATCCATTCTCTACGTAATTGTTTCCAGGGACGGGGAGCTCACTCCCTAAAAGGACTGTGATTGCCAGAATAGCTTCCAGCATAGTCCGCAGCACCCAGCAGAGGCTCATCACCCTAGATGTGTAAGGCCCATGGGGGCAGGAACCCCAATACTGGGAATAGTTCCTGGCACATCGTAGGCCCTCAGGAATATTTGCAGAATGAATGTTCTTCCAGTAGAAACATTTCCTAGGCACATATCCCCTCACTCCCAGGGCCACAACCAGGGAAAGGCCACAGGTTCTGCGTGTGCCCCCACCAGTCACAACCAACCATAACCAGCACCAGCCCCAACTATGGAAACCCAAGGCAGGAAATTTCCAAGAAGAAGTATCAGGGGAACTGAGCGGGCTGCTGTGAGAGAGCTGAATCCAAGGCCCACTTCAACTGCCTCTTCAACGCTTCTCCAGGAAGCGTCCCTGACCACTCTGACCCTTGTCTGATACCTACCATCTTTGCCTCTCCTCTGGTCCTGAGCCAAACCTAATGAGACTTGTTCCTGTCTGTGGGGGTGGCTTACCTCCCCACCAGACCACAAGCTCCACTGTCGGGGCAGAGACCTGGCATTATGCTGCTCTCCAGTCCCCACAGCCTCGGTGTCCAGTTAGGGACTAAGGGGACTCCCTCAGTGTTAAAGCTGGATGGACATCAGAGGGCCTAGGGTGGAGGGAGGGGACATATGAGGGAGGGGCTAAGCACAGGACCCCTCCCAGCCCCTTTAATGCTCCAGCTGCAATCAGGAGATCCCAGGCACACTAGAGATTGAAGGGAGCAGGGAACATGGGAAATGAGGAGCATGGCCCATGCAGCCCCTCTTGCCCCATCACCTTTCCTGTGGCTCCAGCTTCAGCTTGTTCAGGTCTGAAGACTAAGGAGGGACAACACCCCCGGGACCCTCCCACAATCACCAACGCTCGCCTTGGAACGCTAAGGCAGAGGCTGCCTCTTCCAGGTCTCTCTTTGCTATTCTGAGAAAGGGTAAAGGGAGAAACAATTATTTGTTTCATTAGGAGTTAAATCTCATGAACCCTAGGCATTCAACACTGTGGGGAGGGGCAGGAAGTGAGGGGGCTACCTGGGAAGAGGGGAGAGAAGGAGGAAGATTGGGGCTCGGCGGAGTGATGGGAAGCCCCAGAGCCAACAGGCTTCCCCTACTCCCGGGCCTCCAGCTGTGTAGCAGCCCCCCTTCTCCAGGGCCCCCTGCCACCCACTACCTTCCCTCTGACAGCTCATTCCAGAGGTGGAAGCCACCCCCACCCCAGCTCAGGATTCCTGCACCCCAACATGAATTATCAGAAACACAATGGGTCCAATTACACTGAGAGACTGGCTGGCTTAAGAAGAGAAATCCTCGCATCCAAGGCCCTCTTTCTCTTTGTTCTGCAACAACAAATTGGCCACTATATTGTCCTTGCTGCGCAAGATCCTCATCAGAAAACCCCAACCACCATAAACCCCAATCATTCCCTGCTTTCCAAATTACAGCTTTCTACTGGCACCTCCCCGGGGCTATCCCCATTCCCAGCTTCTCCTCCTAGACTCTCACACGTGTGTCTGACGCAGGGCGTCCTCTCAGCGCAGCCCCTCTCCACCTGCCCCCGGTCTCAGATATGCCCGTTGTGTGTCAGGTCCAGGACTGGGGCTGGGGGGAAGGAGGGCAGTGAGTCCTGCGAGCACAGTGTCAGATTCTGTCTTTTTGTGCTCATCAGAAATGTTTGCATTAATTTGTATTTTTAGAAATATTGCATTAAAAGATGATTTTTTCCATGGCCTAGTGTTGTGGTACCCTCTTGAATGTTGCACCCCAGGTATTCACCTCACCCTGTTCTGGTCTTTTCACACCCTCATGGGTGGAAGTCTGGGCTGTGTCCAGGTTCCTCCCTCTCTAAGACAGAGGACAGCTAACAGCCCATTCCTCACTCCATCTTCTACCCTCTCAGCCCCAAAACCATCCCCATCCCCCTCCTTGAGAATAAGACCCACCTCCCACCCACCCCAACTACCTGGCCTCACCTCTGCAGGGCCAGACCTCAGAGGGCAGAGGCTAAGGAACAGCTGTTAGCCACGGATATCTGGAGCCTTCCTAAACAGAGCCTTGAAGTGACCTTCCCTTTTGGGGGGTCACTGACCCCCATCTTGTCAACACTGTCTCAGAGGTACCATTTCCCCAGCTTTAAGCATTTGATGTTTCTTCCCTGGCAGCCTGGCAGCTGACAAGGGTTCAGCGTAAGCCAATACTGTTTGGAGAATAGAGGAATAAATAAAGACAGAGAGTTCTAAGTGATGGGGAAAACATCCACTCTCAGCAGCCTTGGGAAGCTTCCAGGTTCAATTCATTCGTTTATTCAATAAATATCTCTTGAGCACCCACTATGTGCCAGACACAGTCGTGGGAGCTTTGGGTACAGCAGACAAGAAAACAGAATCTCTACCCTCAGGAACTGTCATTCAAGTTTCAAGGTGGGAGGCACATCCCAAGTGCACAGATCTCCAACATACACAGGCCACATCTCATTTCATTCACACAGGATTCGCAGCCCCCATGGCACTGGGGAGCCCAAGACAACTGGTTGGTTTATATTTGTGTTTAGAGCAAATAAACGGAGATCTAAACTTCTACTCAGGGTAGAGAGGTTTTAGAGGGGTGTGGGAGGTTGCGGTCTTGGTTTTGATCTTGGTCCCTGCCCTACTCACTGTGGGGCCTTGGGTAGGTCATCGATGTCATGATTCCTGACTCAGTTTCTCCATCTGTAACCAAGAGAGGATAATCCTCCCCTCTTCCATCACCTCTCCAGGATGCTGTGAGATGCCAGGAGAGAACAGAGGCTGTAATGCTTGAGATCTGGCAAAGCTGCCACAGTGGAAAAGAAGCACTGGGTTGGGAGTCGGAGTCACAGCCCTGGCGCCGCACAGGCCATGGATGCAGTAGTTGAGAGAACACATGTGGTGTCTGACGTGGGTGTCAATCTCAGCTCTCCCACTGACTAGCTGTGTAAACTTGGGACAGACTCTTAAGTACCCTGTGCTTCAGTGTCCTTGTCAGGTGCGTGCGGGGAAATACTACTCAAAGTGTCACTGCAAATAAAACATTCAGAACAGGCCCTAGCACTGTTCATAAGCATTTTGTAAATGTTGCTGATTGTGAGTTGGCCCCTAGGCCAGCCCGTCCCTCCTCTGGGGTTCAGGAGTGCCATCTGTAAAATGAGTATGTTGAACCTAAGTTCCTTCCAGATCCCAAGCTTTTGCAAAGCATCAGGGTGTCTTCCTTTGAGGCCCCAAGCATCAGACCTTCAGGTTCTGCCCACTCCCTCCCCACCACCACAGGGGCGGGGAGCACTGTCCCACTCCACACGCTTCAGGAGGGGAGGAGGAGACAGTCAGGGAGCTTTCAGAGGGTGCAGTTCTCTTGTGGATCTGCTGTGACTGGCAGCATGGGGAAGGAAGATCTTGCCCTGAGGGGCTGCCAACTGCCTCTGCCGCAGTATCGTTGAGAGCAGAAAACACAATGGGGTTTTCATTATGAAGGAGAAACACGGGGCCTTCTGCAGAGTATTATTTCCTTTCCTTCCCCATGTGGAGGGCAACTCACCCAGCGGTGGGGCAAGCACCCTGTCCTGGGGACACACACACCACGGCCCCCAGATGCCCAAGGAGCACAGCAGAGGTCTGCAGACGCCCAGGGAGGCAAACATCTCCATGACAGAAGAGGGCAGACTGGCAAACTAAAGCCCTTTCCCAGCTTGCTCTCAGGGCCAGAAGCGGTCTATCAGAGGCTGCAGGAGGCTGCTGGGGGTCAGGAGGGAATGAGATGTGCCCCCGGCAAAGAAGGACAAGTGCTTGTGAGCTATGCTGTTATGCTGTGGCCCCGGTGCCCACTTTCTCCCTCATTCTGCAGCAGAACTGCTGTGGGCACAGAGCCAGGCACAGGTGCAGGGTGAGTCCTAATTCTGCCGCAGCATCCCACATCACTGGTACAACCATCAGATCCTGACTCCTTCCCCAGGCCAGCCAGCCATCAGCGGGTCCCAGGCTCACAGTGAGTGGTCGCTTCCAGCTGGGATGGTTCTGTCCAGCCTGAACTCTAAGTAATGCTGCTGCACAGACACCCCAAATATTCCCAACCCCACAACCTGTGTGGGATGACACCTCCCTGACCATTCATGTGGGGCACACCTGTCCATTTTCAGTCGCCTCACATTCCCCAAGAGGACCTTCTGCACAAGGCACAGTGCAAGGAAGAACTCACAGCTGAGCCAGGTGGAATGTGTTCCCTGGGCCACAGCTGTGAGCTCTCCGAGGGCTTTGTTCACCGTAATTCCCAGGTGTCCCTAAGAGGTGATAGGGCCTGGGTGGGTATTCACAAGATCCAGGACGGGGCGGGGGTAGAGGCAAACCATAAAGGCAGACATCAGGGTGCTGATGGCATCAGTGGAAACCCCAGGAGCCTCCTCTGCCCACCCAGAGAATGAAGATGACAGAGAGAAGGCTTGGGGTGTGGAGCAGAGCCCAGGGGATACAGATCATTGGCACGCTCCCAGACATGCCGACCACAGGTGTAGGTAACAGGTCACAGCTGCCGCCCGTGGGAATGTTCTCACTTGCAGAAGATGCAGGGATACATGACTCTCCTGAAACGTGGGCCTCTGCCAGGGCAGCCACAGCCCCCTAGTCTTCCAGCACCCCCTCCCCATAGACACATGCCCAACAGTTGGTTTCTGGGCCATAAAGAGATTCTCATTATGTTATGCAAACGCCTGCATCCATCAGACACCATAGCAGCAGCATGCAGAGTGTCAGGCAGGCACCCAGAGGCACACGTGGCAGTGCCACATGCAGGTCCACACCACCAGCTCAGTATGTGTCTCTGTCCTCCCAGCCACCTGGAGAGACTCTGCCACACACACACTTGCAGTCATGTGGACAGAGACCTGGTGGTTCTAACTCACGCAGACACACGCAAATACACACATACTCCATTTCCAAGTGAACTGCTGCTTTTGGCTGGATGCTTGCTCCAGGTGTACTGGCATCAACTCTGACATGAGAAGCAAGGAGAGTGCCAGGGGAAGCCTCACACACCCTGCGATGAGCTTTCTGGGCCCCTGGGTGAATTGCCTTTCCATGGGATGCAGGCTGTGAGTTTTCCAATTAGGAAACCTGGCCCGGAGAGGTGGCGGTGGCAGCAGGGGGTCATTAAGGATGCAGCCTAAGCAATGCTGGGCAGGAGGAGGAGGGATGAACTCAGGAAGCAGGCTGATGGGTGGGCGGGAGGTGCTGCAGTGAAACAGGAGCATGGCAGAGACTTTCACAGTGATTTGGAAAACATCTGCAGAGCACCGAGATACACAGACATCCCAGCTTCAATCAGCAGCCCTGGGCAGCAGTGGCTTCCTCACTGGTCTCCAGGAGAGCAACCACCATCCAGGCTGCCAGTGGGGGCTCTGCACCCTGGGCCTCTGAGCTGGGTGGGGTGGAGGGAAGTGAGATACTAAAGGACCTTCACATCCTCTCCTCTGTACCCAGCCCTGCTCCCCAACTCTGACCAGGCCTTGCTTCTTTCAACAGGAGAATTTGGCCCTGCTACCTCTCCCTCTCTTAGCTCCAGCCAGAATGTGGGTCCCTCAGGTATCTACCTTGAGCCCATCCCCAGAGGGCTGGGCTTTCCCAGCTGCTCTCTCCAAGGGATTAGTGCCCTAGGTCTCTGCAGATGCAGCAGGAACTGCTGCTCCCCAGAGCCAAGTATCCACATTTTCCCCAAGGGCATCTAATGCCAAAGCACCCTCTAGACAGAGGCTGTTTGCAAAGTGAACGAGTGCTAAGGATAAGGGTCCTAATTCCCAGTCCCACATCCCGTCACTTAGATGTTTCATCTGCAAAATGGGTGGCAAACCATTAAAGTGACTGGGCCTGATGACTTCCAGAGCCCCTGCCAGCTCCAGAAGCTGTGATATTCTGAAGTAATCTTGAATGGAGCCTTCAGACATGATCAGGCACATCGCAAAGACCACAAGTGTGTTCTCCCTGCAATGCATGAACGCCTTCCGACTTATTCAGTCCCTGCTTTATAGCGCAGAGTCCAGAGGGATAATTGTCTCTTTCTCTCTCATTCTGGTTTCTCTGCTTACACAAGCCACATAAAACCTTTCTGGTTAGAGCCCAGGACACACAGAAATTATATGTATGCACCGTCATGTATGTGCCTGTCTCATTGCCAGCAGAGACATTAGCTATATGAGTCACATTATTGACTTACATTCAATTCCTGGTCTGTGTACACCCAGGTGTCCTGAACATCTGTATCTTCCCCACTCCAACTTCTTCCTCCCACCATCCTAACTCTGCTGTCCTCTCTCCTCTCCTCCCTCCACTCACCTAGCGAAACAAGCTGTGGGAAAACAAGCCTGTGATTTTTCACCATGTTTATAAATCTCTTAAGCTTGACATGGTGCTTTTTTTCAGCTCGAAGCCTAGCTAGAATGTGGCTGTTTTCACAGAGAAAATCAAAGGAAAGGGATTATAATTATGGGTCAAATCCTGAGCGGGAAGCAGCTGCAGGCACTGGGGGCTTCCCTTGCCTGGGCATCTTTTGTATCAGCAAAAAGCTAGGCATCCTAGCAGCATGCTGAAAAGGGATTCCACCTGGGTTTTTGCCTCCTCTCAATCTTCCCATTTCCTGTCCTGATGAAATACAGTGCTCCTGTTGAGAGTGTCTTGCCCTTGGTGTGGCAAATGCCTGCAGCCAGGTTCTAAATGCTCAGCTCAGAAGCCTGAGAAGGACTTGGGCCTGACACACTCATCCTGTCCTAGTCATATCTTGGGGAAGCACCTGCTGACCTCCAGCTTCCTTCCAGGGACTGGCATGTCTGGCTGCCAACCAGCACCACCCTGAGATGCTGGGCTACCCAAGGACTTTCTCACCAGGGCACAATTAGCCAGTCCTATCCAAGCCTGGAAGGAACTATCCAATCTGCACAGCTGAGAGAAAGAAAAGAGAAAGAAGGGGAGAGGAAAGTGTGTGCTGCGAGCGCACCAGGCCTGGCTCTGAGCTCAAACCCTTATACCAGGCAAGCACAATGTCCTTCCTGACCCACGGAAGTCCGCAGAGTGTCTCACCCATTCCCATTGATGCCAGGCATGAAAGTCCCACCTGACGCTAAGTTATTGAGGCCTGTTGTTGGTTTTTAAAAAATATTTAGCATGAATTCTCAGTGTCACTGTGAAGCTGTGATATAAGCCAGCCTTTGTTTCCCAACCCCTCTTCTAGAGCATCTTACTGCTGAGCATTTCTCAGTGGATTTGAGTAAACAGCCATGTGTGTGCCTGTGTTCCCCTGCAGCACCCTGGCTGGGTACTTGAGCGGCCACAGACGTTTGCTTCCAAAGCTCTGTGAGGCTATACCTCCCCTTCCCAAACCCTGGATTCAGACTGTCTGATCTGGAAAGGTCTATGAAGTAATTTGCTCCAATGCCCTCCTGTAACAGAAGAGAAGGAAGGAAATTAGTCCAAGCTCACACGGAGAATCAGCAGCAACCACCTCCCCGCTTTAAGCCTGCCAGTATAAAGGGATGGCCCATCTCCCGAATTCCAGCAGCGCTGAGGATAACCTGCATTTTCATGGTGCAGAAAAAGTGATACTGGCCAGAGAGACCTACTGCCAACTCAGTGACCAGCGCCATGTGTGACCCTAAGCAAGGTTCCTTTCCTCTTTGGACCCTAAACCTGCATCTTTATAATGAGAAGGAGAGAGCAAATGCGCAGCTGTGATGATTAGGATAATGGCAACTGAACAAGTGCTGCCAATGAGGGGAGTGTTGGGTAGTGGTTAGAAGCACAGCATCCTGAATTCAAATCCTGCTTCGCCATTTACTAGTGGCTGACCCAGGGTCAGTCACTTCCCATCTCTGAGCCAGAGTATTGCAAATCAGGGGTAATAATATTACTTACCTTGTGGAATTATTGAGAGATCATATGAGCGAATTCATGCAAAGTGCTCAGCATAAGTGCCTACCACATAATAAATGCTTCATTAATGGTATTATATTTTCTCCTTTTGGAAACTGACCAGATAGCAAGGAGCTTAGGCCTCTAATGCTGGAGAACTGAGCAGTTATAAACTCTTTCTCTCAGGGTGTAAAGGGCAGAGCCTCCTGGGTCCCTGGACACAGAATGAAGGTGGTGTGGTTGGGCTGGGCAGGGCAAGGTCCTGGAGTTTTAGGACCTCCTACGAGGCCCCTCACTCACTCATAATGCAGAGCAGGCAGCCACAGCCTCCCTGGGCAGCACCAACGATGGGTCATTGAAAACAAACTGACTGAGTGATTTGTATTCCCCTCTCTCTCATGTTTAAGCACTGGGCCAACCCCTGGAGCATGTTAAGTGGGTTACTGCCTGCAGTGGAGTGGTGGAGGGGAGAGGCAGAGACACACAGCCATGGCCCCAGGCAGAGGAAGAGGAAGAGGGGAGGTCAGGAAGGTTGGGGAGAGATGAAGAGAGAGGGGAGAGGATAATGGGAAAGTGGAAGAGAGGAAAGTGGGACAGGGAAAGAGAGAAGTAAGGGAGCAGAGAAAGAGGAAAAGCAGGGGAAAAGGATGAGGCAGAGGCACTTGGAGGAGGAATGAAGCCAGGGCCTGGGTCTCATGAGATGAAAAGGTCAACCACGGCCCCTCTAAAGAAGGCTGCCAACATCCTTTGGCCCATGAGTAGAGAAGTATTTTAAAATATAAGCTTAATGAGGGCAGGGACTTTTTAAAAATTGTTTCTTTTTCTTTTGGTGTTGTATCTTCAGCTCCTAGAATCATGCCTGCCCAGGAATTTAATAGCTATTTGTTGAATGATAATATTTTAGCGCTGGCAGTCAACTAACCACATTTTAGACAAGTAGCTTCTGTGGGCTCCATCCTGCACTCTTGACAATGGGGAGACTCCAGAGAGAGGGACCAGGCTGCCTGGCTGTTTTTGAGGATCACAGCTTGGCTGGGCAAAACGGGCTGAGAGAGGGGAGGTAAAGGGAATTTGCATGACAACGCACAGTCAGCGGGTGATTGGCTGGCTCTGGCTACAGGCAGCACAGGAGGAACAGCCCAGAGAAGCGGGGCCTTGAATGCAGCTGAGGATGCAGCTCTGATGTGCCCACTTGGTCTTAAAGGTCTGGCATGTTCCAAAAGTTTGCACAAAACTTTCCCGTTGTAACCTAAGGGCTCATTCTTCCTTGGGAAGAAGGTGCATTATTCATCTCAGTGACCTGCCGATATTGACCCCAGGTCTCCCCATAGCTTCTTAAACCACCTGATTCAGGTTTATTAGGGGCAAAGGTGAGTAGCTGGGCTCAAGTCCTAAACTACCTCCTGGCCAACACTGGTGGGAAGTCCAGGAAGCCTCTCATGATATGTCCTCATTGGCTTAACCAACTCTCATGAATCAGATGAGATAATAAGGTGAGATTCACTGACTTTGGAGTCCAGCTGGATTCAAATCCCAGCTCTATAGCTTCCAAGCCTTGTGATCTTGGACCACTTTGTGAATAGCAAGAGCTTAAGTTTACTGAGTATTGACTCTTCCAGGAACTGTTCTCAGTGTTGTGTATATGGGTTCACTACCCTATGTGGCAGGAACTAGATTTATCTAATTTCTCAGATGAGGAAACTGAGACACAGAAAGGTATAATAACAGGCCTAGAGGCAAGGAGTGAGTATGCGATAGAGTCAAGTTTGAGCTCAAGCAATCAACCTCAAAGCCCTGGTCTTAACTTCTGCACTATTTTTACCCTTCTGAGTCTCAGTTTCTTCATTTGTCAAATGAGACAAAATAGGACCTTCTTCCTAGTATTACTGAGAGAATTTGAAATACAGTAATATATAAAGTACTTGATAAAGTGGGGATTCAAGAAACTGCAGCTATCATATTTTACGGATGTAAGAGTATATTTCTGTTGTAAAAAAAATGGCAATAATGCAAATCTTTTTTTTTTTTTTTTGAGATAGAGTTTTGCTCTTGTCACCCAGGCTAGAGTGCAGTGGCACGATCTCGGCTTACTGCAACCTCTGCTTCCTGGGTTCAAGCAATTCTCCTGTCTCAGCCTCCCGAGTAGCTGGGACTACAGGTGCATGCCACCACACCTGGCTAATTTTTGTATTTTTAGTAGAGACAGAGTTTCACCATGTTGGCCAGGCCGGTCTCGAACTCCTGACCTCAGGTGATCTGCCCACCTTAGCCTCCCAAAGTGCTGGGATTATAGGTGTGAGCCATCGCGCCTGGCCACAAACCTTAATTAAATGTCAGTTAGTGGCCCAAAACCATGGTGACACTCCTGCTTCCTAACACCTGCTCTATTACACCATTTAGTGTATGCGCCCTAGTTCCCCTATACTGGGCATCTTCCATTTGACCCTCCAGGTCCACAGTACACCCTTCTTCACCCTGGTCATTGTCCAGGAGGCTGGTCAGTGCAGCCCCCACCAGTGGGCATCATGCCCTCTGCCTCCTGAATAGGGGAGGTCAACTGGGAAGATCAACAGAAGATGGGAGGGAGAAAGGAGAGTGAGTTTGGGCTATTTATCCTCCTACCCCCAGCTTCCTCATCACGAGTCTGGCCCGCAAGCAAAGGTGACATACCTGGTGAGACACCTTTTTGATACTGCTCACATATTCTCTGGGGTCCAGGAACTACTGCCTCCCTTCTCCCTCCAAGTTTAGGGGAGGTAACAGCCTCCCAGTGTTACCAGCCCCAGGGTATTTCACTAACCCTGTGGTTTCTCTATGCCATCCCCACACCTTTGTAAATAGTTTCTTTTAATATAACTCATTTGAATGTGTCTTCTGTTTCCTGATGGGACCCTGAACAATATGCAGCTTCAACTAGATGAAGCCAGAAGGCATCATCTTTATTAAAGCCTGGCAGACTTTGGGTCAAATCTTGTTCTAGTATTTGCCAGCCATGTGACTTACATAAGAACCTCAGTTTTCTCATCTATTTTTACAGGGGAGTAAAACTAGGGATAAAAATAGTACCTGGCTGGGCACAGTGGCTCACACCTATAATCCCAGCACTTTGGGAGGCCGAGGTGGGTGGATCACCTGAGGTCAGGAGTTCGAGACCAGCCTGGCCAACCTGGTGAAACCCTGCCTCTACTAAAAACACAAAAAATTAGCTGGACATGGTGGTGGGCACCTGTAATTCCAGTTACTTGGGAGGCAGAGGCAGAAGAATCACTTGAACCTGGGAGGCGGAGGTTGCAGTGAGCAGAGATCGTGCCATTGCACTCCAGCTTGGGTGACACAACGAGACTCCATCTCAAAAAAAAAATGAAAAAAGAAAAATAGTACCTACCTTACAAGTTATTTTGAGGCTCCAATGCACATTGCAGGACTCAATAAATGAAAGCCATCAGCACTTTAGCATTGCAGTTACATCAGGAGTATGTACAGCTATTATCCCAAAAGCTCTAATTTTGACTTGGGGAGCTATGTGGTCCTGGAAGGTTGAGGCTCCAACCAATGCATTTTAATTCTGGAGGCCACAGTGATTGAGAGGAATATATAGCCTAAACAGGTCCTATCAGAGTGAAGCTCAGAATTCCTTCCAAGACTGTTGGGAGAATGTATTCTCTCTCCCTTTAGATGCTCTGCCCTATGAACATGCAGCCTACATCTGCTAGAGCTGCTATAGCCATCTTGCTACCATGAGGAGGAAGGCCAGCCTAAGGACAAAACCAGTTCACAGAGCACAGGGAAATGAAGCTGAATTCTGACAAACCCATACTTGAGGTCCACACCACTTGGTTACACAAGCCAATAAAATTCATTTTTAAAAGTTAGATCAAACTGGGTTTTTGCCTACTTGTAATCAGTTTCAACCGGTGAATTGAGAATTTGGTAACAGAATTGGGATGCGGAAATAATTGACCCTATGATGTCAGCAGGGTAGACATTACCAAGCCAATGGGGTGGGACAACAAGCAACAAAGATGTTGCCATTCAGGACCTCCAGGCACACTGTGCCTTGAACAGCTCAGAGCCATCAATGACATTGGTAGTCACAACAGATTTGTATGTTTGCAATACAGTTTTCTAGCAAAATGACAGTCAAGTGACTTGAGAAAGAGAGGAGGTTTTTTCTAATTTGCGCCAAGATGTCAACTGGGCTAGTAGCAAGCTCTCATGCCCCTAATCTGGTGAATTGGCAAAACTTGTCATGCAGTGACAAGGAGGGTGGTTAAACTGCTGCTTCATTTTCCTTTGGTCTCAGGCTATGTACCTGATAAAGCTATGGAAGACAAGAAATTTTAGGATATTGGAATAAATTGATTACTTCATATGGCTTTCAACAAAAAGTAAGGTCCTACAACAAAAAGACAACCTTTGGTTCAAAGTGGCCCATTGAGAGAAAAGAGAGAAAAAAAATGGCTTTGCTATTGTGAGGTTATTGCTGTGGCCTATAATCCAAATTTCCTGAGATTATGATAATCTGGAGTCTGGTAGGGATGGAAAAGTGATGCTATTGTATGTGAGCAAAGATAGGTGGTGGGAACCACAGTGAAACATAAGATTGGGCTCACCAGGAAGTGTGAATCCCCAGACCATGCACAAACAACTGTTGAAATAATCCCTCTGCCAGGAGTGGTGGCTCACACCTGTAATCCCAGCACTTTGGGAGGCCGAGGCAGGCGGATCACCTGAGGTAAGGAGTTCAAAACCAGCCTGGCCAACATGGCAAAAAAACCCATCTCTACTAAAAATACAAAAATTAGCCAGGCATGGTGGTGCTTGCCTGTAGCTACCTGGGAGGCTGAAGCAGGAGATTCGCTTGAACCCAGGAGGCGGAGGTTGCAGTGAGCTGAGATTGTGCCATTGCACTCCAGCCTGGGCAAGAGAGAAAGACTCCGTCTCAAAATAAAAAATAAAAATAAAAATAAATAAACTCTCTTACTCTCTTTCTGGCAGTGAGGACAATTACTTCTGTTGTGAGGGTGCAGCTGCGGCACAGCCAGTAAGCAAACGGCAGTGGTAATGCCCTATCCTAAGGCAAAGAGGACCCCCTAGGAGGTACAGCCCAATATGGAGGCCGAAGCTATGAAATGAAGGGCTAGGGTATGAGCAGAGCAAGCAGCTCTGTTGCTAGGAGACAATGCTCAGACTTAAGACTGACTCAGCAGTATCTCTTGCTGCAGTTATTGGCACATGATATTGACTGGGAAGTGTACGGACTGGTAATCTAACGTCTTTAGAGAGAGTCACATTGTCAAGCCTGGCTGGCAATGGCCTTTGATTGCTCAAACCTTAAGACATACTTCAAGTTCCCATCCTCATCCAGTAGGGGGCATCCGTCAAAGTAGCACAGAAGAGAGGCCTTCTCTAATATTCATCTCAGAGGAGTCCAGAGAAGACAATGGACAAGAAAGAACTTTCCACCCCAGACTAGCTAACCAAAGAAAGCATGCACTGCCAGAAGAAGGTACCGGGGACCACAGACCAGTGGCCACAATGTGGCTTTCCAATTTTACTATTTTCCAAATGGGAGTGGTATAGTTTTGTTTGCTTTTTTTTGCAATTTTCATATTCTTTCTCCACTGGTGTATATTGGGTGTGTTGAGGTGTAAACAGCTTACCATTTAACAAGTCAGTGCCTAGGCCATAAAGAGTTCTATCTGGAGAGGATGAAGAGGACTCACAGTGTTGAGAGATGCTGGACAGGGAGTTGTAGGCAGAAACTAAGTAAAACTCCACAGCGTCTCCCCGCGGGCATGGGGTGAGTATATCATATGTAGATGGAGTATTTTTAAATGTGCATATGTAGTACAAGAGTATGTGTTGGCAGCCAAAGAGGTGGACTGCAGTGGATGGGAGTCGTTGCCTTCAAGAGATGCGTCATAAAATCTCCAGATGTCGGTGTAGGGCCTCCTGTGAGTCTGGGTAAACCAACGCAAGGATGGATGAGGTTCATGACACTAGGCTAATCAGTGACAGTCCATGACCCTGGCCACAGAGACTAGTCCAGAGGAACATGTGATCCAAGTCAGTCCACTGGGGGTGACTCTTAGGGACAAAGCGCTTAGGGGCAGGGATTTACAGAAGGTCCACTGCATTCCGGGCACTATTCTGGGCAATGGCAGATACTTCAATGAGCAACTGAGGTAGGGTCTCTGTCCTTCAGGAACTCACATTCTTCAAGAAAGCAGGGTATATAGACATGAGGCCAGGGAGGACGTCAGCTCGAGGAGGACAAAGCCAGTACACAGAAGACAGAATATAGAGCCAATGAGAAATGGAGCCCAAGGCCTGCTCAAGCTTCTCCTGAAGCCCACATCACCACTGGACTTTTCAAATACATGAACCAAATAAATACCCTTGATCGTTTCAACTAGTTGAGTTGGTTTTTCTATTATCTGTTGTAACATTTATCTCTTGAGTTTAATTAATTCATTTGGATTTAATCATAGCAGCTAACCTGATGGCAGGGAGTAGATAGTGATTGATAACTATGTGTCAAATGAATACACAAAGGTGAACACCATCAAGCATCTGAGTAGAAAGTGGCTGTTGAGGATTGATTCCGGGATAGAACTACACAGGACATGATGCTAAGATCATACACTAGCAGTGAACCTAGCAACGCACAGTGATTGAAGAATTCACTGAACATTCTTAATAAGAACAGCAGAAATTTTTATAAATATAATTACTCTGATCTGCTCTGACATACCAACATGATAGAATCAAATGTTAAGAAAGATCAGCGGTAGAAGGAAGGAAGATTCAAGCCTATCAAGTCCAATTCACCCATTTCACTGTTGAGGAAACTGAAGCCCAAAGAAAAAAAAAGACCTACCCAAGTCACACAGATACAAAAATCCATTTATACAAAATCCTCGTGTGTTATACAAGTTATACAAGGTGAGAGGCACACTTATTCCCACACCAGGGGCTATGTCTTTTTGTTTCATTCTCTAACACCGTGGTTCTCAAAGTGTGGTCTTCAATCTGCAGCTCCATTCTGCAAATTCGCAGGTCCCACTCCAAAACCTGCTGAATTAGAAACTCTGAAGTGAGCCCAGGAATCCTTGTTTTACTAAGTCCTCCAGGTGATTCTGATGCATTCCCAAGCTTGAAAACCACTGTTCTAGAACAGTGGTTCTCAAATCTTAATGTGCATACAAATCACCTGGGATCTTGTTAAAATGCCAATTCAAATTTAGTAGGTCTAGGGCAGGGCCCAAGAATTTGCATTTCTAACTAGTTCCCAGTGATGCCAGTGCTTCTGCCCCGTGAACCACCCTTTGAATAGCAAAGCTCTCTATGTTAAAATATTGTTTTACATCTGTTCCCTGTCACCTGTGGAAACTGGAATTTCTTACACATGTAGCTGAGCAGACACAGTTATGTGGGACCTGAAAAAGTAAAATCCCTGAGAAGTACTACACCTTGCCAAAGGAGATAGATATATACCAAATCATATCTACAGCTAAAAGCATTAAATAACTCAAATATAAAACATCAGTCACTAAAGTCTCAAAAGCCATTTTTCTTTCCTTTCTTGCTTGAAAAAATTCATTATAAAACCAATTATCATTAAAAGATTTTTAGAAAAGGAAAGGAAGAAAAACACTCATACTCTAATTACCCTACCCCAGCAACTATTTTTTTCATATTTGCATATTCCTGCCAATCTTTGTCCATAAGCATCCTTTAAAAAAATCAGTTCCCATCATGTACTATGGAATTTTCTTGACTAGAATAATTCTGTGTTGGAGTGTTCTTATCCTATTCTCATTTATCTTAATCAGTAAAAATCCCATACCTAATCATTTCATTAATATACTCAGCTATTCAACAAGTTAGTAAGAGCTACACTTTCTGAAATTTGCACTAGCTGATGCTTTCCTGGTTCTCCGAGCAGGTGTGTGCCCCTCAGCTCTGTCTCTTTCTCCAACAGTCATGCATCTCCCTTCTTGTTCGCTCCGCTCTGCCTGCCAGGTGGAGGAGGGCATGTTGCTTTTCTCAGCCACTTCTAGTTTCTAATTAACCCACATCCCTGGGAGAAAGAAGCCTCTAGGTGGCTTAGCCTGCCTTTACCACCTGACTCTTTAAGGAAACTTGGCTATGGTAAATATCAGCCAATGCAGATCGACTTATTAAACAAAGCAATAATGAGTTCAACACAATCAATTTTTTAAATAGTCAACAAAACCTACCCAGCAGAGGAAAAACAAATATAACTGGCGTGTAAGGGCTTAAAGCCACAAGGGAAACTGAGTCACGTCAAAGGAAAGCTGGATACTCTCTAAGTGAAGGAAGCATTTCACACATTGGACATCTTGGGGAGCTGAGCAAACACCAAGTTCAGGTGACAAGTGAAGGATGGCACTTCTGGACACTCCATTTGTAAATAGGGGAGGTCTTTCCCCACTGTGTTCTGGTGGGGAAGGTCTAGGAGGGCAAGGCCATTCTGCATCATGTTCTGAGATCAGAGCCAGCACATAGCAAATGCTCAGGGAATTGAATAAATAAGTAACAAATGAAATTGGTCAATAGGGAACCACAGTTCTTAATGAATTCGCCTCAGATTTAATTACATTATAAAGATGAAATACACTTATCCATTATCTCCGTAAGTAGTCTTACAGGTGGATAATATAGGCTTTATTTGAACTCCATAGGTGGGAAAACTGAGGTGATGCCTTACTTATAGGAAGCTGGTGGCAGAGGCAGGCTGAGGTTCCAGCCTTGTGCTTCTCACCTCTGGGGTCTTCTCTGCAGATCACACTTTGGATAACTGATGTCCTTCCAGCCATGAATACTGTTACTCAAGGACCCAGAGAGGCCGCTGTCTCTCCTGTGGTTTCAGGTGCCTCTCTCTCTCATGGGACCTTCAAGGATTTCAGAGAAGGAATCACTGTCAACCCCCTTCTTCCCCCACCCATCTACCTACGACCCTCCATTGCCACCACCTGGGAACCAGGGCTTCTTTGCTGAGACAAGCTCCTGCCCTTACTCCTGTCCCCCCGAAGTGGGAGAGGAATGTTCCATGAGATATACTAAAGCACAAGGAAGGTGCTGGTCAAGAACAGGCTACCTGGAAGTCAGGATGGATGTCAAATGGACCCAGGGTTTCATTTATGAGACCACCTCAGTTTTGGAGGCCTTTATATAGTGGACTAACCTCATGCCCTCCTTAGGGGCTTCTCTCGTTGGGCCTCCTAAACGGCTGTCTCCCTGCCTTGGTTCCACTCAGGAGAGAGCTAGAATGCAAGATGGATGGAGGGAAGGGTGGATGGGTGGATGGATGATGGGTGTAGGGGTGAATGGGAGGGAGAGGTAGATGGGCAGAGAGACAAAATGACAGAAACAGCTTGGAAGACAAATTGACAGGGAACAGAAAGGTGCCATGGGAATTGGTATTCTTTTGCTCGCTTCCCAAGAGCAATCACGAATGCAATGTAAAGTGGACCTCACAACTGCTCACCTCTCCAGGCCACCCCTTCATATTCTCGCCACATAGAACCACTAGGCAGCTGAGCTGAAATGAGGTCCCTTGTACAGATGGGTGAACTGAGACCCAAGGAGGCCCAAAGTCTCAAACACTGTTTTTTGATCACCCCCTTCCTACTTGACTCCCCCTCTGAAAAATCGCTCTTGTCCTGACTTTCAACTACCTATCCTCAGTCTACCTTTTATCTCTGCACTCAGACAGTTTCTTGGTTAAAAGTCACCTCTCAGTAAATCAGCCTACCGGCACAGTTCTTTCCACAGCAAATGCAGGAGGTAAGGGCAACATTCTGTTTCTAACAAAGCCATTTTTAATAATGTATAATTAGTTATAATTATTTAAGAAAAGACCTTTTCCATGCATGCTGGTGGAAAGTTCCTCCTGACCTCTAACATAACTCTGTCCTCTTTACAATTGGTTAAATAATTTCCCCTGAGTCTGACCTCTTTTCCCTGGGTAAGATGTTCTTTTTGCCAGCTTTAGAAAGGCCAGTAGAATTAAAAGCGCTCTGCTGGGGGCCCCTCTCCTGCTCCTGCTCAGCACCCCGCAAGGGCAAGCTGTGAGGAGATGGGGAGGAACCTTGGCTCCTGCCCACTGCCCCTCCGGGAAGAAGCCATGCCAGTGAGGTCATCCCTGGTGAGAGGTGAAGGCTGGGCCCTAGGGGGATAGGCACCAGCTGAGGGTTGCGGTGGGGAGGCTGGGCCGGAGATGAGCTCACCCACAGTAAGGAGGTGAGGAGACCCTCCTCCTCCTCTCCCCTCCACAAGTGAGACTACGCCAGCAGGATGCAGTAAACCTTTCTCAGAAGTATTGATCACAGACGAACAAGTGGCAGCTACGGATGGGCTGTCTGAGCCCCATCCGGGAGGTAACAGCCAGAGACAGTGTTGCCACGCAGATCCCCCTCCTCACATGCCACTGCTCCAGGGTGCAGGAGGAGGAGTCTGTGCCTCCTGGAATTGTGAGATAATTCTTTCATTCTCAGCCCCACATCCTTGCTTGCATTCACCAACTTTCTTTGACCTAGCTTTGCTCCCCAACCTGCTTCTCTCCTGTCCTCCCAAAGTCTCCAGAAACCTGTTCCCCAGCCCTGCCCCCACCCCCATGGCAGGAAGCCTTGCCACACTGAGTAGATGAGATTCAGTGGGGAGTCTGAGTCTGCTCCAGCCCTCTCTACCTTGCCTCGAAATCCCCACCAATGGCCACCCATCCCTCCCCACACCGCTCTCTGACATGCACAATGTCCATATAATTTCTTATCTGGCAGTGACTGTTTTACTGTACTAAATCTTCCTTCTTTGCTGACATCTAAATCTACTCAGAACTCCTGAAGAACAAGAGGCGTAATGAAGATCAGAATAATCTCAACAATAATGATACAGGGAGAATGCACTCTGTTCCAGGCACACGCCGACCGTCACTGTCAGCCCACCTGCTCTCCTCAAATGCCACCCACCCAGTCCACCTGAGCCACCTGGAAAGCCCCCGCACCATGCTGCAGTCTGGCAGGTGTAGAATTGGCCTTATGGTTCTAAACTGGGGTCTGGGAGAGCTGGGAGGAGCCATGGAAATCAGAGGCCCTCCCACAGCCCCTCCTACACCTTGGCCCAGACTGGGTAGCCAGCTTTCCTGTCTAGCAGCAGGGACCCAGCCCCGACTGAACACAGGCCCTTTTCTGGGGCTCTGACACCCTGACAGGCCCCTCTTGCCCTACAGCAGGGGCCCTTCTGCTCAGAAGGATAATGTGATGTGAGGCTGTGCTGAGGGCACAGAGCAGTGAGGATAAGGGGCATGAAGCCCCACCTGCACTTCTGAAAGGACAGAGGAAAGGGAAGGGGAGAGAGCCCCAGTGCAGTCACTCACAGAAGGAGCTCACCTGCACCCTGATTCTGCAGAAGACTTTGCCATTAGTCATTCTGGGGATGCTACACTGCTTGTCCTGAGGATGGAAAGTTATTAGAGGGGAGGTAAGGTAAATGGCCACAAGGGCATATGGCTAGTCAGTGTGGAGAGTGAATTAGAACCAGGTCTCTCTCTCTCTCTCTCTCTCTCTCTCTCTTTGTTTCTCTCTCTCTTACCTACATAGACACACACACACACACACACACACACACACACACACGCACACACTCCTACTGATGCTCTTGGCCACCTTCTGGATGGCTGATTTCTTGAACTCCTGTTCCCCTGTCTGAGTGACCCCAAGTTTGACCCACTCACAGAATTCCTGAGGCCATGGCCACCAATGCTTTCATCTACCAAGACACAAATCCAGCTCAAGGCATCCTTTGATTTTGTCTAATCCACATCACTTCAGACAGTGAGCTCCTTAAGAATTAGAGACATAATAATAACCAGGATCATAATCAACACTCGAGGCCAGATGCCTCCTCGGGTCTCCCTTTCCCCAAGTCTGGCTCCCCCATCCCCATCTGTGTGCCTTACAGCCTCTCTGCCACAATGCAAAGACTTCGTTTTGTGCAGGCCTCTAAGCCTTTGGGATGGGGCAGCTGGAAGCTCACTGTAGAGACAGTGCCTCCTCACTCACCCGAGGCGAGGTCTCCATGAGTCCAGCACATGGCCCACCTTTTGCGGATTCCAAGGAAGCAGAAGATACAAACCAGCCTGGCCCCAAGGCACCGACATCTGACCAGCAGAAATGATGTCCTCTCTCAGAGATAAAGCATAAAGGTCAGAAAAATATTACTAGTCAAGGAAACAGAGCTATGGGGGTTCAGAGATGGGGCAACCATGGTGGTAATGGTGGCGGGGTCAAGGCTACCACTGCTGGCCTTTATCCTAGAGAGTCACAGGAAGATAAGACCTACAGGCACAGTGGTCAGGGGTCTGAGGATTGAATGTTCCATTGGGTTTGGGTCAGGGAGACTCTGTGGAGGCCCTGGGGTCAGAGACAGGCCTTGACCCTGAAGGCCAGTAGGATACCTACAAATAAAGATGAGAGTGGGGTGTGCCCAGGGAGAGAAACTATAGCTGCAGAGATACCACAGCCAGGACCCAAACCATTGCATCCAAAAGCTCAGAGATGGTCCTACACAAATGATTAAGTGTGCAGATCCTGGCCCTGCTATGGGACCTCACTCTTCCATGTGACTTAGCCTTTCTGTGTCTCCTCTGTTAAATGGGGATGATAACAGCACCTATGTCATAAGATCCTTGCAAAGTTTAAGTGGGTTAATATTTATAAAGTATATAGAACAATGTTTGTCACACAGCAACTTCTATGGGAGTGATTATTTTTATTGTTGATAATGATGATGTTATTTCATTGCACGGAAGGCTTTTATAACAAAATCCCCAATGGTTTTGCTGTTACCTGGTTTCTAAGTTTTGGGCAAGGATTCGCTTGTCCACTTGCCTGAAAGAAGAAATATATTCCAGCAGTGGGGGTCCCTGATGTGGTGCTCTGTGGGCCTCCTGACTCCACGCACGTGAAGGAGTGGAGAAGAGGAGGAGCCTTCTGACTGATGGGTGGAGTCTGGCTCTTCTGGGAATGAGTAAGCTGAGGCCCCCAAGGAAGCTGTTCTGATTCCCCAGAGAGATCCTCCAGCACAAGCCTACTTGTTCGACTGATTAACACCTCCTCTCCCTGTGGATCTAGGCAGGAGCAGCCAGCAGCCTGTGTCCCCTGGCTCCTGAGGAGACATTGCATGGACTCTTTTCCTGCCTGCAGCTTTGTGCCCAGTGAAGGAACAGCCAGCACTTCCTTCCCCGCATTGTGGAAGGTCTAGGCCACTGCACTCTGTTAAGAACCTGTCCCTCCATTTTGAGTCCCCAGCGTTAGAAAGATGGATCTGCCTCTGGCTGAGGCATTTGAGGGTTTGGCCACCTTGCTCTGGGATTCAAACAGTCAGTGAGCTGAGGGTGAAAGGTACATGGATCCCAGGAAGGTAAAGAAGAGCAGAGAGAAGGCTGGAGGAGATGTCCTCAGTTAGGTGGAGAAGAGAGTTCCTGACCTTGTGGAGTTTGGGGCCCAGTGGGGGAAGGCGAGGGCTAGACTGACGTTAGAAACATGAAATTACTGTCTTTATCATTATTGTTAGCACCTGTTCCTAATACTACTAAGCTCCTACTCTGCTTTTGCAAGCACTTTACTGACATTGTCATTTAATCCCACAAAACCTCTGTGAGGTTAACGTTATTAGTGCCTCCATTCTGCAAATAAGTTAACTGAGGCACAAAGAGGTTATGTAACCTACCCAAGATCACACAACAATCAGAGGCATCTCAATCCAAAGCCGGGCTTGCCCGTGACACTGTGCAGAGGATGCATGCTTGAGAGTAGCACGCACACTCACGGATGTGTGAGCACTAAGCTGAAGGACAGAGGAAGGCTAGCTGGGAAGGCAACCCCAGGTGTCCCAAAGAAGTGATTTGTAAAGACAATAAGGGCCATGGATCAAACGGAGGGGGCATGGGGAAGAGCATATGTTGGGGTGTCAGGATGGTAAGAGATGAAGCCTCTGATGATATTGGGGGGAGGATGGATGGCCGCTGGGTGGGGGTGAGAGAGGCTACTCTGTGTCAAGTGCAGAGAGGGAGACAGTGGGCCTGATGGGGAGGGGTCAGCCTATAAATGCTCCTCCTGGGAAGAGCCCGGCAGTGAGCCTTCCTGATGACGCTGTAAATCAGGGCCCCTAAGTAAAGCCATTACCACACTGAGATACTCAGTCTATTGCCGGATGCCACTGTTTGAGACATTACTTTGAATTTAGTTTATGACTCCTGCTGCTATAAATTCTGCCTAGAGTGGATCTAAGGAGGTGGATGGGTCACCCCCACACCCTGGGAATCCCCAGTTCAGCTGGGGTGGTCCCAGGCCTGAGTGTGGAGAGGCTAAGCTGGCCAGGAGAGTCTATGGGAGCCTGGCCTGGGGCCCACTATGGGGGTAGGGGCAGCGGAGGGAGGGAAGAGGGACCGAGGGGGCTACCTGGCCCTTCTAGCTAATACCTTGCTAATATCAGGCCTTTTGACACTGAGAAATTGTCCAGCCTCTGAGACTGGCTAGGACCAGAGTCCCTAAAGGGGCTAGGACAGGATGTAATTCAAGCCTGCCCCTTCCCTGGGCATGTCCTACCCTAGCTGCCTACTCCACCCCTGCCCAAGCACCCTCCCAAAACTGAAGGGCATTTCATCCGCCCCCTCTGACTCCCCATCCTGGACGGGCTCCCCAGTCTTATTCACAAATCTTCATTTCTCCTTCTCTGCCGTTCTTCCAAGTCCCACTCATGTGGGAGCAGCTGGTAAATAGGGCTGGCCTCTCTCCCTCTTCCGTTCCCAGGCACAGTCCTGACTTGGCCCTCCCCATGCCAAGGCGAGTTCTAACCATCTGCCCACACCTGCCTCACCCCCAGGCCTCCAGCTCCTGGAAACTGCATCTCCTTCCTCTCTGCATTGTCTCGGTTAGCCCTGGGTGGAGCACTTTGAGGAAGCTCAGTAAACATTTGTTTTGAGAACTATTCATTTCTATGGCCTTAATGTCTCACACAATGTGGAAAACACAGAAGGTGCTAAATAAGTGTTTGTGAACTGAAGGGAATCTAGTCCAGGAGGCGCTCTGACTGAGCCCACAAGCCACCAACGCCTGCACCCATCAGGGACAGCGCTCTAACCAGCAGCACCGGCCACCATACCACCCACCTTTTCAGGGATCATGTGTTCAAGGTCTATAGGCTCTTCCCATGACCAGGCACCAGGATGCCATCATGTGTGAGACACCATGCCTGACTGGGGAAGCCCAGTTGAGGCCAAAGACCCAACATATTCAGAAATGATGGACCGCACCATCATGGGGCAGAGGTGGCAGGCAAGGGTGTGCCTGACTCCTCCATTCAGGAGGCTCTGTAGTAGTTGCTGGCCTGCTGCTGTTTGAAATGCTGTCTGGATCAGCCAGACAGAAGATACTCCAGGAGGCAAAGCTTCTCTTACTAACTCACATCAAATCAGATCTGCCAATCACTCAGATTGGTGTTTATCAAACCGCAGTTCATGATCCATCGGTTGGTCATGGAATCAATGCTGTAGTCATGACCAGCATGCTCAGTAGAGCAGGATAGAATAGGACAGAGCAGAATAGAATAGATAACAGGGCACTGTGCTTGGTAAGGACATCATGTCATAGTATATCTGTTTCCATTATACAAGTGTTGGTTATTTGTATGTTTCAAATGTATTTAGTAAGTTGTCATGTAAAATATATGTCTTACAGTGGGTTTAAGCCAAAAGAGATTGAAAGTCCTAACAGATTATCTAGATCATCTCCAAACCTACCACACTCTAATTGCTTTGGGCCTCTGTCTTCCCTGTCTGTAATTTGATTCAGCAAATATGTGGAGTGTCCATCTGTGCTAAGAGATGTTCTGAGAAGTTTGTTGACTCAGTGCAGAAGTATCCTTCACCTAGTATTATAAGCAGGGTGTGTTCAGAAGAGAGGTACCTTCAATGGGACCTCAGAGACATTGCAGTTTCTAGGGCCATGAGGTGGCACTAGGAACTCAGGCCCAAGGGAAAGGGCAACTGAGAGAGGAGCCCCAAGATTCTCGATGTTCTGTGTAATCCTCAGGGACTGGTCCCCTACCTTCAGGGGAACAGAAAAGAAAAGACAGAGCTGTGTGGGGTGCAGGAGAGCTGGCCTGGGCCCAGGCCCTCACATGGAAGGTCAGGGCTAAAAGAGACCCCAAGGACCTTTTGCAGTGACCCTTATTTAGTAGATGGAGAAACTGAAGTCTCCACAGAGAAAGGCAATGGCCGGTTGGGGACTGATCTGGGAATAGAATCCATGTCTCCTAGAACTTCCCCATGAGCACTGTTTCTATGGCTGCCGGGACCTGCCAGAGGGGCTGGCCTACTGGGCAAACAAGCAGGCCACACTGACACAGTGCCCTTCCCTCCACAGGGGCTGGCTGCTGTGGATCTTGTCAGTACATGGGGTACTAGGGAGCAAAGAGATTCACTGGTTACTCTCTTCTTGGGCTTCCACAGAAGGTGCCTGAGCTCTAGAGTTTGATAGAAACTTACTCAGCATGGAAAAGCTGACATAAAAGCAAGGGAGGCACAGCCTTTTTAGATACTAGAAAAACAGGAGCCCCGCTTAATCCACACCTATCCCTGGTGGGAGAGTCAGGAAGGAAGGGAGAATTCTCATGACAACAAGCTCCAGAGGGCTGGAGAGGCGGGTAGAATACAGCAGGCCTGGGAGGCCCACCCCAGGCTCAGGCTTCCTTGCTCAGGCCTCAGGGAACCCTAGGCATCTCCCCCTCCACCATGATGACCAGGAGTCAAGGAGTCCCTAAGCAGAAAACCATCAGTCTTATTCAGCCCCACGGCCCCAGTGTCTGGCTCATAGCAGGTATTCTAGAAGTATGTGCCGAATGAATGACTGAATGAATGGAGTTGAGATTAGAGAGCATAGAATCTGTTCTCTGGAAAATGACAGTCCAACTTGGGCGTATGGAAAGTGATAGAGAAGGATCATTTAAAAATCAACACATGATAAGAGGCAGATGAGGGGTACAGATCATGAATGAGATGGAGTTGTGGGCAAGGCTGAGCTATAGCAATCACAGAAGGCTTCCTGTGGATGGTGGTTAGGGTCAGGTAGAGATTGGGCAGACGGAAGGAGGAACCATGACTACGCAATGAACTACTGGGCTTGGGGAAGTACACGCTGCCTAAGGACCACAGAGGAGGGGCACCTGTCTAATGCAGACCTAAGGGCCCTAGAAGGCTTCCTGGGGTTGGATGAGTAGGAATATAGAAACTGGTCAGGTGAACAAGTACGGTACAGGGGGAGGGCAGGGCAGTGAAGAGCAAAGGGAGGGGGAGAGAAGGGAGAGAGAAGAGATGACGTTTCCAATTTCACATCCCCAAGAGAAAATGGGGTCCACCCAAAAACTGGGCCATTTTGCCAGGATCCTGCAGTTCCATCCAGAAGCAAGAGCTCATGGGAGTTTCCCTCTGCTGCTCTGAAAACTTAAAGGACCCTTAGCCGCCAGAGAAGCAGCAGGGATGGGGCCTCCCTGTCCTGCCAACACACACACATATTAATCAGCTAGAGAAAGCTCTAAAAAGAAACCTAGCCTATTTCTGTCTGTGCATGGAGATGAAGACATTCCTAGAAATTGACTCCTAAGCCTCCATGGTACATGCAAAGGCACATGTGAGCGTGCTTATGTGCGTGCACTCACTCACACACACACACACACACACACACACACACACACTCTATTATCCCCAAGGGGCCAGATTTGGGACTTGCCTGTAGCTGTGGCTCTCAAGAGGCTGCAGGTGAATCTGAGGTAGGGGCTGGCCATGGCGGTGTGGGGGTCAGTTTGTGTGTGTCTGTGCATGGGAGTGTTATAAGCATGTCTCCCTGAGAGCTATGTTCAAGATTTCCTTAAGTGCTGACTGCCCATTAGCTGGTTTTCAGCCTTACCCATGTCTTCCTGAGAGTTGACTTGAAGCTGACAGGTGGCTTGAGGGACTGCATGTGTAGAGACCCCTCCGTGCACACACATGATACCCACAGATAACCCAGGTGCAAATGGGCTCCTCTCTCCGCTCTGCTCTGGAAATATCTGCCTCTCTGCATCCGCTCAGTTGCTCCGTGTCTGTGACTTATAATTCTCTCTCTCCTGCCTAGACTCACAAGCACAGCAGCAGGGACAGCTGCCGGGCCAATGAGCTCCTTCTGCCTCCTCCTCTGGGGGGCCCTCCAGGGTCCTGAGGCTTGCTGAATATTCACTTTCTCATCAAAGGGAGGAAAGGCACAGGGAGCAGCAGCTGCCAGGGGCTCCCTGTCAATCCACAGTCATTTATCACAGTGCAAAGACCATTAGGGAGCAGTTGTTTTTAGGGGGTTCCATCTGGATGAACATCACCTGTTGCTATTTTTAAAACACTGTTTTTAGTGACTAAGCTGGGATTCAGCTGAGGCGAAGGTAGATATGGAAGCAGCTGAGTCCCCAGACATTCTGCC
This sequence comes from Homo sapiens, assembly GCF_000001405.40. Classification (NCBI taxonomy): domain Eukaryota; kingdom Metazoa; phylum Chordata; class Mammalia; order Primates; family Hominidae; genus Homo; species Homo sapiens. Next base: position 40,563,626 of record NC_000006.12, read on the forward strand.
TTCCCCCTCAACACTGAGGGCCTGCCATGAGTCCTGGGGGCTATGTCACAAACAGCCTCATTTCCTGGGCTGCCAAGAAACAAGAATAGAAATCAAGGTAGAAACAATAAGATGATAAGACAGATGTGGAAGTAGCTTCAGCCTCCCCACAATTTCCAGCCCTGTCATCAAGGTCTTCAATAACTTCCCTGTCCTTGTTAGCACTACGATTACCATGGATACCACCCCTTCTCTCATTTCACCACCTGATTACTCCACAGACAGACCTTGTGTGCCCACAAGGTGCTGGATTCAGAGTACAAGTAATTTATTTTCTTAAATGATCACCACTGCACTTACCAACCGTGGTCCAGGCACTGGGCTAAGTGCTTTCTAACATTATCTCATTTAATAATAACCCTGTAAGGTCAGCATTCTTTTTATCTCCATTTTAGAGTTGAATATGTTGAGGCTCAGGAATGTTACCTAATTTTCCCCAAGTCATACAATCAGTAAAGGAAGAACCTAGGGTTCCAATGTGGGTTCAGCTGAGTCTTAGGTCTGGCCCCTATATTAGCCATCTGTGAGCCAACTCCAAGAGTGTTTCATGTCCAGTGGTGGACACAAACATGGGGACCACAGCTTACAATATATACCTTTTGTCATGTTCATGACCAAGAGTTAACAGTAACAGTCATCCAACCAACACTGATTGAGGACCTAGCATGTGCTAGGTGCTGCTTTTCTGCTTCAGCACCTGGCGATACATATAGACAAAATTAAGTTCCTGCTGTCATAGAGTTTACAATCGAACCATCTACCCAGCTGCCCAAGGCAGACACCCAAAGTTCATCTTTGAGATCTCCTTCACATTCACAGCTCCCCCAGTGGGATCAAGGTGTCATCTAATCACCAAGTCCTGTTGATTTTACCACCTAAGAAGGTCCAGCACCTGCACACTTCTATCCATCCCCACCACTATAATCTAAATTACCATGATCTCTCTCCTGAACTACTCCACTGCTCTCTTAATACACCCACTCTCACCATCCTCCAATCAGTTTTCCACAATGTAATTAGAGTGATCTTTTCAAAATGTAAATCTGGGTTCCTTTCCCTTAAATTATAATCCTTCAGTGCCTCTCCATTGCTCATAGTAAAAATGCTTCTTAACAGCCCATGATGCCCTACCTACCTCCCCAGCATTGCCCACACCATGACCACAATACCCATCTCCACCATCAGTGTGATCATATCCTCCAACCCCAAAATCCCCCCAGCCTCCTCCACCACCATCACAGGAGTCTGCATAAAGCAGCCCCTCCACCTGTGTAATGGAGTCAGACTGCTCTGTACCAAAGCTCTGACCATTTGAGACAAAGACTCAGAAACACACCATCAGGACGCCTGTCAGTTCAACTGAAAGCCTCAACAAGACTGATCTGGAGTTTCTAGACTTTCCCAAACTCTAAGAAAAATTGGAGGGCAGGATGTATAAGAGCCAGGACCATCTAGCAGAGGACGTAGATCCCAAATCATTATAGAAATCGCTAACATTAATCCAACTTACAAGGGATGTGAAGGACCTCTTCAAGGAGAACTACAAACCACTGCTCAATGAAATAAAAGAGGATACAAACAAATGGAAGAACATTCCATGCTCATGGGTAGGAAGAATCAATATCGTGAAAATGGCCATACTGCCCAAGGTAATTTATAGATTCAATGCCATCCCCATCAAGCTACCAATGACTTTCTTCACCGAATTGGAAAAAACTACTTTAAAGTTCATATGGAACCAAAAAAGAGCCTGCATTGCCAAGTCAATCCTAAGCCAAAAGAACAAAGCTGGAGGCATCACACTACCTGACTTCAAACTATACTACAAGGCTACAGTAACCAAAACAGCATGGTATTGGTACCAAAACAGAGATATAGACCAATGGAACAGAGCAGAGCCCTCAGAAATATTGCCACCTATCTACAACCATCTGATCTTTGACAAACCTGACAAAAACAAGAAATGGGGAAAGGATTCCCTATTTAATAAATGGTGCTGGGAAAACTGGCTAGCCATATGTAGAAAGCTGAAACTGGATCCCTTCCTTACACCTTATACAAAAATTAATTCAACATGGATTAAAGACTTACATGTTAGACCTAAAACCATAAAAACCCTAGAAGAAAACCTAGGCAATACCATTCAGGACATAGGCATGGGCAAGGACTTCATGTCTAAAACACCAAAAGCAATGGCAACAAAAGACAAAATTGACAAATGGGATCTAATTAAACTAAAGAGCTTCTGCACAGCAAAAGAAACCACCATCAGAGTGAACAGGCAACCTACAGAATGGGAGAAAATTTTTGCAACCTACTTATCTGACAAAGGGCTAATATCCAGAATCTACAATGAACTCAAAAAATTTACAAGAAAAAAACAAACAGCCCCATCAAAAAGTGGATGAAGGATATGAACAGACACTTCTCAAAAGAAGACATTTATGCAGCCAAAAAACACATGAAAAAATGCTCATCATCACTGGCCATCAGAGAAATGCAAATCAAAACCACAACGAGATACCATCTCACACCAGTTAGAATGGCGACCATTAAAAAGTCAGGAAACAAAGTTGCTGGAGAGGATGTGAAGAAATAGGAACAGTTTTACACTGTTGGTGGGACTGTAAACTAGCTCAACCATTGTGGAAGTCCGTGTGGCGATTCCTCAGGGATCTGGAACTAGAAATACCATTAGACCCAGCCATCCCATTACTGGGTATATACCCAAAGGATTATAAATCATGCTGCTTTAAAGACACATGCACACGTATGTTTATTGCCGCGCTATTCACAATAGCAAAGACTTGGAACCAACCCAAATGTCCAACAATGATAGACTGGATTAAGAAAATGTGGCACATATACACCATGGAATACTATGCAGCCATAAAAAATGATGAGTTCATGTCCTTTGTAGGGACATGGATGAAGCTGGAAACCATCATTCTCAGCAAACTATCACATGGACAAAAAACCAAACACCGCATGTTCTCACTCATAGGTGGGAATTGAACAATGAGAACACATGGACACAGGAAGGGGAACATCACACACTGGGGACTGTTGTGGGGTGGGGGGAGAGGGGAGGAATAGCATTAGGAGATATACCTAATGCTAAATGACGAGTTAATGGGTGCAGCATACCAACATGGCACATGTATACATATGTAACAAACCTGCACATTGTGCACATGTACCCTAAAACTTAAAGTATAATAATAATAATAATAAAAGAAATCCCTAACATTTATATTCAAGCCAAAACTTGGTATGATGATCTTCAAGAGCAAGCTTAAAGAGAACCACTTAAAGTATGTTGACAGTAGGAAGGGGAAGGCCCATTTCCTTAGAGTCTTTACAATATTATGTCTGTAGCCCCTACATCCCCCAATTTTAAAGATGAGGAAACAGTTTTAAAGAGAGGAGAAGACACTTGATCAAGGTCATACTGCAAGTCCCTGGGATTGACAGGATCCAAGGTCAGCCTGAGACTCCCTCCCTTACTTAGCCTACCTAGCTTCCTGGAGAAAAGGGTTGGAACCACTCAGGAAAGGAACAGTCTCCTGCTACCAAGGTCCTCTTCCCTGGATTCCAATGAGGAAAGAAAAAGGCACTTTTTCTCTGGGTTTCTAGTTTTCCTCCAAAGCTGGGAGAAAAATCAAAATGGCGGACACAGCCTGCTTCCAGCCAATAGGACAAAATTATGAGGTGGGAGGCCCTTCTGACTGATGCTGCCTTGGCTAAAAGAAAGAGCAAAAATAAATCTCCCTCAACCCCAGTCCCTAAAGAGCATAAGGGAAGCAACCTGTCCACTTCATTCCTTAAAACACGTGATTACAAAGCTGTCTTGATCCTTGACTTCCTCTCTGTGTCCCCATCTTCCTCCTCTCCACTTCTGAATCTCAGCTCCAGAGAAGATATGGGACACCAGGCAACAGAGCCAGAGAAGCCAACAGAGGTGGAACCCATGAGAGGGAAAGAATAGCAATTAGAACTTACATTGAGCATTGACTATGGACATGTTTGTATACAAGCACTTTGCTGTTGATCTTCACTGTTTTAGAGGACTAGGCACTCCGTTACCCATTGAATTCCACAGCAGCCTACCTTGAGGAGTTCTGACAGGGTCAAGGGGCAGACCTGGCCTGGCTAAAGCGGAGGTGCTGGTGAGGCGGCACCAGCAGGCATCTTACAGAGACTATACCCCACAGATGAACTCCTAAGGCTCTGCTGGAAAACCCACAACTGCCATCACATTCTTCAATGCCCCTAAACAGCCTGCTCAAGAACTGGAATGCCCAAACTAATAGCTCTACCAGCTGCCAGATGATCAATTTACCCCCAAAACGTACAAACAAAATTCACTCTTCCCAGACGGTCTACAGTTTCCCCCTTCCTTCTCTTCTCTCTCTCTCTCTCTTATAAACTGGGTTTTACCTGTGTGAATTGACAGCAATCTACTGACTGTCTTCCTCCTAAGAGAAATATGTACAGATAACTAAGCCTCAGTCAAGGTTTGACAGCAGCCTGGGCTGGCCTAGGCCTCTCTGGGAAAATAACCCCAGGCCTGCCCTCCCACAATGCAGTTAAGATACATGTGGACTGTGGTGTCTGCCCTGTGTCGTGTGAAACCCCTGATCTGTGGGCCTGGGGAACTGTGAGTTGGCATGCAGGCCTGGGATCTATGTGTCTAAGATGGTATATTGGAAATTGAGACAGCAGCTTCTCTGCATCAAGGAGACTCTTAGACGGTTCTCAGGTTTTATCAACAGCAGCCAAAATGGCCCACATGGGTGAGGGGCAAAAAAAAGTTATGTATGTGGGTGGCTTACAGGCATCCCCACAAGACGAAGATAAAGATCCTACGTGTGCTCTGTTTCCTGTCCTGTTCCAAATGCCTCGCTAATGCTAAGAAACACAGTGCTAAATTAAAGCCTACTGTATCCTCTGAGTCAGATGGCCAATTCAAACCTGTGATTATTCCCAGTGTCACTGGGTTACTAAACGTCTCCCCCATTTCCTTCCTTCCTTCCTTCCTTCCTTCCTTCCTTCCTTCCTTCCTTCCTTTTTTGAGACGGAGTTTCGCTCTTGTTGCCTAGGCTGGAGTGCAATGGTGCGATCTCGGCTCACTGTAACCTCCGCCTCCTGGGTTCAAGTGATTCTCCTACCTCAGCCTCCCGAGTAGCTGGGATTACAGGCATGTGCCACCATGCCCGGCTAATTTTGTATCTCCCCCATTTTCACCTCTATTCTAACGGATAAAGAAACTAAGACACGCAGAGATCAGATGACTTGCCCAAGACCACACAGAACCAGACGGGAGCACCCACTTACACTGCCTCCAAGCGAGGATAAATGGTGTGGTACAATGGGAAGGACATGGGTCACTCTGTCAAGAGCCCTGCCTTCCAAAGGCAGCTCTGGGACCCACAGCTTCATGTGGGAAGAAAATTGAACAATTAGGGAGAGATAGCTTGGTAGCCAGGGAGCTGGGAGGCAGGAAGCATGAGTCCCCACCTATAATCCAGGCAACAGAAGATTGAGACTATATTTAAGCCTCCACTGGGGGAGAAGCCCTGGAGGATGGGAGCCTATTGTTTCAAGGGAGGACTGGCCTGGAACCAAGGGAGAGTTGGTACATTCGAGGCATTTAGACCTCAGGGCTTTCAGGGGGTAGGGCAGGGATCATAAATGAGGAAGTGGGCCTGGGAGGGATTTCCAGGTTGAAACAAGAACCCCAGAGGCCAACAGGGTGTGGACTAGAGAATCTTCACTGAGACTCAGAAGTCTGGCTTAGAAACCAGAAGGAAAAGCCTTTCCATGGTCAGGACCATATGGGGTTTATATCAGCCCAGAGTGACACCCGTTTGGCATAGTGGTTGGGGGCAGGAGCGGCCAGGTGTAATGCCGCACTGCCCAGATTTCACTGTTCAGACATGCCAAGGAGGATTAAGTAATTAAACTGGGGACCAGCAAGTCATCTGCCTGGTTCAAGCCTGGCTCCGCACTGCTCTCACTGTGGCAGAAGATTTTCTGCATTCTGATCTCCATGCCTTCAATTTCACTCGCAGTAATCCATCCTCCACACAGCTACCTAGGCCAAGTTCCTTAAAGGCAAATTGGACCATGTCATTCTCAGCTTAAAAGCTTTCCAGGGCCTCTATCAACTTCCCCACCAAGACTAAGCTCCTCTGCATAGCATGCAGGGCCGTCTCAGGTCCGGCCCTGACTTCCTGTGCTGCCATTCAACTCCCTTGCCCCTGCCTCACCCTCTGCGTTCCCTCCAGCATGGCACTGCCAGCTGCACCATGTTCTTGGGCTGTGAATGTCTCCCTTCCCCATCTCTGTGGTTCTCAACCCTAGAATCAGAATCCTAGGGAAGCTTTAAAACATCAATGGCCTGGCAACTGTCTTGTGGGTAGGGCTCAGGCATCAGTGTTTGTTATAGCCCCCCAGGTGATTCCAACATGCAACCAGGGCTAAGAGTCACCATTCTCTCTCTAACCAACCCTCAACTACTTCCTTGAAGATTCAGCCCAGGTGTCTCAGCCAATCATCAAATATTTATTGAGCTGGGCACTATTCTAAGCAGTGGATATAAAAATAATAATGATAGCTAATATTTATTGAGCACTTGCCATGTGCCAGACACTGTTCTAAGTGCTTTACATATATTAACTCATTTAGCCCAAACCACACCTCTGTGGGGGCAGGTATTATTATTTCTTCCATTTTACACATGAAGAAACTGGGACACAGAGAGATAAAGCAACTTCCCCAGAGTCACACAGCACTGAGTTGTGCAGCCAGATTTCTGCACAGGCAGTCTAAGCACCAGTCTGCACTTTTAACCCTGGGCCGCCCTGTCCCTTCCCCATTCCTGCCCCACATTGTTCACAGGCTGCAAGAGAGAAGCAATAAACCAACAAGCAGATACAGAGTGTGGAAAGGAACACATGGGGCCGGGGGAAGCTGCTCTTAGTGAGAGCAGCAAGGGGCCAAACTTTAGAGTGGGAGTGGTCAGGCCATCCCTAAAAGCAATATTTAAGCTGACATCTGAAGGACGAGTAGTGTCCAGCCATGCAGACTGTAGAGAAATGGTGTTCTAGGCAGAATGCAAAGGCCCAGAGGTGGAAAAGAACATGATCTTTTCTAGTAAATGTTCATGGTTCCCTCAGGGTGCTAGACATGGGGAGAAGGCACAAAGGAGGTAAAGAAATGGACAGGGCCAGTGCCTGGCAGGCCAGCTAAAGGGTTAGGATTTTACTCTAAATGCACTGAAACATCTTCAGCAAGGTGTGCGCATTGTCTATGGGAGAATGGCCTAGAGGAACTTAATGGGGCCATTCAAGAGGGTGCTGCAGCCATTTAGCAAGAGGCCCCGGAAGCAGAGCTGGAGAGGAATCACCTCTTGCTGGAAGCACTGCAGGCTCCTGCCTCCAGTCACAGGACCATCATGGTGCATTATAATTGTTTGTTTACCTCTCTGCCTCCCCACCAGACTGGGAGACCCTTGAAGGCAGAAACTAAGTCTAATTAGCTAGCCTCTGTCACCTAGCAGCTGACCAATACTAGGTGCTCAGTAAACATCTGTTAACTGCAAGTGAGTTGAATGGAATCATGCAAGGCTGGTTAGGTTGGCAACACATTGAAGAATTTCTTCTTTCTCCTTCATTGATCTGGGGACTTCACAGACCTTGGCCAGAATAAGAGGATGCTGCACCACTCCAGCCCTCAGTAGAGCCCCTCCTCTGACACCCACCATGGGAAAGCAGTGTTGGACTGCAGACAACTTGCAGCAGCCAAGGTCCATCATTTCCCTAACCCCCAGCAAACCCCATAAGGCAGGGCAATGGGGAGGGAGGGAGCTGAAACCCAGAGTCCTCCCAAAGTAGCGGAACCTCGAGATTCCAGGTGGCGCTGGGTGTTTTAAATAGCCCAGGTTTTAGCAGGCAATTTGGGCACCCAATGTGGGTCTGCACTTCTGACAGTGAGGGCAGGGCCAGGTCCGATGTTGGAGCCTCTGTGGCCCTCCTTTCTGCTGCCGTCACCACCAGCAGGTGGATCCCCAAATCATGTGATGCCCCACCTCCATCCAAATCAGAGACAGGAAAGGGGGAAGAGCCTTTGAGGGCCCCACAACAAGTTGGTGGCGGAGCTGGTGTGGCCATGCAAGTGTCCAGACTCCCAGCCTGGTGCTGTCTCCATGGCACTTCTCAATCGACCTGCCCAGCCCCTCGCCTGCCCTCACTGCTCCTTGAGTTATGTCTCTCTGGAGGTTCTGAAGCTGCCCAGAGCACAGGGTCTCCAAAACAGGGGGGGCTCCGAAACAGGTTTCCTGGGAAGAAGCAAAGAACCAGGCCCTTCAGGACAGCAGCTACCCCTCCTCCCGTTCTGCTCCCACGCTTTGCTAACAGCGTGATGGTTGAGGGTGTAGGGCCAAATCCCTGCATGCCACTTATCACATGTGTGGGCCTGAGCAAGTTACTTAAACCCTCTATATCACAGTTTCCTCACTAGGACGTAGAGATGATAGTTAAAATAACAGTACCTGTGCCTTAGGTTGTCATGGGCAATAAATTAGATAATAAGTACAAAGGGCTTAAAACAGTGCCCAGCATGTAGTAAGTGCTTACTTAGTATGAACATCAGAGAGAACTTTCTAGATCAGCATCAAGGGACCCGGGCCATTATCCAGTTCATTAGCCCCCTGTGTGCCTCAGTTTTCCTATCTGTTAAATGGGGGAGTGATGTAGCCATATGAGTGGCTTAAAGACAACCATGAAATGCTAATTACTATGGGAAGTGTTTGGAAGTTAAAGAGAAAAAGTACCTTACAAGTGGGAGGCTTGATGGGCATATGACCCCGCAGCAGAGGAAGGGGCCAATAAAGCACCACCAGCCCAGCAGGCTGCCTGGGTTTTATGGGGCTTGGGGCCCAGGCCACTTTCCTGAACATCATTTAGAATTTATAGACTCTTGTCCCTGTCCTTTCTGTTTATTTAGTTGCCTTAGAAGCCAGCCTGGCATTAATAGCATCTTTGCTGCCCAAGCAGGAGAATGCAGCCTTTTCTATGTTTAATCCCCAGCTAGTGGAAGGAGTGAGAGCTGGAAGTCCACAGAGAACCCTGGGGCTGCTGGTGGGCTCCTATAGTCAGCAGATGGGCTGTTAGCAGGTGGGCATGTTCATTCTGCAACAAGGTGCCTCCTCTACCTGCTGGGGGAAGGATCGGATAATGACAACTACATCAAATAGAATATTGGAGCCAAAGGACTGCACGAGCCCATGTCCTGCCAAACCTGCTGCCTGCATAGCCGCCCCAGTGATGACTGAGACCTCATAAACTTCATATGAATTTGAACAGAACTGAAAAGGACTGGAGGCATCCTGCCCATTTATCAAACACGAAAACAAGAGTGAGAAGCATCAGCTGAGAACTCCTGATGAAATCTAATCCTGCCTTCATCACTTACAAGCTGTGTGACCTTAGCTTAGGAATTTGGCCTCTCTGAGCCTCAGTTTTCTGTCCTATAGAACAGGTTTAAAAGTACCTGCCCTGACTATTCCAGAGGCCATTGGGATGAAAAATGAGACCAGGTACAGTTGGGGGGAATTTGGAAAGGATAGGAGGCAAGCTGCAGCAGAGTGGTCAGGAGTGTGGGGCACTGGGGCCAGATGGCCTGGGTGCCAGTCGCAACCCGGCCACTTCTTAGCTAGGTGACCCAGGGTGCATTACTCGACCTCTGTGTTTCAGTTCCCTCTTTGCTGTAATTTGCCTAAGTGACAGCGTTTTGTGAGAATGAAATGGGACAGCATCTCTGAGCCTGCCGGAGCTCCATAAATGTGGGCAGCTAAGAGAGGCTCCATCCCCAAGAGTGTCTAGAATGGCTTAGGGCATGGCAGTGGATATCAGAAACAACTGGATTCAAATCCTGGCTCATCCATGCATTTGCTCTGTGACCTGGGTAGGGTGCCCAACTCATCCTAGTTGGCCTGGGACTTTCCTAACTTCAAAACTGAAAGTCCTGGCTGGGCACAGTGGCTCACGCCTGTAATCCCAGCACTTTGGGAGGCCGAGGCAGGTGAATCACCCGAGGTCATGAGTTCGAGACCAGCCTGGCCAACATGGTGAAACCCCATCTCTACTAAAAATACAAAAATTAGCCAGGCATGGTGATGCTACTCGGGGAGCTAAAGGAGGAGAATCACTTGAACCTGGGAGGCAGAGGTTGCAGTGAGCTGAAATCACGCCATTGCACTGCAGCCTGGGCAACAAGAACGAAACTTGTGTCAAAAACAAAACAAACAAACAAACAAACCACAACTGAAAGTACTGCATCCCAGGAATCCCCTTAGTCTCAGGCGAATTCGGACAGGTGGTCACCCTAGACTTGGAGCAAATCTCATTGATATTTTGAGCTTCAGTTTTCACATGTGCAGGGAGGTAATACCTACTTTGCAAAAGTAGTTGGGAGACAAAATGAGAGAATGCATATAAATATGGTATAGACAAACACTTTAATAACATATGCCATGTGCCAGGTGCTGTAGCATTTTGTAGCTATTTACCATTTTATACTCATGACAACCCTAGGGATTAAGTATTGGTGCTAGCTCCATTTTACAGAAGGGGAAAGTGAGGCTCAAAGAGCTAAGTGACTTGCATGAGGGTACACAGCTCCTAAGTGGAACTGCTGAGATTTGAACCCAGCTGTCTGACTCCCAGGCCTGACTCACTGTGCTAGAATTCCTCTCACATATCAACTGCTCATCAAGTAGCAGCTGTTAATAAGAAAAGCAACAGAAACATCAGCCTCGGAGTTATGCTCCCAGTTTGTGTCCATCACGGGGTGGGGGGTGGCGGGGAGTGCTGGATGATTCTGAGCCCACAGGAAAAAGTATAAGCTTCACTTTACCTTTATACTTCACACTTTCCATAAATGTGTGGCCTGTTCCATAAATCTCAGGCTATGTAAATTTGGTGCATAATTGGGAGGCACTGCAGGTACCTGCGGCTCCAGAATAAAATCCAGGCAGCTCCGGAGAGAGAGCAGGGCCCCATTAGCAAGGACAGAGTGAGAAGTGGGCAGAGAGCAAGCTTCACTTCACAGCAGGGCCACGGAAGTGAAGATGTGCAGGGCTGCACTCTGCCAAGGATGGCTCCTTGGAGTCATGGGACTCACAACATCCTCAGGCTCAGGACCCTTTTCCCCCACCTACCCCAATAAGGGGCATGCAGACAGCACAGGGGATCCCTGCTTCTCCCAAAACACACTTCGCCATGAGTGTGACCTGGGAGACAGGGAGATAAGTGTCTGGGCCATGGCAAGTAGCATATTGTGGCCTGACTCCAGCCATGGCAATGGGTCCTTAGGATGATGGAGGAAGTGAGGATGTGAGGATCTGGAGAGGAAGGACTCCTCAGGATGGTCTACACAAGACCCAGTCACCCCTCCCAACTCCTGCTCAGGAACCAGGCATCTCAGACCGCAGTGGGCAGCACGCAGCAGGGCCTCCTCACTGCTGTGCACTAGTGAGGGCGGGCTGGAACTGGCAGAGTGCGCAGAACCCCCAGCTCTTCCCCTGCTGCCCACTGGCTCACTGTGCTCCTGGGAGCTAAGCCCAGCTCCGAGGTGCTCCTGGGCTGCAAGCAGCTTTGCCTCTTAAACAAAGGGCAAGGGAACACACAAAGGCAGTCCTGAGAGAGACCCCATGGAGGTCAGGATGTCACCCTCCTTCCATGGACACAGGAAAGAAGGAGGGCAGATGGCAACCACACCACCCAGCCAGGGCTCCCACCAGCCTTACTCTGCGCCTGCCCTTCTGCCCTTGCTTGGGGGCCAAAATGGTGGATATTGGGGCCCTAACCATCTGTGGATATTGGGGTAAAGGAACTTGGCCCCTTGCCCTGGGGACATTTCCTGCTGTTGCAAGGTCCCCAGGCCTTTCCCCTGGGTGCAGTGAAAACATAAAGAAACAGAAGTCATGTGAGGACAAGAATGCCTCTTGTAGTACCATGAAGCCATCCCACCCCATCCCCACTCTCCCACCCCCAATCCAACTCAGGGATCACAGCACGTGACAGCATGCATCCTGGTTGAGAGAGGGGGCTCAGGAGCTGGCTGCTGGGGTTTGAATCCAGCTAATCCAAAGTTGAATTTTACTGTAATAGCTGTGTGACTTTGGGCAAGCTACTAACCCACTCTGAATCTTCATTCCTTCACCTGTAAAATGAAGTAATAATACCTACTGCACAGAATGAATGTGGGCATAAAATAAGTACATAAAGCTTATTTTAGAATAGCACAGGGCTCACAGCAAGCATTCAATACCCAGTGGCCATTATTATTATGTTATAATATAATATAATGCAAGCATGACCTGGTCATTCCATTAGCCTTCCTGAGCTACAGTTTCCTCGCGTTTAAATGGAGACAAGTCTGCTTGCCCTACTTCCTCACTGTCATGGGGTCCAAAGAAGACAGGTATGGCTGCAGGTAGAGCTTTAAAATGTATAAAGTGCTGTATGCATGGAAGGGATTAATATAATGCATCCTCCAATAAATACAAAGCAGCATAAGCCTAATTCCATAGGGTAACATGATACAATGTAAGATAATACTCTGCATTAAAAACTGAATTGGAGAGAGACAAGACAGATGGAGAGAGAGACAGAGAGGCAGAGAAAGGCCGAGCAGAACAGGGACAGAGAGTGAGGGCTGAACTGAAAGAGCAGCGAATCAATGTTGTACTGTAATTTAAAAACCAATATACAGTAAATATCAGCCTGGCATTGCAGCGCAGCAGCATGGCAGGGCAGCCCAGCATGAGATAACTCATGCCTCAAGCTGGGCCAGCCACCACTGGGTCCCACCGGCCTTCCCTGTAACTCATGATCCATTGCTCTCTCTCCGGAGCTGCCTGGATTTTATCCTGGAGCCGCAGGTACCTGCAGTGCCTCCCAATTATGCACCAAATTTACATGGCCTGAGATTTACGGAACAGGCTGATCACAGAGCCCTAGAAGGAGCTCAGGGCCTTGACTTCTCTCTCCACCCCAAGAGAGAGACACTGAGCTGGGGCTTTGGGTCCTGGCCAGCCTGGCTCTAAGCAGACAGTGGCTGGGAGGCCTGGGCTTCAGTCGGGTCCCACCCCCAGCTCTCCTGTGGTTCTTGCTGCTGTCTCATTCTGGTCTTCTTCACCTTCCTGACTCCTCTTCCCATAGTCCCACACCAACCCTCCATCATCACCTCATGTCCCACCCTAGATACTGACCCATGCATGATCCGTTCCTGCACCCTGACACCCCTGAATTCCTAAAACCCCACCCCCACAAGCATTCCCTCCTCCAGTCTGGTTCTCCCTACTGGAGGTCCTCATTCCCTCTTCTGGGTCCTGGTCCAAGGCCCATTTTCTTTTCTTTTCTTTTCTTTTCCTTTCTTTTCTTTTTAGATATGGAGTCTCGCTGTCTCACCCAGGCTGGAGTGCAGTGGCATGATCTCAGCTCACTGCAACTTCCACCTCCTGGGTTCAAGCGATTCTCCTGCCTCAGCCTCCCAAGTAGCCGGGACTACAGGCACGCGCGGCCATGTCCAGCTAATTTTTCGTATTTTAGTAGAGACGGAGTTTCACCATGTTGCCCAGGCTGGTCTCGAACTCCTGAGCTCAGGCAATCTGCCTGCCTTGGCCTCCCAAAGTGCTGGGATTACAGGCATGAGCCACTGCACCAAGCCCCCAAGGCCCATTTTCTTGCCCCAAATACTTTCCAAGCTCTTTCAAACCAAAAGATCCAGGAGGGTACATGTGCACATTGTGCAGGTTAGTTACATACGTATACATGTGCCATGCTGGTGCGCTGCACCCACTAACTCGTCATCTAGCATTAGGTATATCTCCCAATGCTATCCCTCTCCCCTCCCCCCACCCCACCACAGTCCCCGGAGTGTGATATTCCCCTTCCTGTGTCCATGTGATCTCATTGTTCAATTCCCACCTATGAGTGAGAATATGCGGTGTTTGGTTTTTTGTTCTTGCGATAGTTTACTGAGAATGATGATTTCCAATTTCAACAATGTGCACATGTACCCTAAAACTTAAAGTATAATAAAAAAAAAAGGAAAAAATAAATAAATAAATAAATAAAAATTAAAAAAAATAAAAATAAATAAAAATAAAAGATCCAGGAGGGTCCCTTTCCCACCACTAGGAGCAGCCTTGGGACAAAGGTGTTGGGGTGGGTAGGAATATGGCCCAGGAGGATGTCTCTGGCTTTCTCCCCACACACCAGGCCAGTCTGAATCAGAAGGTTCCCAATCCAGGTTCCCCGTCCCTTCTGTGCCCCCTGAGTGCTCCCAGCACAGCCCCGCCCTCACATAAGCATTCAACAACCCTATAAAGTGGATGCTACTCTTATCCCTATCCCCATCCCAAGGCATTCATGACAGTTTCAAAAGGCTTCAATACTCATGTCCTGTGGCCTAACTCCCATCCTCTGGGGTGCTGTGTAGAGGGCAGCCTGCTTCTCCCCATGCCATTTCATGTGGACCCCGTCTAGTTATGCAAGCCTGGAATGAGATCTTCCTTCCCCACCGTGGTTTATTTTCCCAGCAGTATGATCCCAACATGCATAAGGGCCAGGTGGGAAGGCCAGTCCTGAACTTATCAGCTATCATCATCCAAAACCCTCTCCTCCAAGATTCTTGTGACCCCTCGCCTGAATGCAGTGTGGCTGTAAGGTACAATGAAAACCCCATCAGACCAGAAACCACTTCATAACATCTGTGCCTCAGTTCCCCTTTATGCAAAGTGGTTGTAATCATAATGTCTATGCTGACTGCCTGGTAGGATTGTTGCAAGGGACAAATGAGATCATGTGGAGATTCCCCAAATTAATGTCTAACTTAAGAGATGGTTGTTAGAAAGGAGTATCAGTTAAGAGGGTCCTCAGTGGTATTTTCCTAAGTATGGTCCTCTCCATGCTTAGAAAAATACCACTATTTCTACTACTACCACTAATAGCTCACACGTATATATTGTTCAATATGTGCCAGGCACTGTTCCAAGTACCTTATGTATAGTAGTTCATTTAATTTTCCTAACAACCCTGTGAGGTGGGTACTATTATTATCCTCATTTTGCAGATGAGAAAACTGAGGCACAGAAAGAATAACCCACTCAAGTTCACACAACCAGGAAAACAGAACACAATGCAAATCCTACAAATGCAGGCACAGGTACACACATTTCTCCCTGTGAGAAAGATGCTCCATCCACGAATTTTGGTGCCTAAATGTTCCCTAATAATGTGCCTTGTGTATCTGCTTTGTCCTCCTCCTTAGACATAAACTTCCCAAGGACAAGGACTGGTCTTTGCTCATCAGATGAAGACTTCCCAAGCATCAGGGATCTGCTTTGCCCATTTGCAACCACTCTGCGATTGCAAGCACAATCCCTGCCAGCATCCTCATTCACAGATTCTTGCCCCTCAATAGCCTGGGGAACCACCCTCTCCTCCAGGGCAATAGCCCTTATTGTCATGTGCTTAGAAGGTGTGACTCTGGACAGAGAGTCCAGGATTTAATGTCTATTCCAGGGGCTCTAGCCTCAGCTCCCCTTCTTCCCAGCTCAGCCCCTGTGACATAAGTCCTCAGGCAAGGAGGAAGATTAATGGTTCCTTTCAGGCCAGCTGTCTCTAAATTGGGACGATGACCCCAAATCTCTTCATCCTATCAGTTTCTATTTGGGTAAGATGGTAAGATGTCAGCTTAGTGGTAGAGCAGGGTGGGAAAGCAGCTTGAGAGCCTGTTTCTTAAGCGGACTTCATTACCATCACCATATAATCACCATCATCATTATCATCATCATCACCACCATCAGCTTTACATCAAGCAGTTAATCATGTGTGACCTTGACTGACTCCTAAGCAACACACACGAACACACACAAACACACACACACACACACACACACGAGAATGCAGGTGAAGGGCTGCACTAGAAATCAGCCAGAACTTGGAACCGCCACCCCCAACATAATCAAGTCCTGGGGTCCACAAACAGGGCTGGAAAAAGTGCAAGAGAAGAAGTCAAATGATCAGTGAGACTGAGGGCTGCGTGCACACAGGGATTGGAGAGGTAATTCACCTTTGCAGTGTCAGGCTCCCTGGGTGGCACGTAGTAGGCATTCAATTAATGCTTGCTGAATTAAACTAAACAGAGGAAGACTGCTAGCCATCAAGTCGTGAAAGGGATGGGTGAAGATGGATGGGATTGCTTACCACATCTTAAAGGAACAGGGCCTTAAAGTTTGAAGGAAGTGAAGGTAGCACTTCAGAGCAAGCTAAAGGAATGGCAGGCAGAAAAGCACAGAAGCTATAGCCTCAAGAGGTGAGGTGGGCTGAGACTACAAAAAAGGATACATTGATGATGAGCGTAGCTTGATCCCATCATGAGAAATGGCAATGAGAAGGCTTATTTACCTCGACCCTAAGGACAGAGGCAGTCCACCCTTCTCCCACACCCTATTTTGGTGAAAACAAGTCAGAACTGAAACTGGAATGCCCATGGGCTGCCCCAGGGTGGCATTTCTCACTTGCTGGAGTTTAGTGTGAATAAAAGCTTCTAGCAGACTGAGAGCCAGGAAGGAAGACACGATCACCAAGAAGCGGCTGGAGTATGCACATGTCCTGGCTGAGAAGGATAGAGGATCTGGTCACCCTTTGTCTGTGTGTGAATCTCCCTGGTCCTTAGTTTCCCATCTTTAACCAGGGACAAAATATACCCTTCCTGTCTTCCAGGGTTGTTCTACAGAGCAGAAATTGCTACGGCAGCTCCGAAGTGATAGGTGAATCTCTGGACCGGATCCAGAAGTCTTGGCACTCATCCTGACCCTGCTACCTGCAAATCCAAGCCAGTTTCCTCATCCATATACAAAAGAAGACATGGTTTTGTCCTCCTGAATGAGGTCAGAGGGCTATAGGAATGACAGAAGGCCATGTATTGACATGCTCTCTAAAGTAGACAGTGAGCTGGAAGGGTTGAATGGCACCCGCCCATGTCTTTGAGGGAGAAGCCAGTGCAGTGGAAAAAGGGAGTGTGTGCATGTATGTGTGAATATGTGGGAGTGTTGCATTTGTAAGAGAAGGTATATGAACTCATGAACGTGTGTACATGAATGTGTGCATGTATGAATGTACAAGTGTGAGTATTTGGGAGTGTGTATATGTATGTGAACGTATGTGTTAGTGTGAGCATAAATGTATGTGTGTATAAGTATATGTGTGGGCATGCAAGTGTGGATGTGTGTGAGGTATGTGGACATGTGTACACTGGTGGGGGTGTGTGTGTATGAATGTGTGTGTATGTGCACATGTATGTGGTGGAGTGGGGAGGAAAGAGACACCCTCATTCAGACGGCAGCCCTGGGATCCTGGTCATTCCAAACGAAACCCAGTTACAGTGTTTGGTCATAGACTAGTCAGGAGCACGAAGCAAAGAAAAGCCTCAGGTCAGTGCTGTCTGGCAGAAGAGGATGGAAAGGAGGATGGAGGACCCCAGCCAAGTAACTTCCAGGGCCTAGATGGCTCCGCAGAGATGTCTGCTCTGAGGCTGGATCATGGACTCGTAAATCAAAGGATCAACCTCCTGAACTGAAAAGGCCTTAGGAGAGCACACAGGCTCTAAACCACAGGCGAGGACAGGAAGACAGAGGGGACGGCCAAAGTCACACAGCAAGTTACGGGCAGAGCTAAAAGGAGAGCTCATTCTAGGTTCCGCTGCACCCCAGCAAGCATTCTCTGACCAGCCATCAGTGCCTTGTGCTATAGGAGGACCTCTAACCTCTCACCTCCATGACCCCAGATCCCCATCCATCCTCCCTCCCTTCTTCCCCAGGGGGGCATTTCTAGGTATTATAGTGACTTCATTACAGGAAAGGTTGAATCAAGTAATCAATTCTACCCATCCAGAAATCTTCAATACCTTTTTAGAATGACAAGGCCTTATCTTACAGTCATTGTTAGGCATTTTTAGGAGGTTCCAGGAGCTCAGAAAGTCAGAAATGCCTTTGCCTTCACTGCCATCATCCATTGCTCTCTCACTAGGTACTGAGACCCTGGTATGGCTCATTCCCCAAACTTCTCCAAGTCCTGCAGGCTGAGTGGCCACATTTCATATGTTTTGGGGACCAGAGAGAGTCATGTAATATCAAGGCCTACTTTACAATTATTCTGAAGTAGGAACCTCCACAGACCCTCAGTATTAGTTGGGGGACCCCCTGGCTTCTTTGACTAAAGCCGCCTTAACAGGAGAATGAAAAAGAATGGGGTAGCTGGGAACAGAGTACTACTTTTGGAGAAAAGGAATAGGAAGTGAGTCCCTGGGAAGAAGAAATGAGAGGGCCAAATAGACTTTGCATCCCCAGGAAGTTTATTAGAGATCTGGGTTAAGGCAAGAGGGAGCCTGCTCCTCTGTGTTGTCCTACACCAAAATGGGGTAGAGGAAGGGATGTGTTGAGGGGAGAGGACCCAGGCAGGAAACATGGAAGGAAGAGGGGTTCAGAGATGCTCAGCTTTCTGCTTCTTTAGGTTGTTTCTGGGCACGTGAACTGTAGCTTAGCTCCTGCTGGTGGGTGAATTAATATAGGACATGCCAATAATAAATGCAGTGAAATCTAAAGAGCCCAACTTATTTTGCAATCTCGTATGTTTTTGGGGCTGCCCTGTTAATATTGGAAGGTTGCCAGGGAGGCCCCGGCTCTCCTGCAGACAATCCCAAGCAGGTTGATAAATTACAAGAACACAGTTTTGTTCTTTAATCCAGCTTGGCACAGTTTAACACCTATATCTTGTCTCTATAGTTCCAGTCTGTTCCTCAGGTTGGTCTGGTCTCCATTAGGCTTGGCCCTTGGAGACATTCAAAAAAGCAGGCCCAGACCTGTTCAAATCAAAGATGCCCTGATTTTCCGTTGCATGGAAGCCTTGGGTCTTCTCTTCAGGGCCCCCATACCTTCTATACAACCCTCAGTTACAACGTAAGGAAATCACTCAGAAAAAAAAAAAAAAGACTGATAAATCATGACATGGGTAGACTGTGTCCTTACTAAAACTTGCTTGGTGATTTGGACTCAATAGTTGAACAAGCTGAGCGGCCCAGAACATAGCTATTTTTGACCCTCTGTTCAAAGTTTAGCCTTGTGTTCTTGGGCAGTCAACCCAACACTGTCCCGACCTCCCATCTTGATAAAATGGAGATCCCTACTCAGGTGATGCTGATGCTGGTCCACAGACCACACTTGGGGTAGCAAGTTGCGAGTGGATCTGTCTCCCTCACTATCTTCTGGATTCCCCGTCTCACTAATCCACCTCTTCTAACTAACACTTACCTCTGTTAATTTTAAGACAATGCATCCTCAGTGGGGACAATATCGCCCCCAAGGGGGCAAAAATGTGTGCTTGGTGGGGAGGCAAAAAAAGAGAACTTAATCTTTTGATATAAAAAGTACAGATATACATATGTATATAGTGTATATATAGACATATATATACACTATATACATATATAGTATATATACACATATAGTATATCTGTGGTATTAAAATGTATGGGAGGGTGTGATTAGGAGAAACCCTCCAAAAATGCTTCTACCAAAAATGCTGCCCATGTGCCCCTTCCTAGCTTCCTGTTACCAGTCCCACCCAATTATGTGAACCACAACTGCCCTGTTTCTGCAGGTTCTTAACACCCCTTTTCTCAGAAGGCACAGTGTCCACCTGCCTGGCCTGTAATCACTGGTTAACTGCAGTCCCACATAAAACTGACCCGTGAAAGTCCACCTTTAGTGCCCTGATACCTGAGTATAATTATATTTGACATTTTAGTGACAGTCTTAAAGAGAAAGGGTCACAAATATAGCTGTGAGTGCTAAAGGGCTTGTCCAGTTTACAAAGTGCAGTCACACATGCTGCTGTGCCCTTCCAACAACCCTGGGGGATGACCATTAGCATCCTGTCTCATCAGTAAGAAAACCAGGCCCCTCTCTCAAATTGGATGTATCCCTCCCGCTACTACACAGATAGGACCCAGTTCAATCACAACCCCTGCCCAGGCCCCACAGAGCTGTATCCATTCACTTTACCTGGGCCTCACAACATTCCTCTGAGGTCACCCTTGGGGGAGTGGGCAACAGAGTCAAAAAGAGAAGACTGGGTGCTGGCGGCGGTTGGGGGGGTATTTTACATTCAAACCTCAGACAGGAAAGGGTGGCTGGTGATACTTGTAAAATGCAGAGCCCCACTTCCTGAGCAAATGTGCATGGCCATAAAAATCCAAAACAAACAAGAGAAAGGGAGGGAAGCAGGTGCCAGGGCCCCAGAGGTGAAATTTGCTCCTCAACCATCAATTCTCAAAGTTTTCTGGAGGGCTTTCTGGAGCCTTTTAACAATCAGCTTATGTCTGATGGCATCAAACCCTCCTGGCAGCTCCCTGGACAGGGGGAAGTTGGCTGTACTATCCTCCATGTCTCTGAAGAACTCTCTCTCCCTTCCAACCCTCCCTGTTTCCACTGAAGACTCTCCCAGATCTGAAAAGCGGTTTGGGGACTGCCAGGAAAACATCAGGTCATAATACATCTATTGGGTACATGCTATTATTTTATTTTACCAGGTCAAAACACAAAGACTCACATTGTTAACCAAGATATGGCAGAGCCAGAATTTGAACCCAGGCCACCCAAGTTGAGGTTTCATTCCATTATATGACAACTCTATCCCTTCAATAAGTTGGACCCTAAAACTCCACCCCTACCCAAAGGAAAATCACAAAATACTCAAATTGTTGTTGCTCTTGTTCAGAGTCCAATTCCACTTGGCCATCCCAGGTTGTTTATTGCTATATGTCTCTGCTTCCAGTCTAGCAGCCTCCCCCATCAGACTGTGAACTCCCTAGATGCTAATATCTACCTTAGGAAAGGGGAGTTTCTGAAAACAATTAATTCCAATTTCACTTCTCCACTGTCCCTGGGTAGACAGACCCCACGCCAGGAGCTTATAAGCCTCTATACATCCACCCTGCAAAAAAGGAGAGCAGAACCTGCTCAACCCCACAGGCTGAAGAGGCTTGGCAAACTGGCACTTGGAGGCCAGAATCCCTGTTTTTTTTTTTTCCTTTGGAGCTGAAGCAAAGATAAGAAGAGCAATTCCTCCTTCAGTCAAAGAAGGACTCAGTTGGCCAGAAGGCTGCCTGGTTTCCCCGGTGGCCCCACCCACTCTGACTGCATTTTCTTCCCATCTATCTTGCTTCTCCTCCTCAGCCTCACCTCCTGGAAGCTCCCAGCTCACCCTCTCTCAGGCCAGACTCCCCAGCTTCTCACGTTTCTGGGCCTGAGCAAAGAACTGGCACTTCACAGAAGAAGGAGCCCTGAACCCCAGCCTCCAGCCCACAGCAGGCAGGCACCCAGTTCTTCTAGACAGGAGATGGAACTGGGAGCCAACCTTCCAGAGGCTGAAACAGAAATGCCAAGTTTGCTGTTTGCATCCCCAGGATGAGGGCAGGAAGATAAATAATTACATTCCTGGTCAGGAATTAGACCAGAAACTCTAAATTGAGGGCTGGGCAGGGGGCCTGAGCAGAAGCATGTGAGGAGGCCAGAGGGAGATGCAACTCTGCACTCCCAGCCAGAGTCAGAAGGGAAAGATGACATTCCAGCATCAGCAGAAGGGCCCAGGCAGCTGGCATGGTCGGCGGAGGATGACGGCTCCAAGTGCAGGCCTTTTGGAGCTTCTGAATCCTCCCTACAGGACTCTGACCCCCTTCAGCCTCTGATGTACCCCACAAGGAAATGACACTACCCTCAGGGCTCTGCTGTGTGTGGCTATATAAAGCTCCTGCCAGAGGGCAGCGACCAGACCAGGGCACAACCCCAAGACCTAGTTCCCTTGCTCCCCACCTTGAGTTCCAAATCGGCCCCCACACAAGAATAACAGCCCACATAGAACCTCTAGCCCTGGCCCCTGGGAACTTCACAGCCCAGGGAATGGCAGTTTCCTCCCTAGCTTTGCTCCTCCCCAGCAGCAGGGGGTCAAATTCCTGAAGCTTCCCCCTCCCCCAGTACTAGAAGGCCAATCAGGCCATGGAGGCCACAGCTGCCACCTCCCTGAAACATACACATGCGTACACACACACACGCGTACACACACACACACACACACACACTCCATTGTGGCCAGGGGAGGGGGTCATCATCTATAGCCATGCCTGTAACTCCAACTCAAGAGTGCAGGCTCTGACATGTTCCCTGTCCCTGCAGGTGTCTGTCCGTCTGCAGCTGTCTGCTGTCGCCGGGTGCATTTGGCAACAGTCTGGCTCAGTCCCTCTGCGGTCTCCACTCAGGCTCTCTTCTCCCTCCTGCTCTGGTTTTCAGAGGCTCTATCTCCCTAGAACTCTCTGTCTCTGTCCTTTGTACCGGGCTGATGGGAAGACGAGTAGGACACCTCCCTCAGAAGGTCTGTGCAAAGTAAGGCACTGTCCACCTCGGAACGGTCTACTGCTCTCCCTCCTCCCTGCCCAGGCCAACCTTAGAACCAGGGCAGGGCTGGGTGGGAGACAGAGACCTAGGAACCCAGGCATGGCTAATGCCACTTTCCATATTGCTTCATCATGCCATTCTGATGCCCCAAGCTGCACACACACACAATCCCCCTGATCTGCTTTCTGCCTGAGGCCAGCATAGGGTCCCTGAACCTGCCCTACCTGCCCCCACAAACTGCAACCATGCCTTCCTTCCTCCCATCCGCTCTGCATCAACCCTTCCGCACTTGGCTTTACCCCACCCCACCCAGTCCACAGAGCTCAGGGAGTCCCCGGCGCCCCCACCTAGCCCCCAGCAATGGCTCTAGCCAGGCCTTGCATGTGCGGAGATGCAACAGAGTGGTCTGGCGGCAAAGTTCTCCTGCTGTTTTCAACGGTTCCATCCACCCGTGGCTCCCCGTCTCTCCATCCGGCTCTCCAGTCTCACATGGACCCGGCTCTCCCCGCTCCCCGCCAGAGTTTCACCCCCACTGTAGGAAATAAAGACTAAAGAAAGGAAAGGAAATCTCTCGCGATAAGGATGGGCGAAAAGAGAAGGGGGTGTCCGCATGAGCACCTAGGATGCGGGGAGTCTTCAAGAGAAAAAGAAAGGGATGCAAAGTTCCCGGTTCCCTCGGGTGCGTTCAGCCCCGCGCCGAGCTCCCGCGGACACCCGGGATCGCAAAGACGCAGCGCCGGCGACCACTCACCTGGGCGAGGCAGCATCTACCCCCGGCTGGGTGGCACCGAGGCCGGCTCCGCGGGGCGCCCGGGCTCCCCGGCTCGGCCACGCATCCTTCCCCGCCCGAGACAGACTCGAGCTAAACCCTCCGGCGGCTCCGGCGAATGCAGGCAGATGGTGGCCTCGGACGTCCACGCGGGGAAAGCCCTGAGCCGCTTATTCAGTTATATCCATGGCATTTAGCAAGAAGAAGGGGGGAAAAGCACAACTTGTTCTCTTCTCTTCCAGATTAAAGAAAAATAATAATAATAATCCCTCCCTAGGAGGATGCCGGTAGGATTTTCCGGATCGAAGAACCCCAGGCATTCCCAGGAACCTCGGGCATCTTGGAATGTGGGGTGTCTTCAAGTTCAGACGAGCCTGCCGGGTTGTGTATGTGTGAGTGTATGTGTGTCTCAGCGAGAGGGAGCCAGGCACTCACACCCACACGCACACACAAACACACTCCCCCGTACTCCCCGCATGCACACTGCCCCCCACGCGCGCGCGCATACGCGCGTACCCGGTTTCTCTCTCCGCTCCACACACACACACACACACACACGCACACACACACACACACGGATCACACGCTCCAATCTGGGAGGGAGTCGGGCGGGCTGCGGAGACAGCGCAGGGCCAGCAGTGGAGAAAACCCAGCGGCCAGAGGCGCCCAGGAACCCGGCGGCCGTGCGCACCGTCCCCGCCGAGCTCTCCGGCGCGGCAGCCCCCAGTGGCGAACCGCGGAGCTGCAGGAGCCGAAGGCAGCCTCTGCGCCCGCTGCCCTGCCCGCTGCCGAGCGCACCCGCTTCCGAGACGACCAACACCGCCGCGGAAACCAGAGGGATTCACGGTCCTGGCAGGGGTGGCGCGGGGACGCACGGTGGGGCGGGAGTGGGCTGGGGCCGCAGTCGCGGAGGGAGGTGGGCAGGCCGCGAGCCCCGGAACCGGGAGGGCGGTCTCCGCGGTCCAGCGGCACGGGCAGCCCCTGCGGAAGGCGAGCCGGGCGGCCAGGGCTGCACCTCTGCAGCTGGCGACGGCGCTGCCACCTCACGTGCCTAGCGCGCCCTGCAGCCGTCAGCCCGCCGCCTGCTGGAGGAAAACCCGACCGCGCCGGCCCTAGGCTGGGAGTGGGGGCTGGGGCGATCGCGCCCACCCAGTCCTGGGGCCCAGTTCAGATTCTCGAATCCTGGTAAGGGACCTATGAATAACGAGCGCCCCGTGCACGCACACACACGCACTTTGACTTTTCATGATTATTACAAGAATCAGTGAAGGGTGCAGTGGCGCCAAGTGTTTGCACAGCATCTTTACAACTCTTCACTTGTTTGATCTTCTCAGCAACCCTCATTTGATGTATAAGGAAACTGAGGCCCAAAAGAGTAAAGTGACTTGTCCAAGGCATGTGGTAGGTAGCGGAGACCCTACTCAAAGCAGACTGTGAGCTCACAGTCAGAACACCCAGGTCTGGCCAAGGTCTCGTCTTTGGTTATCCTCTCGGTTCACTATAAACAACTAGTTACCAGAAAGGTAGGACCGTCCTCTGCCTTACTGGACTCCCCAAGAGGCATTTCCTTCCTTCTAAAGGAAATGAAATTTTGAGATTCCTGTTGGTACTCCAGCTGGTAAATCCAGGGGCAGGAAGAATGTCAATGTTGCAGTCCTTCTCTTCTCTCCTGGTGGCTAACACATCCCGTGCACCTGTCCCGGTTACCCACAGGGAGGCACATGTTGCATGTGGATGTGTCTCTGCAGCCCAGGATTGGCTCGGCTGGATACATCTGTAACATACGACCCTGTGTCCTCTCTACACACATGCATAACTGCAGAAGCCGAGGCAGCTGGTCCTCATGTGTGCACCCTCCACATGTGCACCCCGGGAAACTGCCAAACTGGCATGCTGCATATCCTTGAAGACAAGCCTCTCCCTGCAGGAATTCTGGAAAGCCTGGTGGGGGAGGGGCATGGCCAAGATGAAACTCAAGGTATATGGGGTGGGCCTTGGAGAGAAGGGATCTAACTCAGGAGCAGGGAGTGAGGGATAGAGGTAGGGAAGAGTCATGAGAAGGAAAGTAATGAGGAAGGAAGAGGTGAGTAAAAGGAGGTGTGGAGTAGAAACTGGGGAGGGCAAGTAGGGAAGAGGAAGGGGAAGGGAAGAAGGAGGGGAGAACAGCAGGGAAACTGCCTTACTCTTTGCTTACCTGAGGGCTTGCCTACTATTGGCGGGAGCTCCCAGGAAGAAAGGCTTAGGAAGAACCACAGCCTGGGCTCAAGCCTTTGAATTCTCCCAAGGGTTGGGGGCAGTGGGCTAGGTTATCTCCCCTAACCCTCAGTCACCCATGAGACAACCAGAACGGAGTGGCAGGGATAGGACCAAGCTGGCACCAGAGTAGAAATGGAGCTGCTTTTAGAAACCAGAAAAGCATTAGAATGATGTGAATGAGGGATATAGGAAGGATGGATCAATCTCTGCTCTAGAGTGAACCCAATACTCCATCAAGAAGTTTTCTCAAGTCAGAAACATGGATATTCCATGAAGAGCCAAGACCTGGGTCATTGGTAATTCTGAGAATTACTGGTTTATTTTTCTAATTACATTTGCCCCAACATAACCTGAGTACTGTGCTGGGGCACAGGTGGCCTGGATGCTCACCATGGCTTTGTATTAACAAGCAATGTGACAAGTCCCTTTTCCTCAAAGGGTTTGGACTGTGCATTTGCTAAGAGCCTTTCCAGCTCTGGGAACCCCCAAGCAACCTTGACAGATGGAGCAGGATGGGGACCACATACATCTTGAGAGGCCAAGAGAACACCAATCTACAGTCACCGTTTACCATGAAAATCCCCAGAAGATAATCCACACTTGGATCATGAAAAGGTGAAAGATGGTGGATTTCTTGGCTCCTCGAACAAGCCCACAAGGACTGAGTTAGGGTCACTAACGTGGCACCTGGCTTCCTGTACTGGTTACTTACCTCAGAGTTGAGCCAGGGCTTCCCAAAGAGGTGATCCCATCATTCCAGAAGGGGTTGGGGAGTGAAAGCCATTTTAATAATGGGCATTTTGATTCTTCTTCGTGTTCATTCTGCTAAATAACCCTGTGATGAACATCTTTGTACCTAAGTCTTTCCCCACATTCTTGTTTTTGTGCTTAAGCTAGACTCCCTGAAGTAGAATCACTGGGCTGGAGGGTATGAACATTTTTAAGGTTCTTTGTACATACTTTTTTTTGTTTCAGTTTTAGAGCCAAGGCACTGAAGTGCAGGGCAGATAAATGATTTCCCAGAGAGCTCCCAGCAGGTGCTTAGGGATATTTTCACACACCCTTTCATGTCTCGATGTGGTAGAGAATGACTGTGCCTTGTGCTTTAGGCTGCACATCAAGGCAGCACTCCATCCTTGAATATAACTTCAATACCCCCAGTAAGAAGAAAGTTTGGGCTCCCTGCCACTCCCAATCAGGACTCGCCTTCCCCTGCAGGCCATGCCTGCTCTCCTTGACACCCCTAACCAGCCTTACCCTGTTGTCTGTATCTCTTGGTTTGTTCACTGGACTATAAACCCCAGACCCCTTGGCACACTTCTGGGCACATGGTTGGCTCCCAACCCTCACTGGCTAAATGGAATCACAGTGTCTGATCAGAAGAGTTCCCAGGAGGGTTTGAGGTAGAGAGGCACTCAGCCTGAAGAGAAGGCTGATTTGGCCTAGGCCTTTATAACCAATGAAAAGACGCCTTTGCAATGGATGATGGTGAGTCTCTCTTCTCTGTATTCACTGAGTATGAAAAGGAGAGGAGACTGGCTTTTTGCAGTGAAGTATTCTGGTTTGATGACAGGACAGAGCCCGGTGAAGCTATGGAATCCCAGGGTAGGGACCATTGAACCTGCTTCACTAAAGAAGGGGTGCAGTCTGTAATCCCAGGGTGTGCTAGATACACTTCTTAGAGTTTCCCTTGGCTCACTGTGGCCTGAAGAGTGACTTTGTGGGCTGGGGAATAAGAAAGATCCTGGACAGTTTCATAAGGTCTTGGGATCTCCCTCCACTGAGTCTATTCCATGGACTGGATGCTGGGAGCCACTCCTGAATTAGCACCTCGTTCACTGAGCTTCCCCCAGGACCAACAGCCAGCCCAACCCCAGTTTATCCACAGGCCTCAGCCTTAGCCTCACAGAACTTGGACAAATGCATCCTCAGGAGCTGAGGGCCCAGCACCAGGGTGCCCTATCTGGAGATGAAGGGTGACGTCTTTTATTTCTGCAGTGTCTTCTACCTCTCCTCCCTTCCCAAATGCTGGATTAAGAAGAAGCCAAAATAAATTCTTATTAGTATGCATATGTATTCCCAAATTCCTTAACAGAATGACTAACACCACCTACAGCCATTAGCTCTGGTTTGTTTTCTAAATCCAGTTTACTTTTCATCATTCAGCCCTCTGTTTACCTCTTCCCCTCCCCTAGGCCCAAGGGACTCCCTTCACAGACTCACCCTTTTGCCCAAATACCAGGTCTGGGAGTAGGTTCCTGATGCATCAAAGGATCAGACAATACAGAGAAATCATAATCAATCAAAATAGAGGTGCTTACTGAGTATTTTTTGTTTGTTTGTTTGTTTGTTTGAGATGGAGTCTCTTTCTGTTGCCTAGGCTGGAGTACAGTGGCATGATCTCGGCTCAGTGCAACCTCTGCCACCCAGGTTCAAGCAATTCTCCTGCCTCAGCCTCCGGGGTAGCTGAGATTATGGGCATCCGCCACCAAGTCTGGCTAATTTTTGTATTTTTAGTAGAGATGGGGTTTCACCATGTTGGCCAGGCTGGTCTCGAACTCCTGACCTCAAATGACCCACCCGCCTCAGCTTCCCAAAGTGCTGGGATTACAGGCATAAGCCACTGTGCCCGGGCTTTGCTGAATATCATTTATGTACCTCCTAGCATTTTGTTAAATACTGTACAGGAGAAGAGAAAGAAGGAGAAGGCAGAGTTTCCTCCTGGAGAGAAAAGACACACCAATGCTGGCACCATGACTTACAGTCTATAAAGAGCATTCCCAAATATTACCTCCCTTTTTCATCACAACAATCTCATGAAATAGATCATTATCCCCATTTTACAAACAAAGACACTGAGTCCCAGATAGGTTAAACCTGACGGCTCCAGGCATTTAGAGCTATTGACTGATGGCACTGTATTTCAAACCAAATCTTTTGACTCCACATCCCAGGCTCCTTCCTGTGAACAAGACACCCTCTCTAATGCTAGCCTTGATGCCACTAAATGGTGAATTACCTGGTGCAGCCTGAAGTGCAGTAGACATGTGGCAAAGAGAAGGACAAGGTGTCCAGGGCCACACTGACAGACACACAGAGCTAGGATATTCTAGAATTCAGGACAGTGAGGTAGAAAGAGCACCAGAAGGGAAGATAGAGGAGCAGATTCTGGTTCTTTAGTGTGACCTGGGGCAACTTTTCCTTTCTCTGGGCCTCATTTTCTCCATCTCTAAAATGAATCTGGGATAAATGGTCTTTGGGATTTAATGAAAAGTAATAAAGAAAGCCACTCAATGACGAACTGAAGACAGCAGATGCCACTGACTTCCCTGGCTTTCTACCTCCTGCCAGGGAAATTCCTAAACCTTAAGGGTGGTATTGAAGTGGAGAACACTATGGGTTGTGGCAAGTGCTCAGGTGCATCTGGGAAGCATCACAGCCCTTAGTGCCCCAGGGCTTCACTGGGCCACCCTGTCCCCCAGCTCAATTTCCTCTCTTGCCATAAGGCATTTAACAGTAAGAGTGCCAGGACTGTAGGCCAGCCACTCCTCTCTGTCCTGGATGAGGATTATTGTATTTAATTCTCAAAAAACTCTAGCAGGTAGAGTTATTATTCCCATTTTACAGATCTGGAACCTAAGACACAGAGAGGCTCAGTAACTTGCTAGGCCAGTGAGTTGGCAGGTGGCAAGGCCACAATTCTAATCTTGACACTCTAACTTTAGAGCGTGTTACAGAACTGACTGGTTGAGAAGTAAACTTGTTAAAGGAGAAAGAATAAAAGGAAAACCACTATCTCAGTCTCCAAACTGGACAGGGCAAATCCCCCTCTTTTCATACCAGCTCTCACTCCCTTCCTTTACCTCTCCCTGACTCCCTTTATGTATTGTTGAAACATATAGTCATAGTGTATGGTTTTTTTTATAATCCAGTCAACTGCAGAAGCACAGCTATTGTCATTTATGTCCCTGCCTTAACATCCTTCACCCAAGAGATTTATCGCAGCAGGAATTGACTGACTACAGAATTCTTTCCATTCCTTAATCAAGTCCTTGGCTTTCCTCTCAAAGGGATGTGGAGAATGGAGCAGAAACCAACTCATGTCTGCAAAACAGTAATTCCATTTAATCTAATAAAACTGCCTTTGTGGGTTCCATGTGAAAAGGACAGGGCAGGATTAAGGGAAAGTTAAGCTGTGGCCCCATCCTCCACTCTGGAAGAGCTGATCAGCTGTGTGTTCAAAAGGCTGTCATATAAGAGAATAAGGTAAAAACAGAAAGTTTGAGGAAATTCTGTATTTCAAAAAGAGGAAGATCACCTCAGAGCAGAGAAGACAAGACTTCAAGGAGTCTTGAAGGTGGATGACACTTGAAGGATGGTTAGCATTTTGGTAGGTAAAGCGATGAGAAAAACGTATAGTCCAGGCAAAGGCAAGGTGGCAGGACAGTAAGGCAGCTTTGGGGGCATGAGGAGTTTTCTGGCATGACCAAATCCCAGGGCAGAAGAAGGCCTAGAGGTCAGGAGTGTGGGCCCTGATACAGTCTCTGGGTTTAAATTCAAGTCCCCCACCTCTAAGGGCAGTTACTTAAGGCCAACTACAGAACCTCTCTCTGCCTCCGTTACTTCCTCAGTAAAGCAAAAATAACAGCGACTATGTCACAGGGTGGATGAGAGGATTAAATGGCGTGAATGACTTTAGAATATTGAGTGGCTCATAGTAAATTTTCAAGAAGTGTTAGTTGTTGTTTTACCGTGATTCTTACTAAGAACATAGTGGGAAGTAAGAGTGCAGAGTTGGTTGACACTACCTTGAAGACAAAGGCAATGTGTCTAGATTCCTTTCTGCAAGTAAATGGGCAACACTGCAGGGTTTTGAACAGATCTATGCAGGGGTTCCATGGGTGCACTCCTAGAAGAAAGAACTGAAGAAAAGGAAAACAGTTATAAGTTAATTGCAAGAGCCCAGGTAAAGGGGAAAAACAGGGTCATCTCCAGGGCTATCGTGCTAACAATAGAAAGAGGTGAGTGTCAGAAGTAGAATGGACTAGAGCCTAGAGGTGATCAGGTCTGGGGAAGAAGAGAGTGTGGTCAAAGCCACTTTATAAAATAAAGCCCACTGGGCTGGATGAATGGTTGGTATCCTTTGGAAAGACTTGGAAGATGAGGGAAAGGAGGGGGAGATGAGAGAAACTAGGGGAAGAGGTAGAGAATAATGAGTTCCACATCAGATGTGTGGAGCTAGAGAGCTCAGGAATACGCAGATCCTCTTGCCCCGAGCATAATTCAACAAATGGGTCTGTAACAAATGGTCAGGGGTAGAATGGAGGCAAAGGTCATATAAATGGAGAAAATCCACAGGGAGAAAATGTAGGGTGAGAGGGAGGTGGGGATTAGGAACCTAAACTTACTCAGCTTACCTCCATACATGGTCCTGTGCTAACTCTTTTACTCATATGATCTGTGATCCTTCCTGCAAGCAGAAATTGGTTAGCCCATTTTGTGGATAAGGAGACTGTGGCTCAACAAGGTTACAGTCACTCTGCCAGTTAGGGTAGCCAGGTAAGGAAACAGAGAATCTCACAGAGGAATCAAGGAAGAAAGGGGCCTTGGAGCTTTACTTCACAAATATTCCATGCCAAGGCTCACATAGAAAATGGTATTTATATGGCATATGGAGGATAAATAGAGAGGCTGCTTTTCACCAAAGATGATTTGCCCTCCAAACTCCCCTGACTCCACGTGGCTGGTCCTAGTACTAAAGGAATGATTTCAGCACAGCAATATGCAGTGGTGATATTAACAATATCTAACAATTGGTACAACCCAGGTACCAACCAGCAAGAGCAGAAGCCCCGTGCCACACCAAACATCATTCTGTCTCTGCTACATAATGAGGAGGTCCATCTCGGGGTCCTGGAACAAGGGCTTGGGTAGCCAGGTGGGGGAAAGGGACACGTAAGGTGCTCGGGCAGTGAGACAGAAGTATTTCTGTATTTTAATCACCCATATGTCTGAATGGCTCATCACAGCCCAGCCTGGGACCAGTCTGCAGCACACTCGTGAGCCATACACACCAGCTGGACCCCTGGCTCTGAATCTGGTTAAATAATGTATGTGACCTGGCAGATGAGTAGGTCTAGGAGGATGGGGACTGGCGAAGCAGAGCTGCTAGGTTTGGCAATTTGAAGGTCATTGGTGGCCTTTAAGAGAGCAATTTTTGCGGAGTTATGGGTGTGGAAACCAGATTGCTAGTGGTTGGGACTGAGTGGGAGGTGAGGAAGTAGAGGCGGTGAGCGTATAATACTTTTTTGAGAAGTTTAGCTGTGAAAGGAGGGTGGAAGGTGGGATGGGAGCTCAGGAGAAATCAGAGTAAAGGAAAGACTTTCTTGGGGGTGGGAGACATTTGGGTGTAAGCCAGGGTGAAGCAGCCAGTGTAGAGAGGGAACAAGGGAAAGATGCTCTTCGGGAGGAGCAGGGAGGGTTCAGGCATGAACCCTAGCAGGAAGAAATGGTCCTTCTTTCTCAGAGACCAGAGGCAATAAACAAAGCATCAGGAGATGACAGAGACATTTCGAGGTGAAGAGAAGTAAAATATGGTCTGGATCTTGCAAGTTGAGAGATACAGGTTGAGGAATTGGGATTCGAGGGAGAAAGAAGGTTGGTGCAGCCCCTTGGGATGAGATTGGCAGTCGGCCAGAGGATGAACATAGATATTTCAGGCAGAAGGGCGGCCTGTGGTTTTCATTATGTTGTGGTGGAAACTCAGCGAGGTTGTGGGACTTTGTCCTGCAATTTGCCAACTTGGAAACAACAGAAAGGACCAACATGCATGTGCTCTAGGATTTGGGGTTAGTCAGGAGGGATGGGGATGTATCGAATGTGCAGTGAACTGAGGGTCTTATAAAAGATGGATTGTAGGGTCCTGGGTCAGTAAGTGACTAAGAATAGTCAGGGAATATTGGACAAGGAGTCAGTGGGCTTGCTCTGAAAAAGAACTGGGGATTCAGTAGACATTGAGTGAGAGATGGAAGGATAGGAATTTGTGGCTGGAGCAAAGGAGAAAGTGGAGCCCCAGGTTTTGAGGATTGTGTTGAATGCTGCCTGTTTGCAAGAGACCCATACCTGCGTTTTCCTACTCCCCACTGTGCCACACTGGCTTGGATACCTGAAAAACTTTTTTCCAAGGCTCGCTTGCCTGCTGGACTCTTCATGGGGTCTACAGAAGGTCAGCACTCACATGAGATTAGAAGGCCTGAAAAAGGTGGCAGCTATTTTATGCTTCTGGTAGCAGCATCGGTGGGGGCATGGGCTCCTGGGTTTCTGATCTGTATTGTCAGTGGCTTCACTCCTGTCAGGGAGCACAGAATCCTGGGGTCTGGATTATGACACTTTTCCCTTTCTGCTCCTTCAGCTCTATGGACTGAAGTGGTGTCCTGAAGTTACTGATCTCTGAGTAATAGTGCCTTCTCATTTTTGCTTTTTAAAAACCAACTAACAACTTGATACAAATTCTCAGTGTTAAATTTCCCTGTGTTTGAAACACTGAGGGTGATTTCCATTTTCCAAATGAGAGAGTTTTACCTGATGGCAAAGTATGACTGGGCATGTGGATGGCTAAAGTGAGGAGAATATGAAGCCTAGGGGTTGGCAGGCACTGAGGTCAAATAACTGACAGATCAGGAGGTGAAAAGTTCAGAGTCGGAATCTATGATTGTGGCTATAGGGGAACTCTCACATCCTCATCCAGGGTCTGGACTCTCTTGGGGCATTACGCTATTCCACCAAGCATTCCTTCCCAGGTTTCACTCAACCACAGCATTCTCCTTATCCCTCATCTCCACAAGTTAACATTCTCCTCTGTACCCACTCTGGTCCCACCAACTATGATCAAACTGTGGTATGTTTGTCTCCCACTCCCCCCGCTACTCTTTCTTGAACTCAATCCCTTTCACAGTTTTCCTAACTTCCCAAATCCTCAGAAACAAATATTGTCCTTTGGTTCTGAAAGTTTTACTCCTTCTTAAAAGAGCTTCTTAATCTGGAATCCACAGGTGATTCTAAGAGGAGCTATGATCCATCCAAAAGTACATAGCCAATCTTACAGGTGTGTATATATGTGCATTTTTTAAAGACAGGGGCTATCATATTTATCACTCTTTCAAAGAGATCCTTGTTCCCTTCACCTTGAGAGTGGTTAAAGGAAGAGAAAAGAGCAATCACTGATAGAGTCTTTATTTGCTCAAGGTATCTTTTTCTGTGATCTCAAATAAGCCACTTCCGCTCTGTAGACCTCAGTTTCCTCATCTGTATAACGGAAACAATGATTCTTACCCTTCAAGATGGTTGTAAGGATTAGATATAGTATAAAAAACCAGCACAGTGCCTGGCATGGTTGACTTTTAATGAACAGTAGCTATTGGTATTGAGCTAGTTTGGAGTCCCCCAGGCACAGACGTTTACATGGGGTTTGAGTAAAAGTATTTTATTTGAGAGGATACCTAGAACATGTCAGTAGGAAAAAAAGAAAGGGAAAGAATCCAATAAAAGTTGTATAATCAAACATGTACTTTCAGGTGGAACTCATAACCCACTGGGGGGGTCCCTGAGATACAATATGAGGCACACCTTGAGTTGTCCATCAAGAGCTGAGGAAGTGGAGTACTTATCTGCCTACTTGTCATCTGTCATTGGCTAGGGGCTTCTAGGGACATGAACTGTCCAGCACAACTCACTTTTTTGGTCAAGAAAAACCCTGGGGTGTAAAGTCTCAGGTGTTCACAGCAGCAAGTTTGTTGTACAAAGGTAAATACTCAAGAGATAACATCAGGGCAATGACAGCAACTGCCATAGTGACTAATAGGAAGCCTTCCCCATCCCCACAACTGACATTAATAGGTTGCCCACTCTGTGCCCCATTAGCCCTCAGCTTGTCCTCTTGTCTTTGCTCTGTGCTAGACCAGCAGTGTGATATCGTATGCATGTATATATGTCTCTCCAAGAGGACTGGAAGCTTTTTGAAGGCAGAGGTTTAATCTAACCAAGCTCTCTGATGCCAGGATCTAACTTAACAGCTGATACAAAATGAAAATATCCCATACATGTTTATAATAAATTAACTCCCCTCAGAGTGGTAGTTTGGGAGGTTTCTGATGACCCACTCTGCCAGAGGGGTGGCGCCATTAGGCATTCTGCACACACAATGGGAGATTTATGTCCCCTCCTGTTTCTGTGGCAGGTGCCTTTATCACACAGCATGTACGGTTCCTGAATCACTTGCCAGGGGATTCGTGACTCAATATTATAATCTCCAAAGCAATGATATTAGAAATTCAATTTTAAAAAGAAACTGTTTAGGGTGTCAGCATGTTATGATAATTATCTGGGAGGATTTTTCCCCCTGTTTCTTCTTGAACTGCACTAGTAAGCACTTTTCCACCTCAATACAAAGAATGGAAGAACATGGACTATTTATGTATGTGTCCCCCACCCCCACCCACATCCTCCAGCTCTTATCTCCATATTGCCAACACATGGGGAGCGTACTCTGCTCCCCAGAGCACACGCCTGAATAAGCCTGATTGCTTTCCTGTATTTCTTTATAAAACTTTAAATATTCATCGTGCCATCAAATTAAATGGGATTCTTGGGATGTCATTCTTTTCAACACGCTGAGTTCTTTTCTCTAGTACCTGTCCTACCGCCATTTGAAGCCTTTGGAGACTTGTCATTTATCTAACATTACCCCCTAGGAGCTCAAGTTGCAATCAAGGCAGAGGGATGCTAATGAAAACAGAGGAGTTGGAGGGGCTTGTGGAGGCCAGAAATTCAGCTAGGGCAGGGAGTCGGGAAAGTTGGAGGCAGCAGAGAAAGACCAGCTGCTCTTCCTTGCTCAAGGAACAAGGTGTGAGCATGAAAGGCCAGATGGGGAGATGGGAAGAAGACGTGAAGAGTAGGCCAAAGATGAGATGGAAACTACTCAACAGGCCTACTGGCCTTCCTTCTTCCCTCTCCATCAAGTTTAAGGGCAGAGTAAACAGCCCTTCGGGATTTCAATATTCCTAGGCCAGAAACAGACAGCTGGATCAGATGAGCTGTTGAAAGTCCCTCCTAGTCTTTCAAGTCATTAAATATCTTTGTCTGGCAGTGATAGAAACTTAACAAGAAATGCTCCATGGGAACCTCTAGGAGAAATTGGGGTGGGGGAAATATGCAGATCCAGCTGAATATTATGCTTTGCATTGTGTTAAATTTCAACGCAATACATTACATTTTAAACTACTTTCTCTGCCTGCGTGGTCCCTTAACAAGGGAATCGATCAGCGAGCAGCCGACTAACTTGCCAGGGACCGGGTCACCATCTCCGCGCTGTAGTCATTTATAACCACCCTGAAGTTGGATAATGCGCCGCGGGAGACAGTCCTGCGCTGCTGCGGCTGCAGGATCAGCGAGCTACCGGGTGCAGGGGGAGGGGCAGGGGGCACTGCAGGCGGGCACTGCAGCAGTTGGCACTGCGGGGCCGCCCACCGTCGCTTAACTCTCCGTGGTGCCCAGCTGAAGGCCAGCGCGCTTCAGGAACACGCAGTGCTGGACAGCGCACCGCGCGCTTCGGAAAGCCTGAGCCGTCTCGGTAAATAACTTTACCTGGATCACAGAGGTTGTGAGGGGAATGGGGAACACCTGGGTGACATACCCCCAGCAGGAGTATTAGCTCGCAGTGTGGACTCGGGCAAGGCCCATCTCCCCGGGGCCTCAGCTTTTCTTATTTGCGAAGTGAGGATTTGTTCCAGGTGTTTTCAAAGGACCCTCAGAGACCTGGTCTCCTATAAATCAGTTGCTTGTAAACGCAATAGTGACCTGTAGAGCAGTGGTTCTCAGACCAGCGTGGCCATCAGAACCACCTGTGGAGGGAGATAAACTGTATATTCCCAGGCCCAACTGTGGAGTTCTGATTCAGTAGGCCTGGGATAGGACTAGGGGGATGCTTATTTTTAACATGGATCCTTGTAGGCACTTCTGCACCAGGCAGAGGATTTGAGAAATATTGCATTTAGAACACCTAAACTGATTTTCTTACCTCTTCACCATAACGTCTCTGCCCTCACAAACCCATCCTCACATCTTTACAACACACACCCACATCCCTGCGTACGAATGACATTCATTCTCAAAACTTTTAAAGCACTCGTTATATTCCTTAGTTTTCTCAAAGATAAACAATATTTAAAACAAGGCAGCTGCCCTCAAAGAGGTCTTAGGCTCACAGGGAACACAAACAGGCAGACGGCTAACCTTAATACAGAGTGATAAGTACCCCCACTAAGGGTGTGTAGCTGAGTGCAGTGGAGGCACAGATGAGCGGGCTCATGCTTGTGCTCACAAAATGGGGCAGATGGCTGTCACCCTTGGGTGAGGGTGTCGCTCTTCTGGGCCTGCTACATGGGGTTTTTCTTGCACAGTTTCCTTAGCGTCATGCACAGGTCTCAATCTGTGTGGTACACAGCACAACGCCGAGTAGACAATAATCACTCTGCTTGTGCACTGTGTAACCTCAGGGGGCACCTGGCTTGCTGAAAAAGCTTCCTGAATGTATTCATCCACATCACTACGCTCCTTCTTATCCCCTTCTCCTCCCTGTCTTTCTGTTTTTCCCAAGGTTTTCCCTAGCTCCCCACTTGTCCACATCACTCCACTTTGGTAGACCCCCCTTCAACAAAAAATGTCTCTTTCCTCTAACTCCATTCCTTGTCCCCAGCTGCCAGATGCCATCTGTGACAAGGGTGGTTTGCAGTGGCTGCTAGTGAGAGAGGTCCTTGAAGAGACTGAGTTGGATTGTTCGTCACAACACATTATGGTGAGGGTAGGGATGAAATTTGACTCTAGCACAGTGACACTTGGGTTAGCTGAGTGCTGAGGTGGTAGGATCAGCAAGGCAGGCCCTGGGTAATAACTGAAGCCCCTTCTGTAGCTGCACCCAAACCGGCTCAGCATTGGTCACAGCTCCTTTTGCCCAAAGATCTACACACCAAATTTATTCTGTGGCAAATACTGAGTCTTCCCATCCTCCACCCATACTGTTTTGTCTTGCTTCCTTTCCTTTGCCAGCCCACCATTTGGAACCCTATTACTGCTCTTCTCTGTTTTCATGGACCTGATATGGTAGATACCCATTCTCAATATTGTTCATCCTGCAAACATCCATTTCTGAATTCTCAAACCCTTCTCTTTCATTCAAGTGGTCACCCTGATGGAGAACCTCTTCTAGGCCTTTCCATGAAAGCCCCTAACTTCCCAGAGTCCATACAAGTCCATGCATGTGATTGGAAGGCATAGAAATCTCTTCTACCTATTCTGAATTTTTTTCTAACAAACAAGGTGATTTTGTTACTCCCCTGCATGAACCTGATTCTCAAGTCATACCAGTTTTCACTAAGGATAGCCATATTTTATGCCACATTCCCACCTCCATCAAGTAAGGTTTGGAAGGAATATTTTTGCAGCTGCAAAGTAAAGTTTCTAATGTGAGTCCTACACATATACTGATATGGTTTGGCTGTATCCACACCCAAAATCTCATCTTGAATTGTAATCCCCATAATCCCAATGTGTCAAGGGAGAGACCAGGTGGAGGTAATTGAATCATGGGGGAGGTTCCCTCATGCTGTTCTTGTGATAGTGAGTGAGTTCTCACAAGATCTGATGGTTTTATAAGTGTTTGGTAGTTCCTCCTGCATTCATTCTCCCCCTACCACCTTGTGAAGAAGGTGCCTTGCTTTCCCTTCACCCTCCACCGTGACTGTAAGTTTTCTGAGGCCTCCCCAGCTATGTGAAACTGTGAGTCAATTAAACCTCTTCTCTTTACAAATTACCCAGCCTTGGGGAGCTCTTCATAGCAGTGTGAGAATAGACTAATATACATACCATCGTGGTTCCCCCAGTTTTTTGCCCTGGACCATGACTCACTTTCGGCTTTCCTGATAGGACAATCATGGAACAGGCTTTCCAACTTTGGTGGTTCCTTTTCCTTGGG
The DNA here is from genome assembly GCF_000001405.40 of Homo sapiens. NCBI lineage: Eukaryota > Metazoa > Chordata > Mammalia > Primates > Hominidae > Homo > Homo sapiens. The sequence goes on from NC_000006.12 coordinate 40,602,242, forward strand.
TCTAAGACTTATTCCGCTATTAGCTTATCCGGTTTGATGTCTGACGTTCCCATACCAGAAGGCTTGCCTAGAGCTGAGAGTATGCCACCCACAGACCCTAGTATACACTCACTACCACAAACTCCCACATTTGTGCCTCACCACCACATTGGTGGCCGCCTTGGACATAAAAGCTAATTCAGATCCAGCTCTAGTTCTCTACTCCCCTTGAAATATGGACTGTTGGACAATCTACTGGAAGAATTAGACATGTTCCCATAGCTTCCCAAGTCCCAGCTAAACCAGCCCCTGCCTCTTTCTTTTTCCCATTTGCCTACTCCATTTAATTATTATGACAACTCTTCAAGGTAACTACTAGTATTTCCTCTTTGCAGGTGTGTAAGTTGAAGCTCACGGTTGAATAATTTGCCATTGTAACAGTGGGCCTGAGAGTATAATACAGGTTTTCTTCCTTCTTTATTCAGGAAAGATTTTCAGAACATTTGGGTCTTTAGGTTAAGAGGAAGGGAGGATTTAGACATTCAAAGTAAAAAGAAAAACTCATTTCCTACTAGTTCTTCCCAGGTGGATGGCCCTTCTCATCCTTCAATTGGCCAAAGGAAGTTGTGGAATTTTAAGGACGTTAAATATGCATGGCAGATGCTGTCAGTGCCCTGCCCATATCCCCTTAGCATTCACTGGTTCTTTGCATGCTGAGAGTCTCTTATTGCGAGCACCTGCATCTCCTGTCTGAAGGCTTTCTCTGGCAGTAAGAACATGCTTGTTTCCCATCAGAAAAGGATATAAGTGCTAGAGAGTTAACAACCAAACAGAAGTTCCCAATCAGTGATGAATGGAAGCTTGGTGGTTAATGACTTCATCATTCCTCAAGTGACATTAATCTGGAACACATGTCTCAGAAGTTCCCAGTGGGATTGAAGTCCAGTTGTTCACAATGGTGAACTGGTCATCTACAAACCTGTATTGGCTTCTGTCTATATTGCTTATGACAGAATACCTACATCTGGGTAATTTTTTCAAAAAAGAATTTATTTATTACAATTATGGAGGCTGAGAAGTCCAAGATGAAGGAGCCACATCTGGTGAGGGTCTTCTTGCTACAGAGATTCTCTGCAGAGTCTCAAGGTACCACAGGATGAGGGGGCTGAGCATGCCAGCTCAGGTCTCTCTTCCTCTTCTTATAAAGTCATCAGTTCTACTCCCAGAATAAGCCATCAGTTCATTAACCCATTAAATCATCAATCCATGAATGAATCCATTCATGAAAGCAGAGCCCTCCTGACACTATTACATCTTAAAGGCCCCTCCTCTCAATACTTCTATATTAGGGGTTACATTTCAGTTTTGGAGGAGACAAAAATTCAAACCATAGCAGCTTACTTGCCTATCTCACTTCCCCAGTACCCTCTTGGTGCTTCCCAGGCTCACCTCTCAAATGAACTACTTGGACTCGAATCCTAGTACCAGGGTCTGCTTCTGGGAGAAGCCAGGCTAAAACAATGTGCTTGGAATCTTAGAGGTTTTCTGGTTCAACCACCTCATGAATAAATTAAGTTCCAGGGAAAGAGGTGACCTGCACAGGATCAAAATCTGGAAGAGCTGGGCTGGAGCCACACCTTTGTCCACTCTTAGTTCAGTTCCCATTCCCTCCTGGGAGCCCCTCATGGAATCCCGTGAAGCCATATATCACTGGGAATGCACCAGCAGGAATTGGTGGAACTGGTTGGGGAGTGGAGTAAGGAAGGTAGAAAAAGAGTGAGTGAGTGCAGAAAGCCCACAGTCCATAAATTTCATTATCATTTCCCCCTATATTTTGGCTGTCAACAATTTCACACCACTCTGCATATCTGGCTAGCTATGGGCAGCAGGGATCTGCATCCCCGACCCAGGTTATTTACACAGTTCTCCTGAGGCTTTGAGACCAGAGAGGTTAAAACAAGTTCTGCATCCATGTCCTGGAAGGCTGCTCTATGCCCTTTTCAAGCAGCTACTGATGGTGTTGAGTGCTGGCAGTAAGAACATGCTTGCTTGGTGCTGGAACCTGAGTTGGCTGGCTGGCAGGCTGGACTGGGCTGAGCTAGACCAGGCTGCTGAAGGTTGGAGGCTCAGAACATCATCACAGAGCAGGGCAGGAGCTTTGGAATTACTTATTTCACCCCCCCCTCCTTATCGTAAAGGTGGAGAATGTGAGACCCAGAGGGTAAATGGGATTGCTCAGTTGATGTGATTATACTTGCTATTTAAGATCAAATATAACTTGGCTTTGATTACTTCTGTCAATGGAAATAAAGAGGAAGCTCATAGAATTCCAAATACCATGTAATACAAAATAATTTCTATTTTAAGTGTAAATTGAATTTGAAGCCATATTTGGGAGAAGGAAGGGGTTGCAGGTGTACCTTTGTAATCACGCTGAGCCCTGCAAAATGAGGCAAGAGAGAAGAAGATGAAGTAGGGAGGAAAGCCAGGAAGTGGAAGTAGCTGGCCTAGGATTAAGGATATCCTGTGGACAATCTTCATGGGGTAAATGAAAAATCACTCTAGTAATACAAACGTATTTCTTTCACTTAGTCTTTACAACACTGCCCTTCTCTCCCTCTCCCTCCTTGGTTTTAAGGTTTAGCTCCCAGGGAACCATATCCATCACCTCCTTACATAATCTTCAGCATCCTTACCTTCTTGTCAACCTGCCACATGCACCCTGAAAACCACCATTTTGGTCCATTCAATTATCTTCCCTGTATGTCTGTGCTGAGCCCTGGAGATGAAAGTCACATACTGAACTGGGACCAGAGTTGGGGTCTCACACCTCATCTGGCTCCTTCTACCCTCTTGGGACTTGGGCTTGGGTAATCTCCTTTTCTAACTCTCTATGGTGACTGTGTTAGTTAACCTTCCTCAACTTCTCTGAAAATCATTACATATTCCCAGTTTCTGCTTATTAGATGATAGGGCTTCCCTGTTAATCAGAAGACTCAGACTACTAGGCATGAATTCCCTCAACCCCATTAAAAATTGATCTGCTCTCACAGTTGTCCATACCTTCTTTCCTGATAAAGCCCTTCTTCTGCCCAAGGATAACTCTTTCTATCCATAATGTACAGCTTTCCTCTTCTATTTCTGTGAGGAATTCATTCCATCAATAGCTGCACTCTCCCTCAACAGCCTCTTTCCCCACTAACTCTTACCCCAAGCACAGAAGCAAGTTCGAGTTTCTGCCAGTTTATGAAGGGCTCCTCCTAGCTAATCATCTCTCTCACCTTCCTTTAAAAGCCACAGTTTCTAAAAGAGCAGCCTGCACTCCCTATCCTCACATCCTCTCCTATATTCATCTCTCAACTCAGAGGGTCAGAGGGTGTGATCCAAGAGGTAGGAGAAAAAACAGTGCTGTCACAAACATCATGGAAGAATCATTTTTAAGGTACTCATTGCACTGTGGGCTCTATTCTGGCCCCATCTGCCAAGGGCAGGGTATCAATGACTTCATAACTGCCACATCCCTCCCCACTTCTGATCCTTTTCTTACTTAGTTTCCCCTTACTGGTTCACATTTTTTGAGTACCTTAAAAATGATTCTTCTTCCATGATGTTTGTGACAGCACTATTTTTTCTCCTACCTCTTGGTTCACACCCTCTGACCGTCTTGGGTTGTCCCTAAAATGTGGGTGCTCCCCAGTATCCTGCCCTTAACCCTCTTCTCTTCTCACTTGATGTATCCTACCTGAGTAAACCTACCTATGTCCCAGGTCTCATTCTTGAGTTAATTGTTCTCAAATGCATGTCTCAGCTTAGCCCTATCCTCTGAGCAAGGCAAGAATATCCAAAGGCCTTTTGAACATCCCCATTGGATGTCCACAAACACCTCAAAGTCATGCTATACTCTGCATAAATCACCAACCCTTCCCCAAAGCTGGCTTTCTTCTCCTATTTTTTATAGCTAAAAACTTTGGTCACCCTAGACTCTGCTCTCCACCCACTGCCCATCTTCCTCAGGCCTTCCTATACCAGTATTCCATAGTATAGGTAGCCATATTTGATAGTATAGATCTATATGTGTCTGTGGTTACCTATATGTCTAGTCTCATGGCCATCCAACACACCCTTGTTTAATTGCTGGTTAAGCTTTCTCATTTGATTTTTAGGTGCTGGGGCGTGTGTGTACATGCATGTGCATGTGTGTTTGTCTGTCTTCGTTCTATTCTTAGTAAAATTCAATTCTAGGCCAGGAGAAGGCAAGTTATCATCAGTCATTTACACTTCAGTATAAATCAGAAAGAACAAATGTTACAAATTATAATTTGTTAACGTTTCCTTAACACTTCTGGTAGAAGAATATGGTAGGGGTTGCAGGGAAAAAGCCCGAATGCCCTAAATGGTAGCTAAATGGAGAACAAAGAGGCACTCCTAGGCACAGAACCAGGCAGCTGGAGAACTTGAGTCAAACTATGCCAACTTCCCAATTTTTGCCCAGCCTTGGCATGCAGTATTCACTAGCCTCAAATTACAAGAAGCTTGTTAGTGCTTCACATCTATCTCAGAGCTGACCCATCTGTGTCTGGCTCACATTGACTGTTGCTCTTGGGGAGATTTGAAGATTTAAGATAGAGTTGTCTGATCTATAAATATAAGCTATATTTTTATTCTCCCTCCCTCCCTCTCTCTCTCTGTTTCTTTCCTTTGCTTTCTTTCTTGCTTTCACTTAGCTAGAATGTAATTAAATTTGAATTGCAGCCAAAACCGATTTGTGAGACAAGAATTTGGTTAGTGATATTGAGCCAACCAGGTGAAAAAACCCTCAGCAAAACTTCAAAAAGACCAATAATCACATTGTGATTGAAATTCAGCCCCCGTCTTCTCATCCCTTCTCCTATTAACTTGGACAAGAGCTGGAATCCCTCTTGGGACCCTGGGCTCATCGTGTTTCACAGATGGGTCTAGATGTATATGTGCACATAGCAGCAAGGAGGGCCAACGCATCCCCCAACCATAGTTGAGGAGGCCTAGTTTGACTAACAGATTCTAAGAAATTAGAAAGGGACTAGAGTTAGCAGAAGGGGATTGGGATAGAGACAATGATTGGAGGGAGAAGATGAAGGAGCAGCAATAAAGGGGTCGGATAGTTGGGGCATCAAATCCTGGAATTTGAAGCTAGAATGTAAGATGAAAAATCAGAGTAAGAGTGAGACAGAAAGTCTTTGGGGATCAATCATTTATGAAACAAGAGATTCTTAAGTTTGGAAATAACCTCATATGGTATGTATTCTAACACTCCTTCTCCATTTTACTGATGTGGAAACTGAGGCCCAAGAAGGGAATAGATTTACCCAAGGTTACATTATACTATTAAATCAACCATCAGCAAATAGTGATGTGCCTTACTCTGTCCCTGATTCTCTGGGGGCTTCCAAGGAGTGTTAAGGTACATTTTCTACCCTCCAGGGAAATGACACCTGGGTGACAATGAACACATCCTTCCCAGCAGCCTCTACCCCTGTCTTCTGTGATCTGCAGCATATTTGTGCCAGGTTAATTGTGACCCTGGCTCTTCCTTTCCCAGCTCTTCCCAGGGTCACTTTTGGGGAGCCCAATGAGCAGGCTAGAGATAGGCAGGAGTGTATAGTGTGTGTGTGTGTGTGCATGCGTGTTTGTGTGTGTGTGTGTGAATGCCTGTGCATGAAAGATTAGCAAGCCAGAGCCCACTGGCCATCTGTCATTACCTTTCAATGCCAGAGAGAAAGGGTCTGTAGGGTGTTTATTATTTGGGTTCTCCATGCCTCTACTGCCCTTTCTTGGTGTAGCATAAAATTGGAAATCCAAAGACCTGGGCCCTAGTTTTTCTCTGATGTTGGGTGTACAAGTAATGTCTCCTCTTTGAGCCTCACTTCCTTTATTTGTAGAACAGGTCATATATCACTGCATGGCATGCAAGGACTGTTGAGCTCTGATATTTTAAGATGCCATAATTTTAGATGCCAATGGATACCCAAGTCCCATTAATTCATTTAGTCAATAAGTAATAATGTCAATAATAAAAAATAATAATTATGATTGTGATATTTTCCAGCTGGATGGGAGATGTTTGGCTGGTAGACTTTTCCTTCCTGTTGCTATTTGGGGGATTCAGAGCTAAATATAGCCAGTGACAGGCATTCCAAACACCATCATCTCAAATTAGGAAACACATTTGCACCTCCTATCAACAGTCCTGTGGCAGACACTCTGACGATGCTGACAAAGATGCAGGAAGACTGTTTCCTCCCATGAAAAAACCTATGTCTGCCTCCTGGAAAAATCAGACCAGAGATTTCATGGAAGGAGCTAATAGTGGGGTAAGGGTGGTATAGGAATGTATGTAGGAGTTTACCTTAGCAATGAGGAAGTCTGGCATATAGAATCACTACTATTTATTATGCACCTACCATGTCCCAGGCTGTGTGCTAAGTATTATGTTATTTTTTCTTTTTGAGGCAGGATCTCACTTTGTCAACCAGGCTGGAGTGCGGTGGCAGGATCTCAGCTCACTGCAGCCTTGACCCCCTGGGTTCCAGAGATTCTCCTTCCTCAGCACCAAAAGTAGCTAGGACTATAAGGTGTGTGCTACCGTGCCCAGCTAATTTTTTTTTTAATAGTGCAGGGGTTTCACTATGTCATGCGGGCTAGTCTCAAACTTCTGAGCTTAAGTGATCCTCCCACTTCAGCCTCCCAAACTGCTGGGATTACAGGTGTGAGCCACCGTGGCTGGCCAGTAATTTGCTACTTCTAGTCTTCATGGCAACCTTGAAACAACCCCTGAAGACCACACAGTTTTAAGTAACAGAGGAGAGATATGCATCTATGGCTGTCTCAACCCAAGGTTCATGTATCACCCACTACCAGTACTGCCCCTCTGCAGTTCCTTGCCTTCCTCCTTCCTTGAACAGTAGTGGATGCTTACCATGTTTCTGATACTGTGCTAAGCATACAAAGGTACCTAAGACACAGTTCTTGCCCTCAAAGACCTCCCAGTCAATCCTTAACTGATAAAATCAACTACAATCAAAATACAGCATAACCCAAACAATGATAAAAAATAAATGCAGGATGATATGAAAACTAGACTGGGGATGGCATGAGAAATTTCTGAAGAGAAACGAGATTTGAGTCAAAACGTAGAGTGACAAGCATTTGACAGGCCATCAAGGCATGAGACAGCAATCTGGCGAAAGGATCAGTGTGGGCAAAGGCATGGAGCATGGAGAGAGTGCCTGGGATCTGGAGAGCAGCCATGGGTGCAGAAAGGAATCTCACCCATAACCATCACTCTATGTCCATCCCCAACATTAAGCAGTAATATTAGCAAAGCAAGGGAGAAGAATAATTTTAGGGGCCAAAAATTAAGAACTTCTCTCCCTCCTGCTTCACAAAATGAGAGAAGCCTTGAGCCCTGTTTCTGGGTGCCTCAATTCCTAGATGCAGAAACCTGTGTGTGCTGACCTAGGGCTGGAGTAACCTGAGAAAACCCTGCCCCCTCCCCTTGGGCTTCAAGCCACTTTCTGTAACCCTGGCATCTGAGCTGGTCAGTGTCTCCAGGGAGCCGAAACTTTTGCAATGAAATTGACTGCTGCCTTTGGCTCTTGGTGCCTTCCCACTGGGCAGGGGCACTAGAGAGGTAGATGCCAATATCTTACTGTACAACAGCAATTCCTCCTTCCCCCTTCTTCTCCCCTTCCTTGGTCCCCATCTTCCTCTACCCTCCTCCACGGTTCTCCTCCCCTCTTGGCCCCATCATTTCTTCCTTCTTTCGCCTGGGCCCTCCCTGCCTCCCCTCCCACTTCTGTCTCCATTCCTTCTCAGCACTTCTCTCTCTAGCCTTAGCTTCATGATGTCAGAAAATAAAAACAAGCTACTTTTTACGCTTTCTTTCTAAACCCAAGCCAATAAAATACTTCTTTCATTTGAGAAGGGAAAGTAATAACTTAGGCATTCGCAGGAAACACAACACACTTATTTGTAGTCTCGGGGAGTGCTGCAGGGGCCAGCTCTTCCTATGTGATGAGTCCTGCTCCCAGAGCAGCAGCATAGGGTGTAAGACTCAGGAAACAGCCTGAGGGGAGCAGAAGCAGCAGGTCCTTCCAATCTGACAGGCTGTGACACCATGCTTCCTGCCTGCCACAGCTGTCCCCTCCCCGTGGAGTGCATTTGAGTCTCACCCCTTGGCCAGGAGCCTAGGACAATCTCTATGATCCCTGCACAGAGTCTTCAAAAAACCTGTGTCTAGCCCAGGGCAGCTTTCATGACATGGCCAAATTAGTCATGCCTCTACCCCATCCTGTAATAAGTGGCCATGAGCAAAGACTTCCCAGTCACAGGTAGACCCAGTTCCTGGCCTCAGGGATCCCCCAATCTGATGGAGTAGACACAGTCCATACTCTCAAAGATCTTCTTGTTTGATGGGGGCAACACAACCCCTACCTTCAAGAAGTTTCCAAGTTAACAGCTGGCACCAACTCACCCTAATACTTGCAACATACCAAAGTGTGATGCAAAAAAAAGCAAGCAAGCACATGGTCTTAGGAGCTAGGGAACCTGCTGGTTATAAATAAATCCCACCCCAACCTCAATGACATCTTCATCTATAAACTGGAGCTTCTTTTCCTAGCTGCCTGGATCCCTGATAAAGACCATGGAAAGCTTTATTAACTGTCACTCCCTCTAACATGCTGGTTGGCAGGTCTATGGAATTTTTGCCTGTGACTCCTCTTGGTCTCTGCTTCTGTGGCCATTTCTGCTAGCTGCTCCCCCTGCCCCGGCCCCCTCCTAATTACTCTCATGTCGATTTCTACCTCTTAGACTTTCTCTAGAATAACAATAATGATACTCTTTTTTTTTTTTTAACGGAGTCTTGCTCTGTTGCCCAGGCTGGAGTGCACTGGTGTGATCTTGGCTCACTGCAACTTTTGCCTCCCAGGTTCAAGTGATTCTCCTGCCTCAGCCCCCCAAGTAGCTGGGATTACAGGCGCTTGCCATCATGCCCAGCTAATTTTTGTATTTTCAGTAAAGACAGGGTTTCACCATGTTGGCCAGGCTGGGCTTGAACTCTTGACCTCAGGTGATCCGCCCGCCTCAGCCTCCCAAAGTCCTGAGATTACAGGTGTGAGCCACTGTGCCCAGCCAATGATACTCTTTCATAAAGGGCCAGCTTTGTGCCAGGCATTGTACTAGGTGCTTAACAAAATCTCAATCTTCATCTCTTGGTTTTAAATTCATTCTCTTTTCTGAGGGTTTCCTGTGTCAATTGCCAAAGAAAAGATCCACTTCCCTACCGTTCTCGTGCTCAGCTCAGAGCGGCTGCATGCTCTGGGTGCCCTATTCCTGGCATGTCAGCTGTAAGCCCGCCCAGAACAATCAGCCAACACATTCGCTCTGGGCCTCTCATACAGCTTAATATCCCAAAGTTCCCTTCAATGAGTTCATTTCTTGAGCCTTCTATTATTAGGCTACAAATCCATTTTCCAGATGGTGTTGCTGGCACAGGAAAAGTCTGGGACCCTGGCTCAAGGTCACCCACAACCCTGCACCAGGAAAGACTGTGAATATCTGGAGATGGGTGGAAGAAGTGATAGTGGCGACATAAAAGAGCTGGGGGCTCCCACCCAGCCAGTTGGCAAAGTGGATTGGCACCTGCAAGCCACACATTTCAGTGAGCGTACTTGCCCCTCTCCAGCACTCCAGCTACCAGGTCCGAGGCCGGGCCTTGCAGCCATGATCCAGGCTACTGCAGTGGTCAGAGGAGAAGCCAGGGAGGCGGGCCTGATGAAGAGCTGACATGACTGTCGCACTCCTGCCAGGGTCCCTAAGGAGCCATGAGGCTGACTGCCAAGTAGTTAGGGCCCGATCTTTGAGGATGGCCAGAATGGATGCCTCCCTCTCCTGAATGACTGCCCAGAATGCAGAGTGACCCAGGCTTGGAACGCACTGTGTCTTCTCAGATTTCCTGCAGCAGTGCTAGCAGAGAGGGGACAGTGGCAAGATGTGTCCACCACCATCCGTTCCTCAGTATCTGGGACAGTCTAGGGGGAGGGGAGAGAAGGGAGTAGCTCTCAGCTAGAGACTTCTGCTCTTTGGGACAGGCTTCTGGCCCCACTGGGTAAGAGAACTTCAGCTCTACCAGTCCTGCTTCCTCTGGGATCTCCCAGGCTGGGGCTATCTGTGTCGACCCAGGGGAGAGTATCAGAAATGTCCTAGCCCCTTAGAGGACCTAGGAGGGGTGTAGGGTGACCTGCTATCCCAGTTTGCCAGGACTAAGGTGGGGTAGGCATGTTTCCAGGTGGGACTTTCAGTGCTGACACTGGCAAAGTTCTGGACAAAGCAGGACAAGTTGGTCACTCTAGAGAACTGCCTTGTCCCACCCATCAGGGACATCAGGCTCCGGATTCTTATCTTCCTTCCTGCTTTTTTAAAAAAATTCCTCTGGATTAAAAGTTCCCTGTTTAGCACTCGTCCCAGCATAAAGGACAAAAGGAACATAGAGGACTAGGTGAATAGATACCATCTCCATGGTCACAGCCTGCAAACGCTAAAACCAAGCAATGCTGGGTTGTAAAGCACCTATGAGAGAAGCTTGTTTGGAAGGTGAAGGAGTTGGCCGTCTTCTAAGGAAGATCCTAAGGGAAGCAGGTGCTCTGACCAAGGGGCTGGGACCTGTAGCATTGACCTTACAGCTTTATCAAGGTTGCCCACTGCTCATCTCAGAGGATCTCAAAGTGGTGACCTGACTGTGAAGAGGGACGTCATGGGATTGGGAGTTTTCAATGAGGTGGTGTGTCGGAAGGTGATTTCGCCCATGTCATGGTAGTCACTATATGTGCATCCTTCCCTCACTCTCACCCACAGCCTCCTGGAACAACCTCTTCCTCTCTCTGTTGGTTCTCATGTTTTTTGTTTTGTTTTGTTTTGTTTTTGTTTTTGTTTTGGTCATTCTCAGCTAATCTAGAAGCTCATCTCTTTCAGCAAGCCTACCCAGAGGAGGAGTGTTAATGAATTTCTGTTAGTCTTTATTCCACGTTCAGGTGATATACACTGATGTCTTTGATTAGGGAAATGTCATTCCAGCTCCAAAGCAGGTGAAAAATCTGTGTCTTTGCACTTTGCAATGTAATTTAAACTATAATATTTGCACCAAAATAAAATGCTTCTCTTCTTTCCATTATCGCGTGCACGCACGTGTGTGTATGTGTGTGTAAAATACCTACCTCGTATTTTTTTAGTTGAGCATTTACAAACCAGGTGGGGAGTAGAAGAAAGTTCCTGCACCAATCTTCCAGGAGAGAAAGAAGGTAGCTCAGTAGTTCTACATATTTGGGAAGAAAAAGAGAATAATTGGCTAATGTTCATAAGAACTAATAATTAACAAATTAGGACTCAAGGTATTTCTTCCCCAAAGAGTAAATGTTTGTTTTAAATGAACAAATGGGTTGATTACAATTACTAACATGTGAAAGTGTTGACTGAGCCCAACTAGCAGCTGTGAAATGCAAACAGACATATAGAGATATAATCACACTCTCATTCCCACTAATGACTGTGATGACGCTACATCATCATACTACAAACTGAAAAGATTAGCCTTGAGGTTATAAGTTGATGCAAAAGTTCTTTAATTAATGCATGTCATTTCTGTTCTCTGGGGCAGCCTTTTGCAGCAAATCTGTTGCTGAAAAGCTAAGCATGCTGGTATATGTCATAAGGCAAAATTTTATTTCCCACAAATTGTATTGTGTATACAAGTACTTTTCAGCAATATTTCACTTACATTTTCTCTACATTTTATTATGAAAAATTGCAAGCATGTTGAAGAGACAAAAGAATTTTTCAGTGACCACCCATAAACATATCACCTATATTCTATAATCAACATTTTAGAATGTCTGCTTTATTATCTGTCCTTCCATTTATCCATCCACTAATACATCTCATTTTATGCATTTCAAATTATATGACAAATATCAGTGCAATTCACTTTTAAATACTTCAATATGCATATCATTAACTAGGGTTAAATATTTGCTTATGGTTCTTTTTAGGTCATATTTACATATACAATATACACAGTGAATGCACCAATCCTAAATTTATAATTTACCATTGGTGCATTCTGTATAATCAAAGCTCCTAGAACATTACCATAGCTCCAGAAAGTTTCCTGACATCTCTTCCACTCCATGCCTTCACTGCTACCCCAAGGTAACCACTGTTCTGATTATTTTCATTGTATAGTAGTTTGCCAGTTCTAGAATATTACATTAACAGAAACATCTAATACATGCACTCTTGCATAAGGCTTCCTTCACTGAGCACCATGTTTCTGAGTTTCATTCATGTTGTGTGAAATCAGTATTTGTTCCTTTTGATGCCAGAGTAGTGGTTCCTTGAATGGACGTATCACAGCTTGATTGCCCATTCTCCTTCTCACGGACATCTAGGTTGTTGTCAGCTTTTGGTAATTATGAATAAAGCTGATATGAACTTTCTATGCAACATTTCCTGTGGACATATGTTTTCATTTCATTTGGGTAAAATCCAGGAATAAAATCACTGGGTCGTAGGTTAGATATATGTTTGGTTTTGAAACTGCCAGAACCCGCCAAAGCGTTGGTGACATTTTACACTCTCATCAGCAATATATGAGAGTTCCAGTTCAAGTTCTACATCCTCGCCAGCACTGGTGCTGTCAGGCTGTTTAATTTTAGTCCTCTGAATGGGTGTGTAGAAGTCTTTGTAGTTTTAATTTACGTTTTTCTGACAGCTAGTGATGTTGAGCATCTTTTCTTCATGTGATTATTGGCTATTCATTTACCTTTCTTTGTGAAGTGTGTCCTCAAATCTTTTGTCTATTTTTATTGGATTGTCTTTTTATTATTGAGTTGCAGAAGTGATGCATATATTCTGGATTCTAGTCCTTTTCCGATATGTTTTGCAATATCTCGCCCAGTCTGTGGCTTGCCTATTCATTTTCTCAATAATGCCATTTGATGAGTAGAATTTTTAAAATTTTTATGAAGTCTGATATAATCATGTTTTCTTTTATGGTTATTGTCTTCCTTAATCTTGTCTAATAAACTCCTTCTTACCCCCAAGTCTCATAGATATTCTTATATAGTTTCTTCTTGAAAGCTTTACAGTTTATGACCCATATTGAATTAATTTTCGTATGTGTGAAAGGCAGACCCAAAATTCAGTTTTCCATGTTAATAGTCAGTTCTTCCAGCACAATTTGCTGACTTTCCCTTCTTCCATTACATTGATTTGGTGTCTTTGGTGAAAATCAAATGCTTATGTGTCTATTTCTGGACCCACAATTCTGTTCCACTTATTTATTGATCATTATGCCATTCATACTATTCAGATTAATGTAGATTTCATAATATGTCTTGGAGACAAGTAGCATAAGCCCTCTAACTTTGTTCCTTTCTAAATGATTGCTTTGGATATTTTAAATCCTTGGCATGTCTATATAAAATTTAAACTTAGCAGGTCAATTTCTTTAAAAATGGCTATTGGAATTGTCAATGGGGTTGTAATCCATCTATGGGGACAGCCTAATTTGGGGAGATTTGACATCACAACAATTTTGAGTCTTCCAATTAATGAACATGGAATATCTCTCTAGTTATTTATTTTCTCTCAACACATTTTATATTTTTTAATCTTGCATTTTTCTTAAATCTATTCCTAATTTTATGATTTGTTGTTTTTCTAAGTGGAATTTTATAAATTGTTACTGGTATATAGAAGTCCAATTGATTTTAGTATTTGACATTACACACTGGGATCTTCCTAAGTTCACTAATTAGTTCTAGTAGTTGTTTTATAGTACAACTCCTAATTCCTTGGCATTGCTTATGTAAACAACCATGTCATCTGCAACACAGTTTTTTTCTTCCTTTCCAATCATTATGCCCTTCTTGTGTTACTGTACTAGCCATCAGGTCCAATATATTGTTGAATTATAGTGGTAAGAGTGGACATCCTTGTCTTATTCTCCATCTTAGGAGTACCAGGACATAATTCTCCATGAATCTCTCATATTCCTGCAAGAAATTTCCCTTCTGTAAGAGAGATGCTAACAGGCAGAAGCACTGACCACCTTTTCTTCTGGATTATCTTTTCAAGACTGTTTATACAATAAACAGCCTAGGAAGGGAGATAATATCTGCAAATACCTCTGAATAAAAGAAGATATGCTATAAAGGATAGGACCTCCAGGGTAAAATGTTGGGCGGGTTTGCTTAAGCCCCTTAGAAAAAATTGGGGTTCAGGTGCAATGACTGGCTTGCTGATGACCACCTTCCCCCGCTGTGTCCTCACATGGCAGAAAAGGAAGGTAAGCTCTCTGGTGTCCCCTCCTATAAGAGCACAAATCCCATCAAGAGGACCCCACCCTCATAACCTCGTCTAAACCTAGCTGTCTTCTAAAGGCTCCATCTCCAAAAACCATCGCATTGTGGGTGTATTAGTCCGTTTTTACACTGCTGATAAAGACATACACAAGACTGGGTAATTTATAAAGAAAAAAGTTTAATGAGCTCACAGTTCCACATGGCTGGGGAGGACTCGCAATCATGGCAGAAAGTGAAAGGCATGTCTTACATGGCGGCAGGTAAGAGAGAATGAGCGCCAAGTAAAAGGGGAAACCCCTTATAAAACCATCAGGTCTCATAAGACCTATTCACTATCACAAGAATATGGGGGAAATCACTTCCATGATTCAATCATCTCCCACTGGGCCCCTCCCACAACAGGTAGAAATTATGGGAGCTACAATTCAAGATGAAATTTGGGTGGGGACACAGCCAAACCATATTAGGGGGTTAGGGCTTCAATATATAGGATTTTCAGGGAGCACAATTCAGTCTATAGCAGAGTTTTAGTAGCGCTGGTGTTATTTCATCCTTAAATATGTTTGATAGAATTAACCAGAGGAACCACTTGGACCTACGGTTTTCTTTGCATAAAGATTTTTAATATGAATTCAATTTTCTTAATAAATATAGAACTGTTACTATTTTTCTACTTCTTCTTGAATCCGTTTTGATAATTTGATTATTTCAAAGCATTTGCCCATTTGATCTAAGTTGGCAAGTTTATTGAAATAAATGTACTTATTATCTTCTTAATGTCTTTAAGGTCTGTAGTGATGGCCTCTCTATTCCTGATGTTGGTAATTTGTATCTTTTTTTTTCTTGATGAGTCTAGCTAGAGGTGTACCTGACAGCTAATATTCCCTATTGTTTGTCTTTTTTCAGCTTCACCGATTCCTGTACTTACCTTTATTCTTTCCTTCTACTGTCTTACTTTGAGTTGGCTTTGTTCTTTGTTTTCCAGCTTCATAAGGTGGAACCTTAAATAATTAATTTTAAGTATTTATTCTTTTCTAATATAAATATTTAAAGCTATAAATTTCCCTCTAAGCACTGCTTTAGTTGTCTCCCACAGATTTTGATGTGGTGTATTTTTTGCCACATAGAAGTAATAATCATGAAAATGAGAACTGAATTTATCCTTCATTTGGAAGTATTTTCACATTTCTCTGGTGAGTTCTTCTTTAATTTACGGTTCTTCAGAAAAATGTTTAATTTCCAAATGCTTACAGTTTTGTGGATAATTTATTATTGATTTCTAATTTGATTTCATAGTGATCAGAGAGCACACTCTGCAGAATGCTCATCCTTTTAAATTTATTGAGCCTTGTTTTGCAACTCAGAATATGGTTTATCTTGTAGAACATGCCATGTTCATTTGAAAGAAATGTGTGTTCTACAGTTGTTGAATGTTCTTTTCTATAAATATCAATAAGATCAAGGTGGCTGGCATTATTCAGATCTTGAATCAGATGTTTACTTCTGCTATCCTTATGTAAACTAGGTAATAAAAGTAAAAGAGTTTCTGCGCACGTTAAATAAGAATGTAAACATATATAAAGCATTTGGGAGACATAATTCTTACAAATCCCAGTTACCTTTCTCTTGTGTGCCCTCATCCCCACTCCTGCGCCTCCCTGAGATCTGATGTCAGCCAGAGGAGCTGAATGAATGAACAGACAGACCCAAGAGAGGAGGGTGTGTCTGCTCTGGTATACTTTCTTCCTGGTCCATGCTCCCTTACCCTGGTTGGCTGGTCCTGGTTTCTACACTTATCAGAATTTGACCTTGTGAGGCTTTGATAAATGGTCCTGTCTTATCTTTTGCATGTCTTGGAAAATACTTTGGTAAAGTATCAGAGGAGTGGTTAGAAGCCTGGGCTCAGGCAGCCTCCGCACCATGGGCTACATGGTAGGGAGAGAAAACAGGTGGTATGAGTGCCTTTCTTTCCAGATCTTGTTTTTATGATAGGCTTCACAATGTCACACAGCACCTCATTCCTCTCAGAATCTGTGGGTGAGACTGCTGTGGTTCCCCAACAACCATTCTCTCCCCCTTCCTTTAATAAAGGATCCCCGATGTTCTAGCTGGATGCATGGAAAACCCAGGCAGTGACTACCTTTCCCAACCTCTTTTGCAAGAAGATGTGACCATGGGACTGAAGTCTTCCCAATGGGTGTGAAGAGAAAAGACATCTACAGCTTTCTTTCTATTCCCTTGATACAAATAGGGCACGTTCATCCCTTCCCCCTACCACTGGCTCGAGAGCAGATAGGGTAATAGTCATTTTCGTGGAGCATCAAAATAGAAGTTTGAACCCCCTGAAACCTCCAGGAGCAATGGACATGGGGCAGTCCTAGCTGCCCTGGTGACCTACTTCAAGATTTTAAGGTAGGAATAAAATAAATTTCAGTCTCATTTAAACCACTGTATTTTGGGGTCTCTCGTTAAAATAGTCTAACATGAATTCTGGCTGATACTAAATCCTTCCCAACACAGAGGTCCAGACAGTCTCTGCCAATGGACTGGTATTTGAGTTGAAACCTATTTGCCATCCTGACTTAAGTGTCCAATCCTAGGTGGGGAGACTGTCACCTCTGTGAGGCCAGGATCCATATCTGCGTCTTAACTTCAAATATCCGCATCGATCTCAGAGCTTGGCTCTCAGAAGCTGCTTAATAAATATGTGCTGAGCAAATGCATGAATGAATAAACTTTGTTCATAGTTTGTTCACATAGTATGTTTTCAATAAATATGATGATGATGATATAAAATTACAGTGAAGGACTAAATGATTCTTAAACATTTCCAACTAGAAAAACCTGTAACTGCCTTAAAAATGGTCAAATAAAGAAATCCTCATATATGAGGTATTTCTGTGGGTATGCTCTGATGGACACAGAAAGGCATACAGAGAGAGAACACCATGTGAAGATTGAAGGCATTCTGCCACAAGCCAAGGAACTACCAAAACTAGGAGACAGGGCTGGAATGGATCCTTCCCTGGAGTCTTCAGAGGGAATATGGCTCTGCCAATACCTTGATTTTGGACTTCTGACCTCCAGAGCTGTGAGGTAATACATTTCTCTGGTTCAAGCTGCCCAGTCTGTGGTACTTTGTTATGACTCCCCAAGCTAACTAAAACATCACCCTAAAGGGATTTTATAAAACTTAGGAAATATGTAAAGCCTCTGACACATGTACACTCACTAAATCATGATGATAACATGATTTTACTTTCCTGAATCCTTATTTCTCTATAGAAGGTTGCTTTGTGACTACAGATAAATACTTAATCTATGTATACCTCAGTTTTCTTATCTGTAGAAGGGCAGTAATGACAGCACCTATGTCACAGGAATATTGTAAGAAGAACAGAAGAGCAAACACAGGGCACAATTAGAACAGTACCTGTCAGATAGTAAGTTCTTAATAAATATGATGATGATGATAATGATGACATATGATGAGAGTGAAGGACTAAATGATTCTTAAATATTTCCAACTAGAAAAACATATAACTGCTTTTAAAAAGGTCAAATAAAGAAATCCTCTGATTTTTCCACAGGTTTGATTGCTGTAGAGTGCAATGAGAAGGGTCATGCAGATGGCTCAGGAAGTCCAAGGCAGAGCAGTCTGTCTCTGGAGAGCATGCCAGAGCCTGGGGTCCTCAAATTACAGCTAGCTCCATTGCAATGAGGAAGCCCTCGGGGGTCTCTGACCCCAGATGCCATAATTAATCTCTGAACTTGCAACTGTTGCCTGGCCTGAAGTTTGTCCTCCAATCAGTCCTCATTCTGTGTGGAGTGTGTTTGTTATAGAACACAGGATAATCGTCCCCAGGTGACTCTTAGCATAAGAGGATCGTGGGGCGCCCAGATTGCTTTGAGAGGCTGTTGCCTCAGGTGGGACCCGTGATCTCCCCAGTAAGCCAAGGAGGGCAGGGATTTGGTGAGGCACCACCCCTACCCACTATGCTTCACAACCCAAGGGATGCAGGTGACAGAGCTGGTGAAGGTGATGGTGACCATGTCTGGCTCCTGCTGTGGTTTGAGGATGCGTGCTAAGCTCAGGAGGCTGGGAGGATACATCTGCCTTTTTTATTGATGCCTCGGCCTCATCCTCCCTGAGAAATCTGATTATCTGGGCTACGCCGGCAGATGTCAACATGAAATGTTTGCTTTCAGGTCCCCACTTGCGGGGGGCGGATGGGGCTGGCTCCTGCCTTCCTGTCAACAAACCATCATTAATCCCCCTCTCTTAACAGTCGATATTTAATGCCATTTTTCCTGGTTTATGTGGCTCGGTGACCTTTCTTTATTTTGTTCCTAATAAAGATGGCCCCAGTGGGTTTGGGCCTGAGGAGAGCTCTTTAATTCAGAGGGCATTAAATCAAAGGGAGCTTTCCGAGGCAGCAGAGAGCTGCTGCAGCCAGCTCTTTGGGGTTCTGTTCACTGGCTGCTCTGGTCACTGTAGGAGTATCTTTCTGTGGCATCCCCTACAGAATCCACTATTCCAGAGCTTTCTATTTCCCTTCCTTCCTGCTCCAGACCTTTGACCTGGAAGGTACACTGCAATGAGTAATTCTCCCAGTCCCTGTGTGTTTTGGTATAAACCTGTTTGTCTGAGACGGAGGATTATTGCTGTAAGAGCTGAGACGTATGGCCAAGCCCACCTGTGGATGGGGATCAGACCAGCACGGCCAACTAGTTGGCTGGTTCCCTGAGGGCTGAAGGGCAGAAGCATGATCCTTTCTCAATCAGACAATCCTGCTGGATTTGGGAGTGGGGACAGGAACTACTAAGGGTGGAGATGGACAGTGAAACTTGCTTTTCTTTTGGGTAGGAGTTTCTTACCTTCTCTTGTCAAGTGTGCCTACAAGAAGATTCCAGCTCAGTTGCTCCCAAGAGGTGCCCTGGACTCCAGGGTTATGGCCCCTGTAGGTACCACTAATACACACACACACACACACACACACACACACACACACACGAGTCTACCCTGCAGGGTTATGGCCCCTGTAGGTACCACTACTATTACTGCACGCACACACACACACACACAAATACACACACACATGAGTCCACCCTGCAGGCTTATGGTCCCTGTAGGTACCACTACTACACACATACACACTCACACACACACACAAGTCTACCCTGGCTTCACCACCTCTGTCTCTCTAAGCCAAAAACTTTCTACCACACTGGTTAAGCTGCTGAAGTTCTCAACCCTAGTTATGCATTAGAATCACCTGAGGAGCTTTGAAAAATACAGATACCTGAGAAAAATGTAGCAAGCACTTTACAAAAGAGGCTACCTAGTGACCAGTGAACACATCCAGGTGCTCAGCTTCACTAGTCATCGGGGAAACACAGAATAAACCACAGTGTGATCCCACTACACACTCCATAGGCCGGCGAAGATGAAAAGCACAGACAATACCAAATTCTGGCTGGCACGTGGCATAACCAGAACTCTAATTCACTGCTGGTGGCAGTGTAAATTGCACAATCACATCCAAAAGCTGCTTGGTGGGATCTAAACTGAACATACACATAACGGCCTGACCTAGCACTTTCATCAGAGCATACCCACAGAAATGCCTCATATATCCACCAAAGACACAAATAGGAACGTTCATAGCAGAACTCTTCATAGGAACCCAAACCAGAAATGATCCATATGCTCATCAATCAAAGAACTGATCAATAAAGAGTGGCATATTCATACAGTGAGCTTCTAGAGAGCAGTGAGAATGAGTAAATACAGCTATAAGCGACAACATAGATGTTTCTCATATAATGTTAAGTAAATGAAGCTGTGCACAAAAGAAAGGACTCGCTTTTTTAATCCATTTGTAAGAAGCTCAGAAACAGGCAAAACTAATCTAAGATGTCAGAAAGAATATTGGTGAACTTCAGGGGGTGACTGGGAGGAAGCCTGGGGGATTCTGGGTGGCTGGCAACGCAGTGCTCTGTTTCTTGATGTGGGTGACAGTTACATAGGTGTGTTCAGTTTGCAAACATTCATCAAGTTGTGCACACTTAGGAAGTGTACACTTTTCTAAAGAATGTTATGTGTCAATATTTAAAAAAAAATACATTAATACCTAGCCTCTACCTTCAGAGATTCTGATTCTGTTAGTCTGGGCTTCAGGCCTGGCATGAGTATGTCAGGTCGTCCCAGGAGGATCTAGTGTGCAGGCAGGACTGAAAATCCTGGACTTAGGGAATGAGGGTTGGAGTCAAAAGCAGCAAGCTTAGAAGACTGGTCCTTCCACAAACTTGCTGGCATAAGCTACTGAGTCTCTCTGGATCTGTTTTTCCCCCGAGTCAGGAAAAGGGGACAATAATTCTGTACCCGTACCCACTGCATAGGGTTTTTGCAAGGAACAGATGGGATTGTGTTTGTACAGCACTCTCCACTGTGCCTGCCTGTACAGTGAGTGCTCCATGATGACAACAAACCAGTGAGTGCTCCATGATGGCAGCAAAGCACAGTGAGTGCTCCATGATAACAAAAACCAGAGTGAGTGCTCCACGGTGGCAGCAAACCACAGTGAGTGCTCCATGATGACGACAAACCACAGTGAGTGCTCCATGATGGCAGCAAACCACAGTGCTCCATGATAACAAAAACCAGAGTGAGTGCTCCACGGTGGCAATAAACCACAGTGAGTGCTCCATGGTGGCAGCAAACCACAGTGAGTGCTCCACAATGACAACAAACCACCGTGAGTGCTCCACAATGACAGCAAACCACAGTGAGTACTCCACAATGACAACAAACCACCATTAGTGCTCCACAATGATAGCAAACTACAGTGAGTGCTCCATGATGACAACAAACCACAGTGAGTGCTCCACAATGACAACAAACCACGGTGAGTGTTCCAGGATGACAGGAATACACAGTGAGTGCTCCATGATGACAATAAACCACCGTTAGTGCTCCACAATGACAGCAAACCACAGTGAGTACTCCACAATGACAACAAACCACCTTTAGTGCTCCACAATGACAACAAACCACCGCTAGTGCTCCACAATGATAGCAAACTACAGTGAGTGCTCCATGATGACAACAAACTACAGTGAGTACTCCACAATGACAACAAACTACGGTGAGTGTTTCAGGGTGACAGCAATCCACAGAAATGGCTGATCCAAGATTGCTTTATCTCCCATCCTGCCTCAGGATATCTTTGGCCCACCAGAAGCCAGGATCCCGGGACTGGGAGGCAGAAAGCCTGGACTCTAGACTGGGACACTGAGAAAGGAGGCTGGGCAAGCCACATCCCCTTTTCAGACCTTAGTTTCCCCAGGGGTAACACCCAAGTGTTCCACAAGAAAAACTAATGTCCCTCCTGGATCTGACATTCAGGAAATGCCATTATCCATCTCTGAGCTGCTGTTACAGCTGAGGAGATCACCTCCTTTGCCTGCATCCCCCTCCCACACCCCTGCCCAGGAGTATCATATGTCAAGACAGAACCACTGTGGCTGAAGAATCAGAGGAGATTCCCGACTCCCGGCGGACCCCATACTACATGGAGGTCAAACAGTGCCTCTGCTTAAGCTCAGCTAAGAGAAGGGCATTTCCATCAATTTTATAGGCCTAACTTCCTCCACCTGTTCTTTCCCCACCTTCCCACATAAGAAAAAAGGTGAGGAGAAAGAAAACAAGAGAGTTGCCGCTTTCCCCTTTGTCCAAGGGCCTTTGTCAGCCTTTGCTATTCCTAACTACCTAATGCCCCACGTGAATCTTGAAGACCTTTAATTCTAGATCTGCCCTGCCAGACAGGGTGAGGCAGGCATTCTTTACCTCCCCGCCTCCACCCGGGTGTCAGGGACTGCATCTAGGAAGAAAGCCTGGAACCTCACAGGTTTAACCGAAATATTCTAGCTCAATTAAGCAAGCAGGAATGGCAGTGAGGAAAGCCAGCATGCAGATGTTGCAAAGCTATTCTGCCTTCAGAAGGTGTCATCCCGCTAGCAGGGAGTGGGGAAGGGGGCCAAGCTGGAAAGTTTGCTACCCCTTTGAGTTCACTAAGTCTGTTCCAATATCAGTCATCTGAATGTTTAAGAATACCACAGCTCAGCTCCCAGATGGGGAAGTAGGGGCAAATGGATGTGGGGATGACTGTCAATCAGGCAATGGAGCAGATGTCTGAGGAAGTCAGCCCTTTATTTATCTTCTCCCAGGAAGCCACCTCTGAGAGGTGGCCAGAGACCTTAACACTCTGCACCAGGCCTGGTCCCCAGGGCTGGGGCTGGGCCACATTGAGGGAAGTGAGCCATTCCTTCTAGTGACCATGCATAATTTTGCTAACCTCCTCATACAGCCCACAAGCCAATGTATTCAATTTGTTGAAGTTAAGGAGAATGACAATTTTAGCTCCTGCAACAAATGAAAAAGGATTACTCTGAAAGAGAAGAGAATCTGTTTTTCTATGGCAGTGGATCGAAAGTGTTTATCAGCTGTGACAAGAGAATTTCATCTGCCTTTAAATGACATATGAAGTTGTTTATCACCCCCAGACCTAAAATGTTTAACTTTAAAAGTTTAAATACTAAAGGAGGACTTTATGAAGACTGGTAGAGACACATATGTACTCCCAGAAAGTCAGCAAATACTTAGCTCACTTTTGCTGAGCACTTCATGTGCATGAGAGAAAAGGATACAGAGACAAGGTCCAGAGAGGGCGACATGCAGAATGACAAACACTGAGAGAACCTGGAAAGACAGACAGATACACATGTACTAAGCTAAGAGGTGAAGACAGAGGGTGAGAGGCCTCTACAATCAGAGAGAGTAAAAATGTTTCATGACTGCAGAACAAGATATAAATACATCAAGGAGGATAGAAGATCCATCAAAACCACAGATCAACAAATAGCGTTTGTTTTAGTCATCTCTTCACCTCCAGCACTAAGGATCCCTGGCCACATCCCCTACAGAGTCCACTATTCCAGAGCTTTCTACTTCTCTTACTTCTGGCAGATCTTTGACCCAGAAGGTACACTGTGATGAGCAATTTTCCACATCCCTGAGGGTTATGGTATAAACCTGTCTTGCTAAGATGGAGGATTCTTGCTGTAAGAGCTGGGACTTATGGCTCCAAGCCCATCTGTGGAGGGCGATCAGACCAGCAGGGCCAACTGGTTGGTTGGTTCCATGAGGGCTAAAGAGCAGAAGCATGATCCTCTCAGACAATCCTGCCGGATTTGGGAGAAGGGACAGAAATTACGAAGGGTGAAGATGAACAGGCAAGCCAAGGTGAGACAGGATATGAGTCCTCTGGTTGGTCAGGGATGGTGTGTGGTGAGAGGAGGTCCACTGAAGGATGTGCAGTAACAAAGAAGAACTATTTCTACTGGATCCACAGGCATGCTACTGAGGCCCTGTGGGAGGGACCCCTGGCTAAAAATCTCTCTCTGGTTTTTGATGTGACTTAAAATATCTTTGCATCCATCGGGGTGCTTTCAGCTGTACACAACAGAATATCCAACTAAAGCGATATTTGTTTTTTGCATTACAAAAATCTAGAGGTAGACCATTTCAGAGTTGGTTACCAGCTAGTCACAAAGTTCAGCTCGGATTCAAGGAGAGAGGACATAGGACCTACATCTTGACCAGAACAGTGTGAAAGAATTTGAGAAGCAAAAAAATGTCTAAAAATAAATGAGCGTTGTTTTGGACAACTGAATTTTGAGTTGGTATGTTACACAGCATTATGTTGGCAATGGCTGACTGATACACTTTTAAAATCATCTCTTGCTGTCAGTTGATTACTATTGTAAGGTTGGCTTTGTCCAGAGGAAATGGAGCTCAAGAAAGGCCATCTAAAGTGGTCTCCTAAGTGCTTCCAATTCTCTCCTGCTTTCATCTCCTTTCCCTCCTCAATCACCCTCTAGACTGATGGAGGCCGCAGAAGTCCGCAGGCCCTCAGCTCCCATTCTCCTTCATGTTGTGGCCGTTTCTCTGCTGTATCCACTATTCTTGGATTTCTCATTACTGGCAAGGCTGCACAATACCTGCTAGGGCCTCCAATTTTGCTGCTCTCAAAGCTTCCTCTGCGGGCCTTCCTCCCTTCAAAATTCCCATTTATCCTTTGTAAAGCATGGGTTCCACAGCAGCTTTCTCAAGCCAAGGGCCAGTTCTTTTGGAAATATCACAGGCCCACCAACTTGGTGAGGCAATGAGACATTATCTCCTGCCTTTTCTCCAGGTGGCTTTGACACTTTGAATGTTTATCCATCAGTCTTCTCCAGATGGCTTCCCACAGCTCTCCTGCCCCCAAATCCTGCCTCTGTGCTCACTGAGGAACCAGCTTCTGGTTTCCATTCCTCATCCAAAATAGAGCTGTCTTCTTTCTTGGACTCCAGGAATCCTGAGCATTCAATTGACATGTGAGTCATAAGCACTCGCCACGTGCCAGTCACCGTGCTAAGTACGCAGGCTGCACAGAGTACAGGCCTGCCCTGGAGGACTGGGCATGTGTATTGAGAGGCACAGACAAGAAAGTAAAATGGAGCCCTAAAGCTCTATTACAGGGGACTTCCTGTAGCTATCAAGAAATATTTGTTGAGCACCTACTGTGTGCAGAGCAATGTGTTTGACTGAAGATAGAGCAGCAGCCAAAGCAGATGAAGTCCCTGCCTTTGAGAACTTCAGCCAGGAGTTTCCAGACTTACAGAATTCTGTCCCAAGTCCAGTGGGATTCAATAAGGAGAATCACATTTCTCTAGGGACCAGTGTTGTATGTAGTGGATACACTCTGTGTTCTTTCCACTCACTGTCCCAGTTCATGCCCTGGGGCCCTACAGTAAGCACCATGACTGGGCTCAGGCTTTCTCCTGACTCATGCACAGAACAGGCCCCAGCTGTCAGGAGCTGACAGTCCCGGAGCAGTCAATGAAGCCTGGGAGCTGAAGGGTAAACATCCTGGATTCCTTGCCCCCAGAGGGGACGATGCTGAGGTGTGTTCTACACAACGGCCAAGAGGTCCCCAGCTGGATGGAGACTCACTTCTCCACAGTGGTGGCTGCTCATTAACATACCCTTCAGGGGCTTCCTTCCCCTCCCTCCTCATGGCCCCACACCCTGCCTCACCTCCCAAATAAATCACTTGCATCAAAATCCATGCTTTGGGCCGGGCGCGGTGGCTCATGCCTATAATCCCAGCACTCACAAGGTCAGGAGATCGAGACCGTCCTGGCCAACATGGTGAAACCCCGTCTCTACTAAAATAGCAAAAATTAGCCAGGCATGGTGGTGCACGCCTGTAGTCCCAGCTACTCGGGAGGCTGAGGCAGGGGAATCACTTGAACCCAGGAGGTGGAGGTTGCAGTGAACCAAGATTGAGCCACTGCACTCCAGCCTGGTGACAGAAAAAAAAAAAAATCCATGCTTTGAAGGAACACAGAATAAACAACAACAAATAGGAATAGGAGTAGCAGTAGTTGTAACTGGGAGCTTACAGTGTGCCAGGTATCTTTGGAATGGCTCGATTTTCATTACGCATTCAATTTCTACAATGCTGCTATGAGGCAGGCATTGCAATGATCTCCACTTCAAAAAGGAGAAACAGAGTCACAAGAGGGAAACCGGCATTACATTAGGAGATACCGCTGGCCAAAATTCAAGATCCCAGACCCAGCTCTGGGCAAACCAGCTGAGGATATTTTAGGGAATCTGCTTCAATTCTAGGGCCTCAGTTTCCCCTCATTTACAATAAGAATGACGCTCCCCATCTACCACATGTCGGAGGGCTTCTGAAGCTCCTGTTGTAAAGCTCCAGTGACATAACTGGCATGGTAAGGCCCTTGGAGAGGGCAAAGCTCAGTGTGAAATGGATAGATGAAGAAGGGAAGGATGAAAAATGCACTGTGTTCTCCCAGGCAGCACTCCTGGCCCTGATGATCTGGGTTTAATCCGGGAGGGGTGAGGTCTCTGTTCCTGTCGCTCCCCATCCTCAAGGGATCAATATTGGAATTCAAAGCCATGAAAAGTTATTCCTATGTGGTATTTCCTATTCTTATTGCCTCAAAACAATATTCTATTCTTATGTATTTGTTGTTATTGTTTGCTGGCTTTTATTGGTTTAATCTCCCCTCAGACTGGGGCTCCCTGAGGACAGTGCTGCATCTCCCTCAGACTGAGGCTCCCTGAGGTTGGGACTGTGTCTCCCTCAGACCAGGCTCCATTAAGTAAGAGCTTGTCTTCCTTTCCTATTATTGCCAATTGTGGTTCTAAGCATGGATACTTGTAGCAGAACTCCTAAGGCTGGGGGTTCCCACAGCAGATTCAGGACTCTTTAAACAGATCTGGGAACTTGGGAGGTAAGGAGGCTGGGATCCTGGTCTGAACTGCCATGGAGCAGAGCCCTGTGATGTGAGGATGTCCTCATTCTGTTTGTGTAACTTTCCACTTGACTTATTTATAGGTGCCCACACTGAGTGAGTTTACTGTCTGTGGAGTCTGCCACATTTCAGGATCTTTGTGCCGGAGGGGCTAGGCAGGGAAGGAGAGGAGTAGAGGGTGTCGGGAGGAGGACAGGGAGGAACTTCAGGACAGAGGCTCAGTGAAATATGCCCAGGCCCCCAGAGTTCCTAGACTCCCACAAATTGTATGAGTGTCAATCTGTGCCATTTCACATAATATTTTTATAAAGAAAGTTTAGGTATAGAATGCCTTCCTGGAGGATGAAATTCAATGCTGCCTGGATGCCTGACCTGACCCAAATCAGAAGTGGGATGACCCGTTTTTGGCTCTAATTCTTACCTCTCTAGGCCCTCTGTCTTGTAGGCTCCAACCCGCCTGACCTGTATGCCCTGCCTCTACGCTTACCTACCTATGGCCCTCACCTGCAGGGCTCCGTTCTGGGAGAGGGAACCCCTGTCCATCCTACCACCTTATTGAGCAGCCCGAATGCATTTAACTCATTTCCCCTCACAACAATCTTATGAAGAGTGACTTGTGTTATTCCCATTTTACAGATGAAGAAACTGAGGAACAGGGAAATTAAGTGATTTGCCCAGGGTCACACAGCTAGTGGCAGAGGTGGCTTGAACCCATGTCATCTGCTGGCGATGGTGAGCAGTTCCCAGAACAAGGGGATTTAGAGCTTCTTCCTACAACCTACCCAGGACCCATCAGCACCCCAGTCCCTTGCCGTGCTCTCCTCTTCCCTTCCTTTCCAAGCAGTCAGCATCTTTGTTCACGCTGAAAGCTTTACTTGTTTATAAGCTTACCAGGGGTTGTCTGTTCACTGTGAGCCTGTAGGCTCCCTGAGGGCAGCCTTGTCAGCCAGCTTTGTTCCCTGCTGCTTTGCAGCTCTGGAACAGGACCTGTCACAGAGAGGCCACTCTGTACATGCTTGTAGAATCAAAAAAGGAGTGATTTAGGGAGTGGTCACCCAAGTAGTAGCCTTCTCTGTTTAAACAGTTTTTCCCAGTCACAGCAGCAAGGCCCCAGATGCAGTCTAGGCAGATTGCGTGTGTGCCTCTGAGTGTGTGTGTCTGTGTGTGTGCTTGTGTGTGTGTGTGTGTGTGTGTGTGTCCCAGCAGTATCCTGGCTGGAAGCTGTCAGCCCATTGGGCTGGCTGGGCTGTGAGCTGCCTGTGTCTCGTGGCAGCCTAATCATGCCTGACAGATCGACTAGGGGAGAAAGTTGCTGCGTCTCTATCGCAACAGACAGAGTGAGCATGTCTCCACTTAACATTTCCCATACACAGGAAGGCAGGAGGTGCAGGCTGGGGTGGATAGGAGGGGGTCAGGCATGGAGCGTGAGCAGGAGGTCTGTAGAGAGACAGAGGGAATGGGGGGTGGGGGGGGGTGCAGCACACTGAGTGAGCATGGACGAGCCAGAGGAGCTGCGGGAAGAGGTTGGAAGACAAGGGAGGCAGATATGGAGCTGATGGGGCTCGTCCCCATGGTGTGTGCAGGGAGCCCCAGGTCCACAGACATCCTCGTTGGAGAAGCATTGCCCTCTCCCTTGGATCAGCAGGGTGGTTGCTCGGACAACCTGCAGGCCCACAGACCTTGGGTGGCCCTGAAGCCTGGCTCTGAACTGCACTCAGGAAGGGAGTGAAGCAGAGTGAAAGTGTTCAGGAACCTTCAGAGATGAACCATCTGCCATGGGCTCCCCTCCTATGGCTGAATGATCAATGGCCACTCAGCCTTCAGCTGGGAGGGGAGGAAGAGCTCTGGCTGGACTGAGAAAGCTGCAGAGGTCCTTGGAAACATCAGTCTACCCCTTCTGGTTTTATCCAGGAGGCAATGGGTCTAGAGAAGGGAAGGAACTCTCCCGGGCCATTTATTGACCCACCACCAGTGGCTTCTCTTACAGATGCTGAGCCTGGTGGGTGCCTGGGGTGACAGTGGTTCTCCTGGATCTGTCTTCTCTGTCCTAGAGGCTTCACAGTGGGGGACTTATAACAACTGTCACATTAGACCCTAGAGAGAAAGTTGCTGCCTCCAGCTCAGCACATGGTCTTCTCTGCAATTCCACAGGGGTTACAGGATGCAATGAAGACCCCGGGTTTTCACCCAGACCACTCCACTCCAGGTGAAGAGACCTATGGCTTCTAGAAAGCTGGCCACTAATGTTCTGAATCATTATACTTTTTAAATAGGGACAGTCTTAGTGGCAGATATTATATGCCACCAAGCCACCCCTTATATTGTGTTTTTTGTCAAACTTGTAAATGTTACTGATTAACTGGGGTTAAAAAAACCCATATATATATTCAAAATTTTATTTTAGAATGCTTAGCAGGGGGAACAAACCAGACAGATCCAACAATGATAACAGTCATTATTATTGGGAAATTAGGTCTGGGAATTATAATCATATTTTTTGCATCCCCTGTATTTTATAATTAGAACAATAGGCATTACTCTCCTAAAAGTAGTATGCCTGGTTTTGAATACACAAAGGATCTCAGTTTCATAAATAAAACACACATAGCAAAATATCTCAAAATTAAAAGTTTTAAACATAATAGTGGCTGTGTTGTGAAGCTGTGAGTGATTTTTTCTTTTCTTCTATTTCTTCTCCTCCTCTCAAAATCAGCTGCATTACTAACATAGGGGGTACAGGGTGAGTGTGGGTGGGGAGGGGAGGACAATATTTCTAACAAACAAAACATTCATTTGCACTGTTCTTCCTCACCGTCATCAGGAGAGGCCCAGCAGAGAGGAAGATAATTGTAGCTTTACTCAAAGCTCTGGGCTGGAGGCCCTTGGAAAGACACACACAATGAAATCAGTTCAACAATCAGCAGACATTGTTAATGGCCTTCCTGAATCTGCTCCCTCCCTTTGTGTCTCTGGCTGTATTCCAATGATCATCCTCTTCGCAGAGGCCAGATGTGCTGCCAGTGTCCTTTGGCCCTGACAGGACCCCAGCGCTTCTCCACGGCACACCATCGGCATTTATGATACAGACGTGGAGCATCTCTGCCCGCCAGGGACTGTATGCTCAGAGAGGCCCCAGATGTTACATCTTCCAAAAGCTCCTCCCCACATGTGCAAATGTTCCCCAGTGAGGCTGCTACATACACCTTGGTTGAAACCCCCTGGAAGCCAATTGCCATGACTGTATTTCCTTTGCTACCAATTTAAGGAAAGTCAGGGGTTAGAGGTTGAATCGCATCCCTCCAGAAAAGATATATTGAAATCATGAACCCCAGTACCTGTGAATTTTACCTTATTTGGAAATAGGGTCTTTACAGACGTAGTCAAGTTAAGACAAAGTCATTAAGGAGGGCCCTAGTGCAATGTGACTGGTATCGTTATAAAAAGAGGGAAGTTTGGACACAGACACATGCAGAGGGAGGACTAGGTGAAAAGACATGAAAGATGAGTTACCGTGCCGCAAGCCAGGGAATACCAGAGCTGCAAAGATGGAAGGGACAAGAAAAGACCCTTCTACCACATATTCAGGAAGAGCATGGTCCTGCTGAAGCCTTGCTTTTGACTTTAAGCCTCCAGAACTGTGAGAATATACATTTCTGTTCTAAGCCACCCAGTTTGTGATGCTTTGGTACAGCAGCCCAGGAAACTGATATAGCAGGAGACTCTATTCTAGACAATAGCATTTGAGGGAAAGCCCATTGGGAAAATGTTTCCTATTAATACAAAGAGACCAAAAAGAACGATGGTTTATCTGACGATGGTGTTGTGGTGTCTGTATATGGTGGTGGGAACTGCTGCAGCCATCTTGAGCATGTGAGAGACAAAGCTGATATAATGAGCTTGTAGAGAATAAAGAAGAACCTGGGTCATTAATGATGATTGTTAAAGCTTTGCAGCAATCAGCCCTGCAATCACTCAATCTTCTTATGTCAGATAGTAAATTCAAATGCCTCTTCAATGACACACATATGATATAAATCAATCAGTCAACAGCCTAGGGCCAATGGTGGACACAAGTGAAGAAGTTGGTAAAAAGTAGCCAACCTTAGTTTGTCAATATCAGGTTCACAAGTCAATGCCCTACAATGGAGAAACCTAACACGGATATTATTTGCTTTTGTCTTAGTCAATCTTAATTTTCCAGATATAGTGACAGAAATGCATAAAAGCACAGCCTGCCTGGACAGGAAGAGAGTTTAGTCTTCATCTCATGCAGTGGTTCTCAAAGCATGGTCCAGGGGCCTCTGGGGCCAGTGAAGTCAAAATTATTTTTATAATAATACCGAGGTGTCATTTGCCTTTTTCACTCTGATTCTTTCACAAGCATTCAGTAGCATATTCCAGAGGCTGCATGACATGTGATATCACAACAGATTGAATGCAAAAACAGGCATGCAAATCCAGCTGTCTTCTGATAAACCAGACATGAAAGAGAGTTCCAACAATGGAAAACAAGACCACTGTTTTTACAAACTTTTTTTGTAAAATAGTTATTTTTTCATAAAAATATCATTTGTATTACTATGCAAAGGGTTTATGATTTTAAAATAATAATATTTTATATAAATATTTTAAAATTTCTCTGAAGATGAAAGTATGTGTAACTCATATAAATGAAAGCTCTTTAGACTCCTTGATAATATTTAACAGTGTAAAGGGACGCTGAGACAAAAATGCTTTCAAACTGCTGATCTAGTGACACGATGGTTGACCCAGGGCAAGGAGATAGGCACTCATTTAGCTGGGACTGTAGACAGAGGCATGGAATTGGATTAGCTGATCACAGTAACAGCAAATATGTACAGGTGCCTGTAACAGGATAGGTGTTATGCAGAACATTTACACCTGTGACCTTGCATCATTTTCACAACAACTGTTTATCTTACAACTTTCCTATGAGATAAGCAGATAGACACTGCAATACCCATTTTGCAGATGAGAAAACCATGGATTAAGTAAGACAATCCTCTGCCCAAAGTCTTACAGCCAGTAAATGCTCAAGTCAGGATTCAAATCTGACACCAAAACTAGTGTTTCTGAATCTGGTGTCTTAGCCTCTGAACTTTCATGGAGTCAAAACTTGAGCCCCAACACTTACCAGTGTTTGAACTTCAGTCCATACTCTGAGCTCCCTGGGCCTCAGTGTCCTCATCTGAATAATGAACATGGAAATATCTAGGTTGTGAGGATCAGTGGAAATCACAGATGCGAGAACCATATGTAAATAGTAAAGTTGATGTGATTATTATGACCCCTGCCTTCCAGCTGTGGTCTCTTTTGTGAGGACAATTTTGGGGATGGTTGTGAACATTAAAAGTATGGACTCACTTTCATGTTTGAACATGTGTGTGTATGCCCACACGCACACACAAGGTGATATGTGGCATACACATTTTTATATTAATACTCAGAGATATACTTCAGCCTGTAAATCTCTTCTCTCTCTCTCTCACACACACACACACATGCACGCACGCACACACACACACACAGTCTCAGCAGCTTTTGTGGAGGCAGAGACTGGCTTAGCAGGGTTAATAAATGCACCAGCATCCCCACAGCTAGAAGGAGTATCCAGCACCAGGTACTTGGCAGTGGGCCACGCCCCACCCCCATCTCTGGACCACAAACAGTCAACAGCACTGGAGATGTGACAGGCCTTTTCTGAGTTTTTTCTCTTTCAGCACAAACCTAAATAAGCACCATTTCCAGGCACTATTTTGTGAGGTGAGTAATAGAGTCTGAAACAATTATTAGATATTTACTGTAGCAAAAGCACTGAACTGAGATGTGCTTTAAAAACACTAAACAGTAAACCAGGGAGGAAGATAGAGTGTCTGGGATCAACTCTGGAAGAGGCAGGCAGTGTCTCAGGCTGTGGCCCTGCTGCTGGCTATGGCTTGGAGGTTCCAGTGCCCTCTTCCCTCTTAGCCTTTGCAGTGGGGGGAAGAATCTGGTTTATGCCAGCTCCCTGCCCCGATTCTTAACCAATGTGTGTCCTTGGGCAAGCCACCTACCCTCTCTGGGCCTCAGTTTTCTCTACTATGCCCTGAGGGTTGACCAGATGACCCATATAATTCTGTGACCCCTGCAAAGTATGTCTCTGTGGTTTCACTGTACTGGGGCTAGTGTTCCCTGGAGCAAAGGGTCAGAAGTGAGTGATGGGAGAAAGGATGAGCCAGAACTTTAGACCAGGGTTTCGCATGCCTCTTACGCATCTCCCAGCTCCCCAGGAAGTCTTATGAAGTATATGCATAGGGTGTTGGGGTTGCTAAGGATCAGCTCTGGCAGGGACAAAAGCCAAGAAATGGAGGCAGGGACAGAGGGAGAGACCCATGGAGGAAACAGATGAAGGCACTTTTCTGGTCCCTTATCTCTCCACGATCACTTGCCCCTAGCTCCCTTGTGCCTGCACAACTTTGCCCCTGAAGTCCCTGCACTCACCATGCCCATCTCCCCATGACTATCCCTCCCCCTCCACTCTCTGAAATCATCTCCTCCCTCTCTCTCCTTTCTAGCTGTTGACTCTGGCTCTCAGAAACCCAGAACTATATTCCAGGCTCACCCGCAGTGGCCTTCTGGTCCTAGAAACTTGGACACGCCTATTTATCTTCTCTTGCCAACTCTTCTGTGAGGTGGAAAGAGCTTTTGCTTTGCAGTCAAAAGGTATGGCCTCTAGGTCCACCTCTGTCACTTACCACTGGTGGGCCCTCAGGCAAGTTCTTCTCTTTTTGAACCTCAGTTTCCTTATTTGTAATTTAGGGCTAAAATGAATACTTCTTCACAGGATGTTTTGGTGACTACACATGAAGGCACTTTGTAAGCTGATATGGTGCTTAAATGCTATAATTTGACTGCATTGTGCTTGATTTAACTTAATTTTGTTATCCCCTTTAGAGCCCTTGTGAAAATAGCGAGGTCTGCACACACAGGCATATTTTGGAGAGAAAGCCTATCTACCTTCCATGGGGCCCTTTACTTTTACACACATGCACATACTATACACACACACACACACACACACACACACAGAGAGTTGAGGCTCCAAAAATAGACTTAAGAGAAGGCAGGTGAGGGGGGAAGGGTGGTGCACATCCCTACAGGGAGGGAGGAAGGACAGGGAGAAAGAGAGAATGTTTCCCTTGCCCTTGCCCCTGCCCGTGGGTTTTCTCACCTGAATGTCCACAAGTGGGTTGAAAGATACTCATTGTTGGCTGAATTGTATGAAAAGACTCCTAAGAAGTGCACCCTCCAAACTTGCCTCCTCTCAGTACCTCCTTAGTCATATGCATTATCTGAGTGTGGAAATTCTGCCTTCTAGAACTGGGGAGGGAGACAGCAGGTATCCTCCAGCTTGGAAGTGGCAAGAGCTTGGATGTGAGGCCTACCGCAGCCTCATCACTAACACTGCGGAAGCCAGCACCGGCCAACTGATACAGTTTGGATGTCTTCCCCCTCCAAATCTCATGTTGAAATGCAATCTCCAATGTTGGGATCCCCAATGCAATCCTGTCAGTATTGGAGGTGAGGACTGATGGGAGGTGATGGGAGGTGACTGGATTATGGGGTGGATCGCTCATGATGAGTGAGTTCTTGCTCAGTCAGTTCACATGAAATCTGGTTGTTTAAAAGGGTCTGGACCACCCCCTTCTCTTTTTCGCCATGTGATGCACTGGCTCCAGCTTTGCCTTCTGCCATGATTGGAAGTTTCCTGAGGCCCTCACCAGAAGCAGGTGCCAGTACTATGCTACTCATACAGCCTGCAGAGCCATGAGCCAAAATAAACCTTATACATATATATATATTAAATAAATATATATAAATATATATATGTAAACATATATATTAATATATATAAAAATATATATGTATATATATATACATATATATAAATATATATGTATATATATAAATATATATGTAAATATATATAAATATATATGTAAATATATATATATAAATATATATATATATATAAAATAAATAAAACTTACTCGGTCTCAGCTATTTATAGTGATGTGAGAATGGCCCAACACATTGACCTTGGGCCAGGAATCCCCTGCCCTGCTTCCATGGCTGGCTCTGAGGCAATAGTTCCTGGGGGAACTTTAGCTGGGCACCTACCATGTGCCACTCTAACTCAGAGTTCAAAGAACGTGGAGAGGATGGGTATGGTTCTGGTCTGGCCCAGTGGGTGGCACAACTCAGCAGTGGACCGTTTGGCCAACAGGACCCTCCAAGTCATATGGCATCTGGGTTATATGTCCAGTCAGAGCAGAATCCTGACCCCCGCAGAATTCTGTCTTCTTCTAATACCAGGGAGTCCTGGATCCCTGGAGGGTTGTGGTCTCTGTAATCCATGTCTCTCTGAGGTCCTAACTCCTTCTGCACCCACATCCATTCACCCCACCCTGGCACAACGTAGGGCAGGACCTTTAGCAGAACCTGGAGGGTTAGCTGTGCAGAACTGAATGATCAACTACACGGTGTCTGGGCAGGGAAAACTGGCAAAGAGTGCTGGGAGAGGGCAGGGGCAGCAAAGATAAGTCAGGTTGCCCGTTTTTTACAGTGTGAAGACTTTTTGGAGAGGCTGACAGGGTCTCACCTGGAGGAGGGAGTGAATCATTCTTCCTCAAGGGACACGTCAAGAACTCAGTAAGTGTAGATATTAGGGGTGAAGATGTGCAAACTTTTCCATAGTTGGGAAGGCACATTTGCCAACAACACAGTGACTTCATTTTCCTGGCAAAGGGAAAGGACTAACATTTAAGAAGCACCTACTGTGTGCTCCAAGGTTGTTTCGTTGCTAGGTTGCCTGAGGACAGAGGAAGAGATGACTCAGTAAGATTATTATTACTATACTCTACAGATGGAAGACACTGTTAGCTGCCCAAAGTCACAAAACTAGTAATTGGCCAAGCCAGAATTGGAACTCAGGCCTTTGGATATCAGAGCTGATGATCTTTTTACATCTGCATGATATTTCTCTGGAATCACATAACCCTGATCAGAATAAAAATGAGAAAGAATGAGTGCATGGATCTACAACTGTGGGAACCTCAACTCTTCCATGCTCTCCAAAGTCAGGGGACTTCGTAATTCACAAAAACGGAAGAAAAACTACTCCCCTCCAGCCAGCCCCTTGTACTCCATGTGACAAATGTTCACACTCTTTCTGCCTGAGTCACACATGCCAGTAAATAGTACAAACATTGATCCACATATTTCATGTTTATAGCCTCTGTTCTATCAGAATCCTTAAGTAGCTCCTATAATCAATTTATTTGCCAACAGGTGCAGTGGTCAGGGTGAACGGTCAGTACCATCAAGCCACCCTGGGGGATCCTCTGGAGACCCTGAGCCATTCTGGGGTGGCATTGCTACAATACCGCAATGTACAGGGAGTGAGGCTTCTGGTAATCATCTTTGGGTAGCAGTGGGTCTAGGTTCCAAGGGGAAAAGGTGAAAACTTGTGCTTTGTTCTATGTAATATTTAGCTTTGAACAGAAGAGAGACATCAAGAAAGTGAAAGGGCAAGGTCCTAGACAAGATGGGGTTGGAACAGAAAATGAATAAGGGAGAAGGAAGCAGGCAGAGACTGTGCAAGGTAAGGATGAAGAAGAAAGGAGGTAAGAAGAAAACAAGTAGAGGTTGTCTTCTCTTTCTCCTTCTTCCTGAACTGAAGTAGAAAGGGAAAGTCTACTGAGACCTACTCACATTATTAAACATGCCTCCAGCTCATCCATGTCTCCCCACCTCACCTACCAGTGAGTCTATCCCCTCTGAGCCATTGGGAATAAGGCCCATGTCCATATAGGCAAAACAATGAGCATTTCCACACTTGAATGTGAGTGGTACGGATGGAAAATGAACAAGATGGATTGCTTCCTCTAGGAGACAGTTTCTCAACCATGGCACTGCTGACATTTTGTGCCAGACAATTCTTTGTTGTTGCGGGGCCTTCCTGTGCACTATAGGATGTTTCGCAGCACCCTAGGCCTCTACCCACTAGATGCCAGTAGAATCACCAGTGTGATAACCAAAAATGTCTCTAGACGTTGCCAAAATTGCCCCTGATTGAAAACCGCTGCTCCAGAAGGCTAGGGCTACCTGTTTCCTGGAATGAGTTTTAGAAATAGTTACTCTGCCTTCCTGCATCTTGAAGGAACTGCCTCACAACTAGCCTCAATGTATATCCCACTCTCTGTCCCCATGTCTGATGATCCATTTCTAGAAGTACCGAGAGAGAGAATTTGTATAAACATCAAGGGTGGATGCTTTTCTTCTGCCTCTGAGGTCCACTCCCCAAACACCCCTGCAAAGTCTGGTATAGACTAGGAGTAAAAAGCTCTAGTACTGGTCAGTGAGAAGCAGAATCATTGAGAAGGATTCTGAGTCAGCAAAGCCTGGCTATGGGGCCCCTCTGCCCTGGGGACATGGATCCCTCCATCTTTTCTCTTCTTGTGCAAGCAGAAGCTGAAGACACCTGGCAGGCTGCATCTACATGTGTGCCTTTGATCAGGCCCCCGTGGCCTTTGTTCCTCCGTTTTTCCATCTACAATGGAAGGGACTGGACTGAGAGACCTATAAGGTTTCCACCCAACTCTGATGAACCATGTTCTGAGAGTTTATGGCTCTGAGGTTATAATTAGAGAAAGCCTGATCTTGAGGTGCATTAAGGATATGCAGAGCATGCTATGAATTCCCTCATGGCTACCTTTTAATTACCTGAATTGATATAGGCAAGCATTGCTAATTTGAAATGAAAAGATAAATCCAAATCTAATCTGGCTGGACATCAAACGCAACATGACTCTCTCTCTCTCTCTCTCTCAAACACACACACACACACATCTGTAATAGAAAGGGGACCTCCAAGACCTCAAGGAGAAGCCACACATAGAAACAATTCATCGGTAATTGAGAGTTGGCCAAACATTTGGTCATTTTTTAATTTTTAAATTTAACAGATTACATTGATTGTATATATTTATTGTGTACAACATGATGTTTTGAAGTATATATATACAAATATATATTTTGATTAATTTTTAGCAACAATCCAAAGCCTAACTTGACCTGAATGCTTGGTTAATGTTTAATGTCCAGCAAAATGCCAGCGTCTCCCTGCCTTTAACTCCCCCTGGCCCAACGAGATCAAAGGAAGAAAACTTCTCTGCCCTCTCATCCTGAATTTCTCCATGGCTCTTCCATTTTCTCTCTGTCTCAGTGTCTCTCCATTTGCATATGCCTCTGAGTCTCTGCATCTCAATCTCTGGGTCTCTGTGCCTGTTCATCTCTGTGTGCACCTCTGTGTCTCCATCATCTTTCTGTGTGACCCCCCTACCCCCACCTCCACCTCCCTCTCTCCTCCCTCCTTCTCATTCTTTCTCCCACCAATCACAACAAATTGACAAGGAGCGGAGGCCCTGTCAGGAACATCATCTGCCTGTTCAGACCAAAGGGGTTTTCTTTGTGCATCTTGCCGTGATTCATCTTCAGAGGGATCGATTCCTGGGCATCCATCTCTGTGTCTGCAGAAAAACTCTCTAAAGCTGCTGCTTCCCCACTAGGCCTGGACCTCTTGCTCTCTTGCAGCAACAGCTCTGTGGTTTGCTGGCTTCCGCCCCTCCAGGAAAAAAAATCACTCAGGGGTGGGAGGAGATGCTGACACCACTGAGGCCGAGCTAAAAGCAGCTCCTCGGAGGGAACAGAGCCAGGACAATGGGCCCTGGGACGAGAACTCCAGCCAGCTCCCAGCCCCCTCCGCCCACCTCGGAGGGCGTGCCTCTCATCTTGTGTGCTCAACATCGTGATTATTTATGGAGATGTAAAGTGTCCTTCAAGCAGCTCATTCTTCTCAACAAGCTGTGAGGCAGGCGAGAGAAGGCGCCGGCCAAAACCAGGCTGCTTGGGGAGGAGGTGGCAGGGCTGGGAGTGAAAGAAAGACCCCTTCATCCTCCCGCGCTCAACTCGCCTTTCAGGCTGACCTTGGAGAGTGAAGACTGGCTCAGATTTCCTCTGCTGTGTATATCTTCACCCAGAGAGCTGTGTGCTAGCTGTGTGCTCCGAGAACAAGGGAAGCATGCAGGGCCTGCCGGAAGGGGTAACTGTGAGCATGTCAGGGTCTGAGCAAAGACAAGAGTGATGTGTGAGCTGGCCTCCACTCTACCACCTTTCCCCAGAGCTGAGGGTCTCCCTGCTGTGTCAGGCAGACTGGGCACAGCCTTCACATGCCCATTCCCAGGTCTAGGTAAGCAGAGATCACTGCTCAAGCCATTAGGACAAGGCTGAAACTCTCTGGAGTCCCTTCTGGCTGTGGGTATGCCCCTGGGCCAGGCCAAGGATGGTGGGGAGCATCCTAAGTGTTTCTGGAAATGATGGTGGACAAGGATTACCTAGGGGTGGCCCCTCAGTCCTCACAATCTGAGTTACAGGGAAGACTGGGGTTTTAGGAAGGAGGTTCTTAGTAGCATGCTGTACTGACATTTGGATCAGATTGATAGTAATCTTGGCCATGCTTTTTTTAGGAGAATAATCACTGAATACATCAAAGATGAGAATGAGAGTAGACTAGGAGTCAAGAGATAAGTCATGAGAGGTTGGGAATGTGAGCTGACCCATGAGTAACTAACAATATGCAGCACCTGAGGGCAAGGGGGCACCTTTGCTCCTGGTGTTAGAGATGAAGTGGCTGATAACAGAGAAGCAGAGGTCCTCCACAACTTGGAATGGTGGCGCAGTGGACTTGGGATGTATCATGGTGCTGAAGCACGTGCTCTCAGGCACCAAACGCACTGGGTTTGAATCTTGGCTTTAGAGTTAACAAGTTGTAAGACTCCAGGCAGCTCCCTTAACTTCGGTGTGCCTCGGTTTTCTCAACTGTACAATGGGGCTAATATAGCAATATGCCTCCTAGGTATGTTGTGAGAGTTAATAAGATAATAGACCAGTACCTAGCATATTGCAAACAGCTATTATTATTTTCATAACTATTACTGGACTCAGAGAATTGAATTTGATTTCCACCTAATTCCAAGTCCAGAACTTAAACCAGATACTTTATTTATTCAGGTTTTGGTTTCTTGTATAAACTTATTCCTACCTCACAAGGTTGTTGTAAGGATTAAATGTGAATGTATGTGGACACATTTTCTAAAACTGCAAGGGATTATCCAAATGTGAGCTGTTCCCAGGTACCACCGGGGGAGCGGACAGCATCTGAGGGATGAGGAAGAAAGGAAATAAAGTTGATGGACCCATATCCGGATTAGGTCTTGGGAGGTATTAAGTGCACCTTCACGAGGCAATCCAGGAAGGCTTCCTGCAAGAGGAGGGTTGTGTAAGCTTGACTCTCAGCAGTCTGAAAAAAAGGTGACTCACTGTGAGAAAATTATTTGACAAGATGTTCTGTAAGCAGTGACACCTACTGCCATGGGTTTTGCAATAAGAAGCAACAATTCCAAACCAGGTTGTTACCCTCTCGGGTCTGCAAAGGAGGAGAGACACAGGCCTTATGGAGAGTGTGTCTGGGACAACATCATCTCCAGGAGGAAATACATACTCTAATCCTGTCAAATGTTTGTGTCCCCTGAAGCCTCAAAGGCCCTGTCCTTAGTGGTGTTCACAAATATTTTGGTTCTTTCTCTTTCCTGGCACATGGTAGGATGCATGTCCCTGTGCCTTAAAGTTGGGCATGGGCGTGTGATTTGTCTGCAGCTTGCATGTGACTTGCAATGAAATGTAGG
Source organism: Homo sapiens (assembly GCF_000001405.40). Lineage (NCBI taxonomy): Eukaryota > Metazoa > Chordata > Mammalia > Primates > Hominidae > Homo > Homo sapiens. Next base: position 40,642,815 of record NC_000006.12, read on the forward strand.
CATGCTTAATTGCCAACACTTGACTTCAATTTTCCTTTTTTTTTTGTTTTTGTTTTTTTTGCATTAGGAATCTTAGAAGCTTGTGTCCAGGTGATGCCTCTCTCAGCCTAGTCTCTGAGTGACTCAGCAAGCAGACATTGCTTCCAACTTGTGTCAAATATGTAACATGAGCAATGAAGAAAAACCCCCTTTGCATGAAACTGCTGAGATATTGGGGTCATTTGTTTCTGCAGCAAAATCTGGCTCATCCTGACTAATGCAGCTCTAAAACATACAGTCTCAGCACCTGCTTTGTATTGCTATGTCCAGTCTCTGGGTAGAACCTGGATCCACTTGCCCATGATCCCCAATGCAGCTACAATGACATTCGAAGAGGAATAGAGGGGAGGACTAGAACACAGGTGAACAGGGAGTAAAAACAGGAGGTGCTGAGCCTGGGGTGCCCCACCCCATGAGAATAAATGTTGCTGGGCTTAGGGAAATGCTGAGCTGATCTTGTTCACGTCCACGACATCTTGTTCTCTGTTCCTGTCACAGAATGCCTCTCAAACTAGAATATTCACATCTTTCCTCACTGATGCACATGCTTCTCTGGAATGGAGAACTTTAAAAGAAAAGGAGTGTCCTAGGAAATTGTGCCTACAATGATCTTATTCCCCAGTTCTTCCCCCAGTCTCAACACAAGCCTCTCAGTGCCCAGGCTTTCATCTCACTGATCTGGATGTGATTTACAGCAGATAATAATAAATAATCATTATAATAATATTAGCCTTTTGCGTAACACTTACTATGTGCCAGACAGTGCTTTAAGCATGCTACATGCTTAAAATCTTCACCAAAACCTCATGAGGATGTACCATTGTTCCCATTTTTCAGACAAAGCAATTGAGGCACAGAGCAACTAAGTAACATGCGCAGGATCAACAGCCCATTCAAACCCAGTCCGTATGACTCCATAGCCCATGCTCTTAACCACCACACCATACAACAAGCATAACATTTTATCTCCCTGGAATCTGACGTCTTGGCAAGGGTCCCCATCTGTTCTATCTTGGGGATACTCCAGAGTAGGGTTGGATCTCAGGGTATCATCTGAACAGAGAGATTATACCACATCACAGACATCAGACCCTGCTATGACCAGAACCTCTTTGGTGTCTCTGCCAGCCCTCTGTTCCCTCAGGCCTACCGTAGCCCTCGCCTATTATTTCAAGAGCAGCTCTTTTACTGGCTACTTCGGAAGCAGATGTTGACTTCTTGAGGTACACCCCACTGTTTGTGGCTACCTAACAGCTATTGCCTTCTCCCTTGTAACAGAACACTTATTTGGGGTGGGTGGGACTATGCCAAGCTCATTGCCACACTTCTTCAGCTGTGAAGTGAGTTCCTTGGCCATAAGCAATGATGTGTGGAATATCATGGTGGCGGATAAGGCATGATGAGACTAAAACCTGCTTGGTCTAACTTGGTTGTGATAACTCCATTCTCTGTTGCCAGTGACTATTCTAGGACTGGGCATGTAACTCCATTCTGGCCAATGAGATGACAAGAAAGCCTACAGGAGGTGGGGAGGTACTGAGAAAACTTATCCTCCCAAAGAGGAATGCCTTTCCCACCTTGCCACTTGGGAGGTGGGCAGCCATCTAGCAACTTGAGGGATAACGACCTGGTGGCCTGGCAGAGCAGACAGGCAGGAAAAGCCTGGGGCTTGGATGACCTCATTGAACTGCCCCAAGCCTGGAATAACCTCTTTTGCACCCGAGTAAACCCCTACTACTGAAACCACTTTTGTTCAGATACTTGGTTACTTGCTGCCTAACAGATCTTACCGAGAACAACTCTCACTGGTTTATTTTCTCCTAAGATGAGGTATAAAGCAAGGGGATCCAATGAGTATGGAAGCAACCACTTTCCCACACTTAGAAAGACCACCGTACTGATAACTGAGAAATGAAAGTATTCTCCAGGTCAGGACTCAGTGACTGAAACGCAATTAACTCTGATTCATTGCACATTTTAAATCAAAATATATTCACTATCTAACTCTAAATACAATCATATGACTTATTTTTTTTGCCAGGGAGACAACATTCCATTAATGTCTTACAGACATTACAGAGAACTCTCCCATGCACAGGTTGACACTTGCTTGCTTTCCTTTAGTTCCAAGTGGAGATAATGACAGGCAGAACGTTAAGAAGCTTCTTCCACAAGGCCCTGTGAGGCACTGGATGTGTAGAAAGGACAGGAGAATGGTACCTTGAAAAGGACAAGAGAAGCTGCACAGAATATGAGCCAACTCCTTGGTGGGGGGCAGTCCCCCAAAGCCTGACCATGGGAACAAGAGGCAGTTGCGGTTCAGGGGTTCCAAGACTGACAGATATAGGCTTTAAATTGCTAATCCACATTTGCTGTGTGACGCTGGGCACTCCACTTGCCTTCTCTGAGCTTCCACGTACTCAAGAGTAAAAACAGGACAGTAACATCTAAACCGGTGAGAATGAAAGGAGCTTGGAGTAGGGGTTAGGGAAATGACAGCCATTACTAGTACTCGGGCAACCTGGCCTGGGATAAGCAAGGTGATTTCTAACAGAACTCTTCCAATTCCTCAGTGCGGAGGCAGCTCCACAGAAGCGGGTGGCTGTGTCCACTGAAGACATCTAGGCTGAGCAGTAGTGGCTCTAGATGGCATGCACGATGGAAGAAAATGTTTCATGTCTTTCGGAGGCAGATTCTGCAGTGGGGCTGAGTCTGTGGCTGCATTGCTCTGATTGACGGAGGAAGCTTAGCTTAGATAAGATTCTAGAGGATCTGGGTAGGACTTCATCAGGCCAGCATAGGGTAGTAAAACAGGTCATGTTTGGGAACAAGAATACTAGGATTTTTAATGCAGCCCTGCCACTGACCAGCTTTAGAGTCTTGGGAAATATATTTAAAGGTTATATGCCTCAGTTTCCCCCATCTGAAAGTTGAGACAGGAATCTGTGGGATTTGGTGATAACGCAAGCACTGAACGATGGGTAGCCAGGGCTTCTCTTACTGACCCGTCACAGGTTATCCCATGAAAGCATCCAGCACATGTAGAAGGGGAGGGGATATTCTGAGTAGAACAGTAAGTACAGTGGCTCATTTTCAAGTCCAATTCCCCACTTTAATTGAGTTTTGCTGAAAAGCCCCATGCAAGCACTTTTCCTGCCATTTTGCCAGATTTGATTCTCGCTGATAACAGAAATCTGAGTGGCTCCTGAAGATAGATGACTGCTGTTGGCAGTGGGATGAGATGGTATGGATGAGCAAGTGGACCTGGGAAGAGCAGAAATTGCTCTGCTCTGATCAGGGCCCCTATTGATGTGCCTCTCCCCACCACCCCCTGCTCATGCCCATCCTGGCTGGGCATTCCCAGCTGACATTCCCAGCCCTCATCCTCGCCAGACTCACCTTGCGGGACAAGAGGCACCCAGGATGTCTAGGTACTACTCTTTCTTTAAGGCTGCCTAAGATCAAAGTGTATCTTTTGGAAGGTGTCATCCAAGACTCCTGAATTAGGATCAGTCCACCAGGTTACCTGGTAGAGAGCAGAACACTGATGGAATAGAGAGCATTGGTTTGTACTTTTTAAAGCTTTATACAAATGGCATATTCACCGCATCTCCTGAAACTTGCTTTTTCTTTATTCAACGTTACATGTTCGAGGTGTATTCATGATGATCCATGTAGCTCTGATTCAATCATTTTCTCTGCTGTATAGATGGACATTTTGGTTTTCTCCAGTTGTTGCTATTGCAAGCAAATACACAATTAGCATTCACACTCACATCTCCTTGTGCACACATGGGAGAGATCCTAGGTACATACCCAGGAGGAGAATGCCTGGGTAGAAAGGATAGCTTTGAATAGCGGTAGCAAGGTGGGACACGAGTCAGGTTGCAGGCTTTAGTATCCTGTGTGATGAAGCAAGCCTCTCAGAGATGGAAAAGTCTTTGTAGGTTCAGTTTCGAGGAGGGTCAACCCATTTCCTTCACCAGCGGACCAGCTACAGGGAAAGCTACCTGTCACTCATCCTCATACACTTCACAGTCCACACACTGCAACAGGGTAGGAAGATAGGCACTGTCACAGCCCTCAGTGCAGGATTGGCAATAGAAAGTAAACAGAAAACCAAAATGGGAGTAAAAAGATCCAGCCACTTCACAGTTATTGCCATCTTTCAAAAGAAACTCCAGTCATTTTCTCTAAATGGAGAATTCTTACCTGAATAAAACCCGCTGCAACTTGGAGACAAATCAAATAAAGAAATAAAGGCTTCATTGTGATTCTAACTCTTACCCCAGAGGAATTCTGGTTAAACACACTTCTTAGTTTCTCTTTCGATGTTGTGTCTTTTAAAATAAAATATTTTAGACATAAAAAGTATAGCTAATAATATTATGAACACTATGGACCCATCGACCATTTTATAAAATTAAACATTATAGTTTGAATTGAAAGCCCTTATAAACTCTTCCCAGGCTCCCCACATTCCTGAATCTAGTGTTTGTCATGCCCATTTCTATACAGGTTTTCATGCTTGCCCAGGATATAGGTATCCATAAATAATAGAAAGCATTGGTTTGTATTTTTTAAAGCTTTATACAAATGGCATATTCACCGCATCTCCTGAAGCTTGCTTTTTCTTTATTCAACGTTACATGTTTGAGATGTATTCATGATGATCCAGGTAGCTCTGATTCAATCATTTTCTCTGCTGTATAGATGGACATTTTGGTTTTCTCCAGTTGTTGCTATTACAAGCAAAGCCACAATTAACATTCACACTCACATCTCCTTGTGCACACATGGGAGAGATCCTAGGTACATACCCAGGAGAATGCCTGGGTAGAAAATGTACGCCATCACTTTCACAAGGAGAGGAAGGGTGAATGAAGCAAGGATGCCACAAGAACCCCTGGCTGAGGACCTCCCACATCCACATGGCAGGGAACACTTTGCCCAAAGGCAGTGACATCTACCCTAATGAGCAAAATCAGACTGTGGTCAAGGTATTCAGAAGTTTTCACAATTGCTGTCCTTTCCTCCTAAGGAAGGTGTGGACAGAGAGAATGGTGTGTGAGCGGAGGTGGTGTAAGTGTGTGTGTGTGTGTGTGTGTGTGTGTGTGTGTATGTGTGTATGTGTAAGATCCACAGAAGCAGCATCCTTTGTCTTTTTGACCAATGCATCCCAGCACCTAGAACAGTGCTGTGTGTGCATGCGATAAATACTCCTTACTTGAATATATACCATGCATGGATGTGTACATGTGCACCCATGTACATGTTCTGTGCAGAGGAGTGCTCCCTAGTCAGGGAGGGCACAAGAGCTGAGATGTTGTTGGGAGCTGAGATGTTGTTGGGAGGCAATATGGTCTGCACTCCCAACCCCTTAGTGCAAATGTAACAACAGACCACCAAATCATGAAGAAAGGGAAATGGTCTGAAACATGGAACAAAGGGTTCGTGCTGCCTGCATTTCTGGGAAAGGATCTAAGAAGAAGATTCTTGGTATTTAGACAATAGGACAAAGCCAAAGGAAAACTCAAAGGAAGGCTTGTGGTCATCTTCCTCACAATAGCAAAATTCCTCCTCAGCAAGTTTGAAGAGCCAGCAAATGCAAGCCAAAGAATTAACAAATGAAAGCAAAAAGGAATTTAAAAACTAAACAGACAAGATAGAGAAAACCCAACACTGACGGATGATACAAAGCAGTTTAACTTTGAGTAACCACCACCTACCTGGAGAGATTCTCAGGGACCTGGAATTTTGTTGCCCTGGACCTCAGGTTGTGGCCCCTGCCTTCCCAGACCATGGAAACTTTGGGGGCAACTTAAGTAGAGGTAATAATTACAGCTGTTTCTAATTTTTTTCCCCACGATAGAAATATGGTAGGCAGAGAGCAAGCTGAGATTCTGTGCTAAAGGAATAAGTCCGACAGGCAGGAAGAAAGTGGCAATGGGAGACTGGGGTACATAGGGGACTCTTGGGAATCTAGAGGAATTGGCCAGCAGACGGTCAGTATCAGCAGGCTGCCTGCCAGCACTGCAGGGATAGTAAATGGGAATGATTCTGGTCTCTGGGCCAGGTTCTGAAAAAAAACAAGACAAGCTCTAGTCCTACTGGAGGAAGGACACAGTCTCTGGAGCCAGAGATCCAGGTCCAAATCCTACCTGTGTGCCCTTGGACAAGCTGCTTGCTCTCTCTATGCCTCAATTTCATCATCTGTAACATGAGAATGATAATAAGTAATATTGACTCAGTGCCTCCCATGTCCCAGGCATCGCCCTAAGAGTTTTTGGCATATCATGTAAGCAGGTTTGGTAGCTCTTCCTGTTTTGCAAATAAGGAAAGCAAGCCTCAGGGAGATGCCTCCTAGAACTGTTGTGAGGACCTCATACGGGTGACGTATGCAAAGCATGTCGCACAGCAGGGGCTTGCCACCAACTGTGCTTTGATTGTGGCTACTGTGGTGGAGGCTGGGGTCCCAAGCGCACTGCCCACCCAGAGCCTCTGGAACAGGAAGGGGTCAGGGAATCTGTCATCTCTGGGATTCAAAAAGGGCAAGTGCCTTCAAGAACAGTAGAGCCCGCTTCTGAGCCTGGTTTTTTTGTTTTGTGATTCTCAGAATAAAGCCTGCAGACACTCATAGGATTTAGGAGCCTCTGACCTGGAGCTGTCTTTATTTTGTCAGCTTGCCCTCCCCGAAGGGTCTCCATGGGCCAGCTACTGTACTGAGCACTTGACATGTGCTTTCTCCTATGTCTTTCCAGGTAGCCTATGGCTGAGAAGTGATTCATCCATTCTAGAGGGGAGACATGAAGACTCAGAGCGGGGATGAGACCTGCCCTGACGCAGTGACAGAGCTGGGATTCCAACACCATCCAGGCCTCCTCTCACCTTCTGTCTCTCTCCCTGGCTGTGTGTCCCCCTCCCATCATCTCTGCCTAGGTTTATTAATATCTCAATCTCGAGTCCTACTTTCCTCTAACTCCACAGCCCCACTCTCCCACTGGGAGACAAGCCCTGGGACCCTCCAAGCAGCCCTCTCATAGTCCCCAGTCCCTGTACTTCTCACCGCCCTAAATGTCTAGAGAAACTAAGAGAGTAGAGGTATTTTAAACTCCTTTAAAAATGAGTTAATTTGCTCTCATAAAAACCAACCCTCTCTCCCAAGGCAATAAGGGCAGCCTGCACCTTGCATGCAAATTTCCCTGCCTGTTATTTGACATAGGATCCTGTGCACATGTGCACCCTTGGACACGGTCAGACTAGCATAACAGCCCAGAGAAGGAGCTCATGCAGGTAGACATCCACAGACACATGAGAAAACACTCAGAGAGATGGGTGTGAGTAACCAGACACAACACATATCACATATACTGACCCACAGATGCATTCCCCACCCCAGGGGAGGCCAGCTCACAGCACACACTCTACCCCTACACAGAGACACAGAGGATCCTCCCCTCATGATTCCCAGAACAAAGCCTGCAGACACTCATGCGATTTAGGAGTCTCTGACATTCACTATCTATGTCTTTTTCTGCTCCCTTGGGGCACTAACTGCTTGTGCAGAGGCTGGGAGAGGCTCCCTGTGGCCATCTCTTCCTGTTGAAATGAAGGACATGGACTGGGGTTGGGTGGTGGTCATCTTTCTGGTGTGAGGAGAACCTTTACCCCGGCCAAGGCTGGCCATGGGGCTGGAGGTGAGGTAGGGGTATGAGGGTGGAGGGTTGAAAATGCAGACGTCTAAACTCCCAGATGTGGCCCAGCGTTTCAGTTAGCCTCTGACCCAGGTGACCAGATCTATTCATTTCCAGCAGAATAAATTATCGATCAGAGTTGATTTTCTAAAGAAAATCCTCCCATGTGCACTCTAGCATAAGAAACAAGTGTTGGGGGTTGGAATCCTAGAGAAGGAAATCACTTGAGTCCCAGCCTCTGAGCTGGCACCTGTGTGGTCACCCCATCCCTCCCACAGACCATCACAGGACCAGGGAATCAGAGCCAATAGGAGCCTCATCCCCAACTCCAGGAGGCCCCCAAGCCCCTGCCACCCTTCACCCTTACCTCAAGGAACGGCCATGGGCCTGCAGATCCGTGTGGGGTGAGGGATCTAGGGCAGTGTTTGCAAGCTTTTTTCTTCATTGTTGCCCCCAATAAGCCTTTTAAGATATTTTTTCCTAATTGTCTCCCTTGTAATTTTAATACCACAGATGCACTATATCTCTGTGGAGGTCCATATATCATCATAATAGCTGAGATCATTCCTCTTCCTCCCACTGAAAAAACAATTTTTCCCCCACTAGGGCAATATTACCCTTGTCGAGGTATCCTGCTGTGGGTCAATGGGTTCCAGGAGAGAAAGCCCTGAGCCCAGCCCAGGGGAGGCCAGAGGAAGTCTGTTCTTCCATTAGAGGATTGGGGCATAGGGAACTGACAGCAAATGGGGAGCAACATGGAGTTCAGCAAGAATTATTCGGTCTCTGGAGATTTATTAAAGAAAAATGAGCTGATTTTCTTGGTCTCCAACAAACTAAGGAAATTTCAGCAGTGGAGATGGATGCAGGCACCAGGAAGGACTTCCTGGCACCACAGTGCTGATAAGGCTCTTGCTAATTACTTGTTTATTGATTGGCCGAGAGCAAGAGGGAGGCATTGTGGGGGTGGAAGAAAAGTGAGGTGTGGTGGGGAAGGGCACAGGACAGTGGACACTGCCTGGCTTGTATGCTCACTGGCACCAAGTTCATGGAGGAGGCACCAAATCACATCTCACATCTTCAAGCCTCAGTTTTCTCTTCTGTAAGTTGAGATGAAACCTATCTTGGAGTGCGGTTGTGAGTATTAAGAGATGTGATGTTGCAGAATGCCTAGTACAATGCCTGTCGACTGTCAGACAAGGTTAGCTCCTGTGTGGTCTTTGATTCCCTCCCCAGGTTCTTCCTCCAGCCTTCTCTACCCAGGCCCATCTTCTCCCACTGCATCTTCAAACACCAGGTGTGAGTCAGGCATCCCTGAGAGTGTGTGCACACCCACCCTGCTGTGCACAGCTCTGAACTCAGGGCACTGCAGAATGGCTATGTGTTGGCACACTGACAATGTGCCAGACATGGCGCTAGGCATTTGGTATAAAGTGACTGACTTCATTTAATACTGTTCCAGTTACCTTCTGCTGTCTAACAAACCACCTCCAAACACTGGCTCAAAACAGTAACAGTTATTTATTTTTCACACAAATCTGAGAACTGACTGGACTCAGTTGGGCGGTTCTTTCTCAGGGTCTCTCATTAGTACATTAGTGACAGTCAAATGGAATCATCTCAGAAGCGTCTCAGTCGCAGTCCTGACAGTCGATGCCAGCTGCCATCTGACCTCTATTAGGGCCAACAGTGGGAACATTTACGTGTGGCCTTTTCACGCTCCTTGGCTTCCTCACAGCATGGCATCCAGGTTCCAAGAACAAGTGACCAAAAAGAGACAGAGACAGAGAGAAAGAGGGACAGAGACAGGCAGAGAGAGGGGTCACGTGGAAGTTCTGTCAGGTCACCTTTTATTGCCCAGCCTTGGAACTCAGGCAATGTCACCCCTGCCACATTTGTTTGATCAGATGCAAGTCATACAGGTCAATGGATAGTCAAGGGGAATGAGACTCTACCTCCTGAAGGAAGGAGTGTCAAAGAGTTGACATGTATGCTTTACAGTCACAGCCACTCAGAATAATCCTGCAAGTTAAATATTATTATGCTCCATAGATAAATGAGGAGATTGAGATTTAGTACAATTATGTAGCTCATCCAAGAAAGTCTCAGTTTCCCTTTGAAGTTTTTACTTAAAAGTAGAGGAGTGGTCTCTTTGTCAGAAAATTCTTCAGTCTGGTGAGGAAAAACAACCCCGCCTTGAGAAATACCCCCCATACTAGAGAGACACAGCTGTACCCAAGAAGGTCTCCAAGTCTTAGTGGAGACATAGACTTGTCCTCAAGGAACCCCAGCCTGAGGGGAGATATAACCCCATCCTCAGGGAGCCCCAGTATGAAGGGAGACATAGCCCGTTCCTTGGGGACCCCCAGTCTGAGGGAAGACACAGCCCCATCTTCGGGGGGCCCCATTCTGAGGGGAGACACAGCCCTGACTCAGGGAGCCCCAGTCTGATGGAGGACTCTGAGTCATTTATCTTCAGGGATTCTATGGTCCTATCAGAATGGATTGACCCTTCATCATGAACTACCTGATTAGAACGCATTAAACTTGGTTTTCGTACCTAGTGTTGGACTATGGAGATTGTGTCTACCAATTCTTTTTGTTGGAAAGTTTTAAATAATTTAATGAAGAAAAACTTTCATACATCGACTCCTCTAAAACTTTCCTACCAAGATTTTGGCTCTAATATACTGGAAAGGGACTTGGATTGGGAGTCAGGTGATGGAGTTTTACTCCTAGCCCTGCCAGAACTAAGCAGAATGTTTTGTCTCTCCAGACCTCGTCTTCTCCATCATACCATGGCCATGGTAACCCTGGCATGGTCATCAGTGACATGTTGGAGACATTCCCTGCATGGAATGTATAGCTGAGTCAGGATTAGAACCCAGGCCCACAGCCCAGGGATGTTGAGGAATGTCCCTACAGGAGGGTCAGTTCAAATAGGTAGAAGACCCACTGGGTTTCTGAAGGATGGGTGAGTCAGGATGGGAGCTCGGTAAGGAAGAGCAAATTCACACTCACCCCTCAGGGAGATGCCAGAACCCCATGTTTTCCTACATTTCCTCCTACTCCTACTTGGACCCTAGGAGCTTCTACACTTCTGTGGCAGGTAGAGAGGAGGGTCATATAGTCCTTTAGACAGGCCTTTGAGGCTGGGAGCCATAAGGAGCTAGGAAGGGACCAGAGTTCTTTATATGGCACTTACTAACTCAGTATTTCCACTCTCTCACTCTAAGCTGGAGACAAGTCTGCATTCCATGGAAGTCTTAAAAAGCTGTTACAAGAATAAAATAACTTGCATAGCTATATACTCACCTGGTAGGAAGAATTTGTTTTTTTTAATATTCATAGCAAAATTTGGAGTATTATTTCCATTTTTCAGAGGGGAAAGCTGAGAGTCTGGAAGATGCTGAGACCTGTAGTAATAGTATCAGAGAGCAATCAGGATTTTCATTGTTCATTCATTCAGCAGCTACATGTTGCAGGCATGATACTGGACCATGGCATGAATCAGAGGCCTAGTTCTTGCTCTCTTGCGGTGACCGTTTGAAGTGAAAAGACACAGTTTAAACAGGTGATCACAAGTGCACTAAGTATTTTACACAAGAACTGTAAAAGGAGCTGCAGAAGAGCACAAGAAGAGAGCCCACTGTGTCCAAAGGGTGAGGGAAGCTGCCTAGGAGAAGGATGTGCAGGCTTGTATTTCCAGAAAGAACTAGAATAATTCAACTCACTGACTTGGGAAAATATCAGTTGTTTACCTGTGTACTCTAGGCCTGGGGCCAGGGGCCATCTTCTCCCTTTGGGAACAGAGACATGTTAGGGTGGGTGAGCCTGAGAAGCTGAACTCATCACAAGGGAGAGGCTGATCTTAGGCCCTTGTGCAGAGTCTGGGCCCTGAAGGTGTGTCAGGACAGCAAAGCTCTCCAAATCATTGTGGATCAGTTAATGGAGATATTAACTGACACCTCCCCTTAGCCCTGTTCTGGGTGGGAGGGAACTCCCCTCAACTTCCAGACTAGCACACTCACCAGCAGCTCAGACATGGTTGGCATTTTCCCTATGATAATTCATTCATTCCATGCTGTTCTCTCAGGGTCTTCCTATCAGTGCCTTAGTTTCTTTATCTATAAAATTAAAATAATGACAATCCCTACATAATGGTTTGTTCAAGGATTAAAAGGGTTAATACAGGTAAAGTGGTTAGAACAGCACCTGGCATGTGGTAAATTCTTAGCAAAGATTATATGTTATAATCATCAATGACAAGTTTTCCCACAGACAGGGGCAGGTTCACTTTCTCTGTTGAGCCTTTTGCAAAAGTGCATGTGTAGTTTTTGGTAATAATGAAGACAGTGATGATGCTGTAAAAAGTGGTTGCAATGGTGATAATAGTCTCCACAGTGACAGTGATGCTGATGGTGATGATGACTGTAATAATTGTGGCGGTGATGGTGAAGATGATGATGATGATGGTAATAGTGATGGTGATGATGACAGTGAAGATGACAATGGTAATGATGGTGATAGTGATGGTAAAGATGATAATGATGATGCTGGTAATAATGATAGTGATGATGATGGTGAAGATCATGATGATGTTAATAGTGATGGTGATGGTGAAGATGACAATGATGATGGTTATAAGGATGATGTGATGGTGAAGATGATGATGATGATATAAGCAATGATGAAGATTCTCTGTGGTGATGATCGATACATAGCAAGGAGCAGGTTGTGGACAAGTAGTTTTCATCATTGTCTTTCTATGACAGCTATGGGGAAGGCATAAATATCTACCAGTCATTTCCAGAGAAGGATCAAAGTTTAGGTATTTCTTCTCCCTTTTTCTGCCTTTCTTTGTTTCAAATGAAGAGACATTAATGAAGAAATTTATGGAGGGATGCGCAGGATTAAGAGAATTAGTAAGGAAGAGTGAAGTATCCATGTACTGGCAACAACAGGAAGCGGTTACTACACCTGTGTCCAGAGGGAAAAGGGAAGGGGGAAATAGCATTGCTGGAGGCATTGGGTTATAGAGCCAGGAAAAAGAGCATAGGGCCAGCCACTGCCAAAGATGCTCAGCTGAAGCAGGGAGGGAGCTGGGAAGAAATACCCCCACTGCTGTCTCCCCTGCCCTTTGATTTCCTGCCAAGCTTCCCAATTGGACACCAAGGACAGGGAGGCCTGGATGGTAGTTTTTGTACCAGGCTCAGAAAGTAAAGGGATTCCTGGTGCAGCTTGGAGGGGCATGTGCTTCCCTCCTGGGTTCCAGTTTTCTTGGTGAGTCCCCCAGGGACATGACCCATGTCTCATTCCTCTTGGTGCCCCCTACCCCATCCCAAGCTGAATCTGATAACTAGCACACAGTGCATGTTTTCTGGATGCATACAAGACCTTGTTCCAGACAGGTAGCTCGCAGAGCCTCATCTTCACAAGTAAAAGAAATGTCACCCCCTCTTCTAGTGGCTGGTTCTATTTCTTTAATGACTCAGCTTAGATATCTTGATTTTTTACCTGAATCACTCTAACTGAAATTGAAATTTCTCTACCCTCCCATTCCATGGTGGAGATAAGGCAGTAGCACTCACCTTTCTCTGGAGCCCCTATGCTGGTGCAGGGGCTGGATTGAGGCATCACCCCTGCTCTTCCAATGTGTGACTGAGGATGCTGTGGCACTGTCTGAATATTAACTATCAGTGACTGGGAGATACTTGTTGGGAAAAAAAAAAAAAAAAAACTTCTGTTCCTGTAAAACACTGAAGAATAAATAACCCTAAAGGGTCTCCTTCAGCCATGCTTCCAGGGAAATTGAATTATTTCAGCAGAGCCAGTCCTACTTGAGTCCGCTACAAGAGAGCAGACCTTTCTCCAAAGCAGCCCTGCCCCTTTCACTAGGCAGTCTCCAAGTGCACAGATACCACACCCCCTTTCCTGCCCCTACCATGAAGAACAGACTGGGTCTGCGAGGTCTCAAACTGAAGGCAAACGGGGGCTGAAACTATTAGTGTCACTTAAAATTCACTCTCCCCCTTTCCCATTGTTCTAATACTTTTGCTCCTTAATTGGATACATGATCATCGTAAATTCAAAATAAAAACCATTTTTCTGGGCTGGGCGCAGTGGCTCACACCTGTAATCCCAGCACTTTGGGAGGCCGAGGCGGGTGGATCACCTGAGGTCAGGAGTTCAAGACCAGCCTGGCCAACATAGTGAAATCCCATCTCTACTAAAAATACAAAAAAAAAAAAAATTAGCAGGGCGTGGTGGCGTGCACCTGTAATCCCAGCCACTCAGAAGGCTGAGGCAGGAGAATCGCTTGAACGTGGGAGCTGGAGGTTGCAGTGAGCCGAGATAGCACCATTGCACTCCAGCCTGGGTGACAGAGCAAGACTCCATCTCAAAATAAATAAATAAATAAATAAATAAATAAATAAATAAATAAATAAATCCATCTTTCCTGGCCTTTATTGCAACTAGGTATGAACTTTGTGATCAAGTTTTGGTCAATGGATTTGAGTAGAAATAAAGTGTGCAACTTCTGGAAAATGTCTTTAAAAGAAAGATAGCATGCTCTTCTTCTTCCCTTCCCTTGACTTGCTAGATAGAAGGTAGACATAATGGATAGGGCTCCAGCCACCATCTTGGATGATGAGGTAATGTTGAAAATAGAGGCCACGGATGGTGGAGGAACAAGATAGATGGAGCTTGAATACCACTGTAACACTTTAGCAGTCTAGAATTGACTCCTTCTGGATTTCTTAGAAGTGAGAGAGAAATAAACTTCTATCCTATTTAAGCCACAGCTATTTTGCTCATTTGTTTGTTTTCCATTACTACAGGCTAAACCTAATTCTAGTTGACATATTCATGGACTAAACCTAGTCCCCAGGTATATTTTGTTTGCCTACACAGTAACATTTAAATATTTTAAATTCAAGCCCAGCATTTTAAAATGAACATATTTTTTTAAACATAAAAATTTGAATTATAACTTCTAAAATGATGGAAGATCTGACACCCTTGGGCCTCCAATTTCAGCCCAGAAAACCTGGAAGAAGCTGAATAGCACTTGCCCCTTTCAGCTGGGGCATGGGTCTTTCGTTCAACAGTCTCTCCTGAGCCCACTTCATTCTACATTCCTGCCTGGCCCCTGCTGGCCCTGAGTTTGAGTCCCTGGGACAGTTGTTCCTGTCATCCATACTCAGTTTCCTGGGAACCCCACAGCCCCCTGGAGAGCCCTTCTTTCCTGCCTTCTCTGCATGAGCTGTGGGGAGCCTGGCCTCCCTTACATACCTTCTGGAACCATCCTGAGTCTCACTCTCTGGCACAGCCACGGAGTGAAGGAATTCTATCTGAAGACAAAAGCAAGGTGGAGGACAGACTGCATCCTGGAACCACAGAATTTATAAGTGAAAAAAAGCTATGTCTGGGACTGGGCGGTGATTTGTCCTAGACCATGCAGCAAGTCTGCAGCAGAGCAGAAGCGAGAGTTGAGTTTCCTGAGTCCCTGGCCCAGTGCACCAAACTTCTTTGCAAGTTTGTGTAGAAAAACTTCCCTGGAAAAAGACAGTTTTTCTGTTATCCTCAAAAAAAAAAAAAAAAAAAAAAAAGTCCTACTGTGTCCAAATCCAGGCTGTGGTGGGAGTGTGTGGGCAGAAACCTGCATATTTTGGTGAATACAGCCCATCTGCCTCCCTCTTCTGGACCCTAACCTCCAAAATGCCTGTGATAGGGACAGAGGCCTCCACCTCATGGTGAGAGCGGCTCTATTCCAGTACCAGGCTAGGAGTTTCTTCTCATAGAGGTCATAAGTTGTCATTCTTCGTTGTTTTGGTATCCCTGCTGCTAGCAAAGCACCTAGTACCTAAAAGAGGCTAAATAAATATTTGTTGAATGAATGAATGAATGAAATAGCAAAAGCTCAGGGCCATATGTGATGAGCTCCAGGTGGCTGGCACAGTCACAAAACCTCACCTTCCCCTCCCAGCTTCCTGTCCTTAGGAGTCAAATCACCAAACACTTCCGTATGAGGGGTTCTGAGCTAGCTGGTTCCAACCCCTGTCCTTCCCTCCCCTCTGTGGACCGCTTCTATGCTTCAAGAGAGAGCCCAGAGGTAACTTCCTAAGTGGCTGTAGAAGCCTCCCCCCAGGATGCAGCCCCACTGCACATGGTCTCTGCTGGGCCACAGGGGCTGACTGAGGCACGGTGCCACATTCCAGTGCCACAGAGATCAGGAGGAAATTGTCCCACTATTAGGACCCTTGATTTGTCTCTACAAGCAGCAAAGTTAACTAGAACAGTTAATTAATAAGAGAAATGTGCAGCATCTCGGTTATTTTTAATTCCTCACCTACATGAATGCATTTATTGGTTTATGTTAACACTAATTCATGCCCCAGTCCCGATGTCCTTACCTCAGGGTTGCCAGCTTCAGGCTGGAGGTGAAGGAACTTCTGCTGCTGATTTCCTAGCCCTTCAAATCATCTCTAAGTACCTTAGAGTCACATAAACAGGACATGTAATGAGACAGCCCTACTTTGCTTTGATACTTTTAATTACCAGCCTGAGAAAGGCAGGGGAGAGGTGAGAGGCCCAGGTTAGATGCCCGGAACCTGATAATGCATGCATGTTACCTGGTGACACACAGATGTTGCCTAGTGATACACACCTGTTGCCCGGTGATGCACACATGTGGCCTGGTGATACACACAGGTGGCCTGCTGCAGAAACAAAGTCAAAACCAGCCAACTCTTCCCTGGGAACCTTCCCTGCCTCATGAGCACTGATAGTTGGCATCAGCAGAGATAGGAGAGCACACAGAAGAGATGTGGCATATGCCAACTCAAGGCACACAGGAAAAGGTTACCTTTTTAGCATCAAGATTCCTTCTCCCCACAGCATGCTGTGGATTCCTTAATGGAACTTCCTTGGTGGCGAGACGCCAAGCCCCTGCTTTCTTCTTCCTCATGCAGTCATTCAACATTTGTGGAATTAGTCATTCAACAAATACTTTTTGAGCACCTACTATATGCGAGGCAGTGTTCTAGTTATTGAAGATACATCAGTGAACAAAAGAAGCATCAATCCTGGCCCTCATGGAGCATCCATTCCAGCAGAGAAAGATAGACATAAACAATAAGCATAATAAATAAGTGCACTGCAGAGTTTGTTAATGTTGGGGGGCAATTATCCATGGCCTTTTGAAATTCTGCACATCTCATTCTGATTTATCCTTTGCAGGATGTTTGTTTGCTACAAAAACATCCTTGAAAGCTAGAGACAGTATTTCCCTTTGCAGCAGAAGGTGGATGTACTTACTATCCAGTTTATAAACCATTGTCTCTTCTGAAGCAAAGGGGAGGCATGCTTATTTTCAGTCACGCAAGATTCAGATTCCCCAAGCTTGGGTTTCTTTCCTATAACCTAACCCACTGAAGATGGCACCCGATCCTTTTCACATCATCCTGTGGGGATTGAGGCTCGTTTGGGGAATTGGTATGAGGACTATATTAGATAAGGTAGGATTAAATTTGTCCCTGACTTTAGGAAAGTCTCTGATAAATAACACTGCCTCTGCCCTCAGAGTCATTCAAGTCAGCTTCAACTCATTGCCCAGGGTCATTTTAGATGATATGATTGCCCTAGACTTCATCCTGGCAGGTGAAGGTAGAGTCTGTGCAATGGTTAATACTTCCTGTTGCACCAGGTGGGTCCCTGAAAGGAAGAGGCGGCATTTTGGCAGAACTTATATAGACAGGGCTAATATCTGAGTGTCCCTGAAGGTTTTCCTGACTGGGCTGCCTGAGGTGGCCACTGATGACGCTCATCTCCCATCACAATGTCTCCACGTCTTCCAGCGTCGTGCTGAAAATTTTTCTCACTTCCCTTGGGATGCTGCTTTCATCCCCCTAATTAGGTTGTAAGCCCAGGGCAGGTACCAGGTCTCTGAGGGTCTCCAGTCTGTCATACAACTGGCAGAGTGCTCTGCTCATCACAAATCATCAATAAATTCTCCGTGACAACAACAACAAGACTCCTACTCAATGCCGAGCATGGTGCCTGACCTTAAGTCACATAACCTGTGGATGGGTTGGCGAGGAAGAGGGAGTCTTGCTGGGGCTGGGCTGTTGGGGCCACAGTGTCCTTCTCTCTCCCCTCCAAGCTTTTCCTCCCTCCAGTTCAGCCTGCCCTGGCCACCTCACTCCCCAGGGGCAAGTCATACCCATTTCCCCCACCCTTTTTGGTGAATGGAGGAGCCACTTCCCCACCCAGAACTCAGCCCTCCTCCCTTACACCCAAGCATCCCAGGAGAAAAGGAGGTGGGGAAGCTGGTTAAGTACTTTCCACGTCTGCATCCTGCTCCCCCAGCCTCCGCAACTATTATTGGTAAGTGAACGAATTTTCTCTCCTGACATCTGTAGCTCTTAGCAGTGAATATATTTGAAAAACCCTTTATGATTGCTTGAAATTGTCCCTGCAATTTGATTCCTGATATTTCTCTTTACTCAGTGAATGATTCTTTTAACTCATTGTATCTTATACTGCAGGCCTGCCCATCTCCCCCACCGACACACACCACAGTGATATTTATCCCCCTTCTCCCACAACCTGCAGAGAAGTGTCCCTAGCAAGCCCAAGTGGAGGGCCTTCCTGCCCCAACTCCACCGTCCCCATCTGTCTCCTCCACTGTTTCCCCAGCCTGCAGACACCCCATTCTCTAAGCCTCACACCCCACCAGGGGCTTTGGGAACAGGACCATTTCTCAGGGGAGAGGGGTCTTTTCCTCATCCACCTACTGCGAGCCTCACATACCACCACCTGCTTGTTCTCATGATTATTTCCAATTCCTTCCAGAACACTTAGCTTTCCAGCCTCAGCATGTAAAACAACTTTTCCCCCAGGGAAAAAATAAGGTTCGAGGATTAGAAATAATACCAGCGACCATAACAATAGAAATTAAAATGGGTCTCAGAATACTCAGTGGCTGATGGTGGGTGGGGGTGCTGAGTGTCACAGACAGCCTCACTGGACCATAAAGCTGTGGCTGCAATGGACCTTCCTGCAGTGGGAGGGAGGGCAGAGGAGGGAGAGGAGCAGGTGGGAAAGGTTCTAAAGGCACAAAAATGTGGTTGGATCTCAGGTGAATCCTGCAGATGTCTCATGACTCCAATGCAGAACGTGTCCAACCACAGTGTTGAGAGAGCAAATATACCCCCAGTGGGGCCTTTCCTGCTCTCTTCTCACCACCAGGCATCCAGGATCCCCCTGGATTAGACCCAGATAATATGCCTTTTCAGTGGCAGCTGTCACTATGCCTCCCATTTATTTATTTATTTATGTTGCAAATATGTTCAGGAACTATGCCTGGGGCTAGGAGGACAAAGAGGAATACGCTGGGTCCCTGCACAGTCTAGCATGGGAGATGGAGACAGAAACAGCCTTGCCAGAACACAGCCTCAGCTGCTAGAGATGGAGTAGCCTGGAGGTCAAGAGCCCAGATTCTGGAGTCAGGCTGTCTGGGTTTGAATCTCAGTCTTACTACTTATTAATCGTGGGACTTCAGGCTAGTCTTTTCTGTGCCTCAACTTCCCCTTCTATAAAATGGAGATATTAAGAGTATCTACCTCATACGGCTGATGTGAGTTAATATATGAAAAGCTTTTAGGACAAATCCTGGCAGATGGTAAGTGCTGTATGTGTCAACTATCCCTATTAAAAGGAGGGATTTATTCAGTTTCCCAGTACCTTTCCTTGATAGAGGTTGTATTTTATTGATCATTATTTGTCCTTAAAGCTTTTGGTTCTCAGGACAAAGGGAGACCAAATAATCTCCCTCCATTTCACAAAAGGAAGAGCTGAGACTGGCTCTAGAGAGGTTGGAAAAACGATCTGCGGAGGAAAGAATTATCCTCAAAGATAAATTGAATCAGAGAAGCAGGGAGTGCCTTCTGCTGAACACACAGGGCGATCGGTGCCCCTTGATCTTGAGCAACTCAAATTCAGGGAGCAAGCCTCTGTTTATACCTATGGCTCAGGAAGGGGTGTGGGATCAGGTTTCCTCCAGAGGGGCTCCTGGGGTAAGTTGACAAGAGGCCAAGCCAGGCTAAGAATAGACCCTCTTCCAGGCAGCCGCTCTGCCCCTAAAGGTCCATTTGCTCTCACTGCCTGGTAGGTATCTCCAGGTGCTTTGTTCACTGGACTGATGTGAGGGTCCATGCTGCACCTGGGGCCTCCCCACCTGGGCTGGAAGGTTCAGAGGCTGGGCCATACTCTCCAACCAAACTGGAAGGTCCCACGGCTAGAGCAGGATCTCCAGGTGTCTGTGGGTCTCTTTGCCCTCAAAATTGGCTCTGCCAAGAGGGCTCCTGTCAGACTGGGAGGGGGTGTGGGAAGTGATTCAGATGCTGTGAATCATGGGAACCTGCCCTGAGACTAGGAGTGTTCTGTCTTCCCTGATGGGACGCAAACACACATTGCGTTCTCACAATGAAACCAGGCAGCCCTGCCCTCCAGACCCCACCTCCACATCCACAGGACCCCCCCAGGCTCATCCACAAGAGAATGTGGGCACAGCTGAGGTGATGTACTTCTCAGAAAGGTCCACAGAAAGGAGCCAGAGGGTACCCCATCTCTATCCATCATGCAGGGAGGGATCTTTATGAAATGCAGTGAAAGCTCCAGTTATTGATTGTTTGGTATGGCTCCTAAAGCAGTTTGCATCTATGAAGCAGAAGCTTTTGCTTCTGTCCTACATGCTAGTCAGGATGGATCTTACTTTCGCCATTTCACAGGTAAGGAAACTGAGACTTCGACAGGTGGAGAGGCTTACCAAGTGCACACAGCCAGTAAGGGTAGCACAGACTCTCCGGCCATGGTCTCTCAACTCCAAATCCAGTGCTCTTCCACAGCCTTCACTGTGTTGTGTGTGCGATCCCTGCTTGCATTTGGGTTTTTATCTGGGGAAGAAGAGCTCTCAGCTCACAAGTGAAGAGCCGAGGGAGGCAGGCCCAATAGGAGGGGGCATAGGGGCATCCATATCTCTAGAAGTCAGAGGCATTCAGGTGTCCATTTCCTGGTCTGGTATGACCCCAGTCGAGCTGCCTGGGGGGCAGAGGTGCAGGGTGAGTGCACATGAGCTTTCTGGCAGACGGTGGTGAGTGAGCAGCTGCAGGAGGACACATGGCCCAGAGCAGTGGGGCTGCCGGAACCATTACTACAGTGATTAATTAGGCTCCTTCCACATGGAGCTGCTGGGTTCCCAGGGCTACCTGTCAAAACTGCAGGGCTCAGCAAACTGCAGGGTACCAAACTGGAACCACCATCCAGATCTGCTAGCCTGGGGAAGAAGAGTGGTCCCTGACATGCTGTAGTTCTGCTCCCAGGCCAGGCTCAGGCCCACCCCTGCCTGGGTGTGGGACTGATGGGAGTGGGTCATTTATTGCTTACGCCGGAGAGTTTAAGGACCTCACCAACTACTATTTATCGAAGACCTGCTATGTGCATCCACTAACTTTCATCAGTTACCATGTGTGATGGTAAGAAACTGAGATGAAGAAACTGAGGCTCAGAGGAGTGAAGAAGTTGCCTGAGGCCAGCAGTGTAAATGAGAGGATAGAGTAGGGATCTGTCCTTCTAACAGTACTAAGACTCCCACAGCAGCTTTATCAAGCATCGGATAGGGGAGAAGTACCCACAGCCTTCAACCTAGGGAGCCCTAAGACCAAGACCTCTTGCCCTTAGAATTCCTCTCTCTCCGTTAGGTAAATCATTCAAGGGTCACCACAGACTCAATAATCTCACTCATCCTTATATTCCGCCATCCAAGGTGCATGTGCTTTTCCCGTCTGGGGCCAGAGGCAGGTGGGATAAGTGAAAGGGTTGTATTGGCACCTTCACCCAAGGACAGGCACATGGAAAGCCCCACCTGCAAGTGTCCACATTCATCTTCTCCAGATGCAAGCTTGAAATATCTGAGTAACAGATAATCATCTTGGCTTTCATATCCCTGTGCTCTACTTTAACAAACTGAGGTGCTCAGTGGTTTTAGGACCATGAATTAAAGTCAAGTTAAAAATAAAGGCTAAGAGTGTTCATGGTGGTAGATCACTCGTCCTTCTTCATGGTATCTGGGCTCATGCCAGCATCTACCAGTCAACCATGAGCATGAGTGTTGGGCGCCACTTGCAAGGGGCCAGCAAATGTGTATGAAATGCAAATATGTATGAGGTTGTCCCACCAAGCCCTCACATCTGTGGTGAAGTAGCTTCTACAACCCCAAAGATGAGCTGCAGGGATGTGATGTGGACCCCAAGTTTCTGAGGACAGAAAAAGGTGAAGAGAAATCAAACAGGAAGAAGGTTGTATTAGTGTTCTCAGGCAGCCATAACAAAATGCTATCAGGAGATAGCTTTCTGTTTAAAAAACAGAAATTTATTTTCTTACAGTTCTGGAGGCTGAAAGTTCAAGACCAAGGTGCCAGCAGGGCTGGTTCCCTCTGAGGCCTCTCTCCTTGGCTTACGGATGCCACTCTCTCACTGCCTCTTCACAGTGAGGGTTGTCTCACTGTGAACGTGGGCTCCTGGTATCTCTCTGTGTCCTCTTAAGCTCCTCTTCTTATAAGGAAATCAAATTGGATTAGGCCCCACACTAACAGCCTCAGTTTAACTTAATCACCTCTCTAAGGACCCTATTTGCTAGTCTAGTGACATTCTGAGGTACTGGAGGTTAGGGCTTCAGCATATGAATTTGGGGGGGATGTAATCCAGCTCAGTGTTCCACCCTCTGGAACCCCCAAATTCATGTCACATGCAAAATACATTTACCCCCATCCCAACAGTCCAAAAGTCTTAACTTATTCCAGTACCATCTCTAAGCTGCAGCCTTGTGACCAGGGCTCCAAATGGCTGAGGATGGGTAAAGATGGAGAAGCAGTCAAAAGGGGGCTGAGGGGTCTCACAAGGCTGAAGCTCCATAAAGTAGAGTCTAACCCTTGGGTGGGACTGGCAAGGATGTCCCCAAAGTAAATGGCCTGACCCCAAGATCTCACTGGGCTAGTACTACCCTCATCGAGGAGGACCAAGTTAGTGAGGACAGGGTAGGATGAGAAGCTATGAGGATGAGGACAGACAGGTTGTGCAAGGCTTTGGGTATAAAAGAACTGTCTGCTCTGCCTCCCTATGGGAGCAGTCGTGTGTGTGTGTGTGTGTGTGTGTGTGTGTGTGTTTAAATGTTATAATCAGTTTGCATTCCCTGTGTGTGCAGCTCAAAGACCCAGGGGCCAGGGCAATAGATCTATTGATTAACATTTTCATTCAGTTCAAGATAAGGAATGTGGGTCACTTTTGAGAAACATCTTGCTTGGAGGCAGGTGCCTTTACCTCGAATGTTACTGGACAGCTCTGTGCTGTGATCTCTGGAAGAAGGTATAGACCCAACTAGGGGGGCTGGGAGGGACCTGACCCTATAGATCTTTCCAGAATAGAGGGAGACACCCTAGGACTCTGAGCCCATAGA